>NC_000003.12:92838825-93154543 GCF_000001405.40 Homo sapiens
ATTCTCAGAAACTTCTTGATTGTTATGTGTGCATTCAACTCACAGAGTTGAACCTTACTTTGGAAAGAGCAGTTTTCTAACACTCTTTTTGTAAAAGTTCCAAGTGAATACTTTGAGTGCTTTGAAGCCTACGGTTGACAACGAAATATCTTCATGTAAAAACTACAAAGAATCATTCGCAGAAACCACGTTGTGATCTCTGCATTCAACTCACAGAGTTGAACCTTTCTTCCTATAGAGCAGTTATGAAACAGTCTCTTTGTAGAATTTGCAAGGGTGTATTTAGAGGGCATTGAAGCCTACGGTAGAAAAGGAAATATCTTACCATAAAATCTAGTCAGAAGCATTCTCAGAAACTGAGTTGTGATGTTTGCATTCAACTCACAGAGTTCAACATTCCTTTTAATGGAGCGGTTTTGAAACACTCTTTTTGCAGAATCTGCAAGTGGATATTTGGACCTCTTTGAGGCCTTCGTTGGAAACGGGATTTCTTCATGTAATGCCAGACAGAAGAATTCTCAGTGAATTCTTTCTGTGTGTGTGTATTCAACTCACAGAGTTGAACGTTCCTTTAGACAGAGTAGATTGGAAACACTCTTTTTGTGGAATTTTCAGGTGGAGGTATCAAGCGCTTTGAGGCCAATGATAGAAAAGGAAATACCTTCGTATAATAATTAGACGGAATCATTCTCAGAAACTGCTTTGCAATGTGTGCGTTCAACTCACAGTGTTTAACCTTTCTTTTCATACAGTTGTTTCGAAACACTCTTTTTGCAGAATCTGCAAGTGGATATTTGGACCTCTTTGAAGTCTTCGTTGGAAATGGGATTTCTTCATATAATGCTAGACAGAAGACTTCTCAGTAACTGCTTTTTCTGGTGTGTATTCAACTCTCAGAGTTGAACTTTCCTTTAGAAACAGCAGAGTTGAAACTCTCTTTTTGTGGAATTTGCAAGTGGAGATTTCAAAGCTTTGAGGCCAATGGTAGAAAAGGAAATATCTTCGTATGCAAACTAGACAGAATCATTCTCAGAAACTACTTTGGTACGTGTGTGTTCAACTCACAGTGTTTAACCTTTCTTTTCATAGAGCAGTTTGGAAACACTCAGTTTGTAAAGTCAGCAACTGGATATTTGGATGTATTTGAGGCCTTCGTTGGAAACGGGATTTCTTCATATAGTGCTAGACAGAAGAATTCTCAGTAACTTCTTTGGGTTGTGGGTATTCAACTCACAGAGTTGAAGCTTCCTTTAGGCGGAGCAGATTGGAAACACTTTTTGTGGAATTTTCAGGGGGAGACTTCAAGCGCTTTGAAGTGAATGGTAGAAAAGGAAATATCTTCGTATAAAAACTAGACGGAGTCATTCTCAGAAACTACTTTGTGA
The DNA here is from genome assembly GCF_000001405.40 of Homo sapiens. Classification (NCBI taxonomy): domain Eukaryota; kingdom Metazoa; phylum Chordata; class Mammalia; order Primates; family Hominidae; genus Homo; species Homo sapiens. Next base: position 92,840,211 of record NC_000003.12, read on the forward strand.
TGTTTGCGTTCAACTCACAGAGTTTAACGTTTCTTTTCATAGAGCAGTTTGGAAACACTCTTTTTGCAGAATCTGCAAGTGGATATTTGGACCTCTTTGTGGCCTTCGTTGGAAACGGGATTTTTCATATAATGCTAGACAGAAGAATTCTCAGTAACTTCTTTTTGTGGTGTGTATTCAACTCACAGAGTTGAACCTTCCTTTAGACAGAGCAGATTTGAAACTCTCTTTTTGTGGAATTTGCAAGTGGAGATTTCAAGCGCTTTGAGGCCAACGGTAGAAAAGGAAATATCTTCGTAGAAAAAATAGACGGAATCATTCTCAGAAACTGCTTTGGGATGTGTGCATTGAACTCACAGTGTTTAACACTTCTTTTCATAGAGCACTTTGGAAACACTCAGTTTGTAATGTCTGCAGCTGGATATTTGGACCTCTTTGAGGCCTTCGTAGTAAACGGGATTTCTTCGTGTAATGATAGACAATAGAATTCTCAGTGAATTTTTTTCTGTGTGTGTGTATTCAACACACAGGGTTGAACCTTCCTTTAGACAGTGCAGATTTGAAACACTTGTCTGTGGAATTTGCAAGGGGAGATTTCAAGCACTTTGAGGCCATTGGTGGAAAAGGAAATAACTTCGTATAAAAACTAGACAGAATCATTCTCAGGAACTACTTTGTGATATGTGCATTCAACTCACAGAGTTTAACCTTTCTTTTCATAGATGAGTTTGGAAACAGTCAGTTTGTAAATTCTGCAACTGGATATTTGGACCTCTTTGAGGCTTTCGTTGGAAACGGGATTTCTTCACATAATGCTAGACAAGAATTCTCAGTAACTTCTTTTGGGATGTATGTATTCAAATCAGAGAGTTGAACCTTCCTTTAGACAGAGCGGATTGGAAACACTCTTTTTGTGGAATTTGCAAGTGGAAAATTCTAGCAGTATGAGGCCAATGGTACAAAAGGAAATATCTTCGTATAAAAACTAGACAGTATCATTCTCAGAAACTGCTTTGTGATGTGTGTATTAAACTCACAGAGTTGAACATTTCTTTGCATAGAGCAGTTTGGAAAGACTTAGTTTGTGCAGTGTGCAAGTGGATATTTGGAACTCTTTGAGGCCTTCGTTGGAAACGGGATTTCTTCTTATAATTCTTGACAAAAGAATTCTCAGTAGCTTCTTTGTGTGTGTGTATTCAACTCACAGAGTTGAACCTTCCTTTAGACAGAGCAGATTGGAAACACTCTTTTTGTGGAATTTGCAAGTGGAGAATTCTAGCGCTTTGACGCCAATGGTAGAAAGGAAATATCTTCGTATAAAAACTAGACAGTATCATTCTCAGAAGCTACTTTGTGATGTGTGCGTTCAACTCACAGAGTTTAACCTTTCTTTTCATAGAGCAGTTTGGAAACCCTCTGTTTGTGAAGTCTGCAAGTGGATATTTAAACGTCTTTGAGGCCTTCGTTGGAAACGGGATTTTTTCATATAAACCAGGACAGAAGAATTCTCAGAAACTTCTTGATTGTTATGTGTGCATTCAACTCACAGAGTTGAACCTTACTTTGGAAAGAGCAGTTTTCTAACACTCTTTTTGTAAAAGTTCCAAGTGAATACTTTGAGTGCTTTGAAGCCTACGGTTGACAACGAAATATCTTCATGTAAAAACTACAAAGAATCATTCGCAGAAACCACGTTGTGATCTCTGCATTCAACTCACAGAGTTGAACCTTTCTTCCTATAGAGCAGTTATGAAACAGTCTCTTTGTAGAATTTGCAAGGGTGTATTTAGAGGGCATTGAAGCCTACGGTAGAAAAGGAAATATCTTACCATAAAATCTAGTCAGAAGCATTCTCAGAAACTGAGTTGTGATGTTTGCATTCAACTCACAGAGTTCAACATTCCTTTTAATGGAGCGGTTTTGAAACACTCTTTTTGCAGAATCTGCAAGTGGATATTTGGACCTCTTTGAGGCCTTCGTTGGAAACGGGATTTCTTCATGTAATGCCAGACAGAAGAATTCTCAGTGAATTCTTTCTGTGTGTGTGTATTCAACTCACAGAGTTGAACGTTCCTTTAGACAGAGTAGATTGGAAACACTCTTTTTGTGGAATTTTCAGGTGGAGGTATCAAGCGTTTTGAGGCCAATGATAGAAAAGGAAATACCTTCGTATAATAATTAGACGGAATCATTCTCAGAAACTGCTTTGCAATGTGTGCGTTCAACTCACAGTGTTTAACCTTTCTTTTCATACAGTTGTTTCGAAACACTCTTTTTGCAGAATCTGCAAGTGGATATTTGGACCTCTTTGAAGTCTTCGTTGGAAATGGGATTTCTTCATATAATGCTAGACAGAAGACTTCTCAGTAACTGCTTTTTCTGGTGTGTATTCAACTCTCAGAGTTGAACTTTCCTTTAGAAACAGCAGATTTGAAACTCTCTTTTTGTGGAATTTGCAAGTGGAGATTTCAGAGCTTTGAGGCCAATGGTAGAAAAGGAAATATCTTCGTATGCAAACTAGACAGAATCATTCTCAGAAACTACTTTGGTACGTGTGTGTTCAACTCACAGTGTTTAACCTTTCTTTTCATAGAGCAGTTTGGAAACACTCAGTTTGTAAAGTCAGCAACTGGATATTTGGATGTATTTGAGGCCTTCGTTGGAAACGGGATTTCTTCATATAATGCTAGACAGAAGAATTCTCAGTAACTTCTTTGGGTTGTGGGTATTCAAGTCACAGAGTTGAAGCTTCCTTTAGGCGGAGCAGATTGGAAACACTTTTTGTGGAATTTTCAGGGGGAGACTTCAAGCGCTTTGAAGTGAATGGTAGGAAAGGAAATATCTTCGTATAAAAACTAGACGGAGTCATTCTCAGAAACTACTTTGTGATGTTTGCGTTCAACTCACAGAGTTTAACGTTTCTTTTCATAGAGCAGTTTGGAAACACTCTTTTTGCAGAATCTGCAAGTGGATATTTGGACCTCTTTGTGGCCTTCGTTGGAAACGGGATTTTTCATATAATGCTAGACAGAAGAATTCTCAGTAACTTCTTTTTGTGGTGTGTATTCAACTCACAGAGTTGAACCTTCCTTTAGACAGAGCAGATTTGAAACTCTCTTTTTGTGGAATTTGCAAGTGGAGACTTCAAGCGCTTTGAGGCCAACGGTAGAAAAGGAAATATCTTCGTAGAAAAAATAGACGGAATCATTCTCAGAAACTGCTTTGGGATGTGTGCATTGAACTCACAGTGTTTAACACTTCTTTTCATAGAGCACTTTGGAAACACTCAGTTTGTAATGTCTGCAGCTGGATATTTGGACCTCTTTGAGGCCTTCGTAGTAATCGGGATTTCTTCGTGTAATGATAGACAATAGAATTCTCAGTGAATTTTTTTCTGTGTGTGTGTATTCAACTCACAGGGTTGAACCTTCCTTTAGACAGTGCAGATTTGAAACACTTGTCTGTGGAATTTGCAAGGGGAGATTTCAAGCACTTTGAGGCCATTGGTGGAAAAGGAAATATCTTCGTATGAAAACTAGACAGAATCATTCTCAGGAACTACTTTGTGATATGTGCATTCAACTCACAGAGTTCAACCTTTCTTTTCATAGATGAGTTTGGAAACAGTCAGTTTGTAAATTCTGCAACTGGATATTTGGACCTCTTTGAGGCTTTCGTTGGAAACGGGATTTCTTCACATAATGCTAGACAGAAGAATTCTCAGTAACTTCTTTTGGGATGTATGTATTCAAATCAGAGAGTTGAACCTTCCTTTAGACAGAGCGGATTGGAAACACTCTTTTTGTGGAATTTGCAAGTGGAAAATTCTAGCAGTATGAGGCCAATGGTACAAAAGGAAATATCTTCGTATAAAAACTAGACAGTATCATTCTCAGAAACTGCTTTGTGATGTGTGTATTAAACTCACAGAGTTGAACATTTCTTTGCATAGAGCAGTTTGGAAAGACTTAGTTTGTGCAGTGTGCAAGTGGATATTTGGAACTCTTTGAGGCCTTCGTTGGAAACGGGATTTCTTCTTATAATTTCTTGAAAAAAGAATTCTCAGTAGCTTCTTTGTGTGTGTGTATTCAACTCACAGAGTTGAACCTTCCTTTAGACAGAGCAGATTGGAAACACTCTTTTTGTGGAATTTGCAAGTGGAGAATTCTAGCGCTTTGACGCCAATGGTAGAAAGGAAATATCTTCGTATAAAAACTAGACAGTAATCATTCTCAGAAACTACTTTGTGATGTGTGCGTTCAACTCACAGAGTTTAACCTTTCTTTTCATAGAGCAGTTTGGAAACACTCTGTTTGTGAAGTCTGCAAGTGGATATTTAAACGTCTTTGAGGCCTTCGTTGGAAACGGGATTTGTTCATATAAACCAGGACAGAAGAATTCTCAGAAACTTCTTGATTGTTATGTGTGCATTCAACTCACAGAGTTGAACCTTACTTTGGAAAGAGCAGTTTTCTAACACTCTTTTTGTAAAAGTTCCAAGTGAATACTTTGAGTGCTTTGAAGCCTACGGTTGACAACGAAATATCTTCATGTAAAAACTACAAAGAATCATTCGCAGAAACCACGTTGTGATCTCTGCATTCAACTCACAGAGTTGAACCTTTCTTCCTATAGAGCAGTTATGAAACAGTCTCTTTGTAGAATTTGCAAGGGTGTATTTAGAGGGCATTGAAGCCTACGGTAGAAAAGGAAATATCTTACCATAAAATCTAGTCAGAAGCATTCTCAGAAACTGAGTTGTGATGTTTGCATTCAACTCACAGAGTTCAACATTCCTTTTCATGGAGCGGTTTTGAAACACTCTTTTTGCAGAATCTGCAAGTGGATATTTGGACCTCTTTGAGGCCTTCGTTGGAAACGGGATTTCTTCATGTAATGCCAGACAGAAGAATTCTCAGTGAATTCTTTCTGTGTGTGTGTATTCAACTCACAGAGTTGAACGTTCCTTTAGACAGAGTAGATTGGAAACACTCTTTTTGTGGAATTTTCAGGTGGAGGTATCAAGCGCTTTGAGGCCAATGATAGAAAAGGAAATACCTTCGTATAATAATTAGACGGAATCATTCTCAGAAACTGCTTTGCAATGTGTGCGTTCAACTCACAGTGTTTAACCTTTCTTTTCATACAGTTGTTTCGAAACACTCTTTTTGCAGAATCTGCAAGTGGATATTTGGACCTCTTTGAAGTCTTCGTTGGAAATGGGATTTCTTCATATAATGCTAGACAGAAGACTTCTCAGTAACTGCTTTTTCTGGTGTGTATTCAACTCTCAGAGTTGAACTTTCCTTTAGAAACAGCAGATTTGAAACTCTCTTTTTGTGGAATTTGCAAGTGGAGATTTCAGAGCTTTGAGGCCAATGGTAGAAAAGGAAATATCTTCGTATGCAAACTAGACAGAATCATTCTCAGAAACTACTTTGGTACGTGTGTGTTCAACTCACAGTGTTTAACCTTTCTTTTCATAGAGCAGTTTGGAAACACTCAGTTTGTAAAGTCAGCAACTGGATATTTGGATGTATTTGAGGCCTTCGTTGGAAACGGGATTTCTTCATATAATGCTAGACAGAAGAATTCTCAGTAACTTCTTTGGGTTGTGGGTATTCAAGTCACAGAGTTGAAGCTTCCTTTAGGCGGAGCAGATTGGAAACACTTTTTGTGGAATTTTCAGGGGGAGACTTCAAGCGCTTTGAAGTGAATGGTAGGAAAGGAAATATCTTCGTATAAAAACTAGACGGAGTCATTCTCAGAAACTACTTTGTGATGTTTGCGTTCAACTCACAGAGTTTAACGTTTCTTTTCATAGAGCAGTTTGGAAACACTCTTTTTGCAGAATCTGCAAGTGGATATTTGGACCTCTTTGTGGCCTTCGTTGGAAACGGGATTTTTCATATAATGCTAGACAGAAGAATTCTCAGTAACTTCTTTTTGTGGTGTGTATTCAACTCACAGAGTTGAACCTTCCTTTAGACAGAGCAGATTTGAAACTCTCTTTTTGTGGAATTTGCAAGTGGAGATTTCAAGCGCTTTGAGGCCAACGGCAGAAAAGGAAATATCTTCGTAGAAAAAATAGACGGAATCATTCTCAGAAACTGCTTTGGGATGTGTGCATTGAACTCACAGTGTTTAACACTTCTTTTCATAGAGCACTTTGGAAACACTCAGTTTGTAATGTCTGCAGCTGGATATTTGGACCTCTTTGAGGCCTTCGTAGTAAACGGGATTTCTTCGTGTAATGATAGACAATAGAATTCTCAGTGAATTTTTTTCTGTGTGTGTGTATTCAACTCACAGGGTTGAACCTTCCTTTAGACAGTGCAGATTTGAAACACTTGTCTGTGGAATTTGCAAGGGGAGATTTCAAGCACTTTGAGGCCATTGGTGGAAAAGGAAATATCTTCGTATAAAAACTAGACAGAATCATTCTCAGGAACTATTTTGTGATATGTGCATTCAACTCCCAGAGTTTAACCTTTCTTTTCATAGATGAGTTTGGAAACAGTCAGTTTGTAAATTCTGCAACTGGATATTTGGACCTCTTTGAGGCTTTCGTTGGAAACGGGATTTCTTCACATAATGCTAGACAGAAGAATTCTCAGTAACTTCTTTTGGGATGTATGTATTCAAATCAGAGAGTTGAACCTTCCTTTAGACAGAGCGGATTGGAAACACTCTTTTTGTGGAATTTGCAAGTGGAAAATTCTAGCAGTATGAGGCCAATGGTACAAAAGGAAATATCTTCGTATAAAAACTAGACAGTATCATTCTCAGAAACTGCTTTGTGATGTGTGTATTAAACTCACAGAGTTGAACATTTCTTTGCATAGAGCAGTTTGGAAAGACTTAGTTTGTGCAGTGTGCAAGTGGATATTTGGAACTCTTTGAGGCCTTCGTTGGAAACGGGATTTCTTCTTATAATTCTTGACAAAAGAATTCTCAGTAGCTTCTTTGTGTGTGTGTATTCAACTCACAGAGTTGAACCTTCCTTTAGACAGAGCAGATTGGAAACACTCTTTTTGTGGAATTTGCAAGTGGAGAATTCTAGCGCTTTGACGCCAATGGTAGAAAGGAAATATCTTCGTATAAAAACTAGACAGTATCATTCTCAGAAGCTACTTTGTGATGTGTGCGTTCAACTCACAGAGTTTAACCTTTCTTTTCATAGAGCAGTTTGGAAACCCTCTGTTTGTGAAGTCTGCAAGTGGATATTTAAACGTCTTTGAGGCCTTCGTTGGAAACGGGATTTTTTCATATAAACCAGGACAGAAGAATTCTCAGAAACTTCTTGATTGTTATGTGTGCATTCAACTCACAGAGTTGAACCTTACTTTGGAAAGAGCAGTTTTCTAACACTCTTTTTGTAAAAGTTCCAAGTGAATACTTTGAGTGCTTTGAAGCCTACGGTTGACAACGAAATATCTTCATGTAAAAACTACAAAGAATCATTCGCAGAAACCACGTTGTGATCTCTGCATTCAACTCACAGAGTTCAACCTTTCTTCCTATAGAGCAGTTATGAAACAGTCTCTTTGTAGAATTTGCAAGGGTGTATTTAGAGGGCATTGAAGCCTACGGTAGAAAAGGAAATATCTTACCATAAAATCTAGTCAGAAGCATTCTCAGAAACTGAGTTGTGATGTTTGCATTCAACTCACAGAGTTCAACATTCCTTTTAATGGAGCGGTTTTGAAACACTCTTTTTGCAGAATCTGCAAGTGGATATTTGGACCTCTTTGAGGCCTTCGTTGGAAACGGGATTTCTTCATGTAATGCCAGACAGAAGAATTCTCAGTGAATTCTTTCTGTGTGTGTGTATTCAACTCACAGAGTTGAACGTTCCTTTAGACAGAGTAGATTGGAAACACTCTTTTTGTGGAATTTTCAGGTGGAGGTATCAAGCGCTTTGAGGCCAATGATAGAAAAGGAAATACCTTCGTATAATAATTAGACAGAATCATTCTCAGAAACTGCTTTGCAATGTGTGCGTTCAACTCACAGTGTTTAACCTTTCTTTTCATACAGTTGTTTCGAAACACTCTTTTTGCAGAATCTGCAAGTGGATATTTGGACCTCTTTGAAGTCTTCGTTGGAAATGGGATTTCTTCATATAATGCTAGACAGAAGACTTCTCAGTAACTGCTTTTTCTGGTGTGTATTCAACTCTCCGAGTTGAACTTTCCTTTAGAAACAGCAGATTTGAAACTCTCTTTTTGTGGAATTTGCAAGTGGAGATTTCAGAGCTTTGAGGCCAATGGTAGAAAAGGAAATATCTTCGTATGCAAACTAGGCAGAATCATTCTCAGAAACTACTTTGGTACGTGTGTGTTCAACTCACAGTGTTTAACCTTTCTTTTCATAGAGCAGTTTGGAAACACTCAGTTTGTAAAGTCAGCAACTGGATATTTGGATGTATTTGAGGCCTTCGTTGGAAACGGGATTTCTTCATATAATGCTAGACAGAAGAATTCTCAGTAACTTCTTTGGGTTGTGGGTATTCAAGTCACAGAGTTGAAGCTTCCTTTAGGCGGAGCAGATTGGAAACACTTTTTGTGGAATTTTCAGGGGGAGACTTCAAGCGCTTTGAAGTGAATGGTAGGAAAGGAAATATCTTCGTATAAAAACTAGACGGAGTCATTCTCAGAAACTACTTTGTGATGTTTGCGTTCAACTCACAGAGTTTAACGTTTCTTTTCATAGAGCAGTTTGGAAACACTCTTTTTGCAGAATCTGCAAGTGGATATTTGGACCTCTTTGTGGCCTTCGTTGGAAACGGGATTTTTCATATAATGCTAGACAGAAGAATTCTCAGTAACTTCTTTTTGTGGTGTGTATTCAACTCACAGAGTTGAACCTTCCTTTAGACAGAGCAGATTTGAAACTCTCTTTTTGTGGAATTTGCAAGTGGAGATTTCAAGCGCTTTGAGGCCAACGGCAGAAAAGGAAATATCTTCGTAGAAAAAATAGACGGAATCATTCTCAGAAACTGCTTTGGGATGTGTGCATTGAACTCACAGTGTTTAACACTTCTTTTCATAGAGCACTTTGGAAACACTCAGTTTGTAATGTCTGCAGCTGGATATTTGGACCTCTTTGAGGCCTTCGTAGTAAACGGGATTTCTTCGTGTAATGATAGACAATAGAATTCTCAGTGAATTTTTTTCTGTGTGTGTGTATTCAACTCACAGGGTTGAACCTTCCTTTAGACAGTGCAGATTTGAAACACTTGTCTGTGGAATTTGCAAGGGGAGATTTCAAGCACTTTGAGGCCATTGGTGGAAAAGGAAATATCTTCGTATAAAAACTAGACAGAATCATTCTCAGGAACTACTTTGTGATATGTGCATTCAACTCCCAGAGTTTAACCTTTCTTTTCATAGATGAGTTTGGAAACAGTCAGTTTGTAAATTCTGCCACTGGATATTTGGACCTCTTTGAGGCTTTCGTTGGAAACGGGATTTCTTCACATAATGCTAGACAGAAGAATTCTCAGTAACTTCTTTTGGGATGTATGTATTCAAATCAGAGAGTTGAACCTTCCTTTAGACAGAGCGGATTGGAAACACTCTTTTTGTGGAATTTGCAAGTGGAAAATTCTAGCAGTATGAGGCCAATGGTACAAAAGGAAATATCTTCGTATAAAAACTAGACAGTATCATTCTCAGAAACTGCTTTGTGATGTGTGTATTAAACTCACAGAGTTGAACATTTCTTTGCATAGAGCAGTTTGGAAAGACTTAGTTTGTGCAGTGTGCAAGTGGATATTTGGAACTCTTTGAGGCCTTCGTTGGAAACGGGATTTCTTCTTATAATTTCTTGAAAAAAGAATTCTCAGTAACTTCTTTTGGGATGTATGTATTCAAATCAGAGAGTTGAACTTTCCTTTAGACAGAGCGGTTTGGAAACACTCTTTTTGTGGAATTTGCAAGTGGAGAATTCTAGCGCTTTGACGCCAATGGTAGAAAGGAAATATCTTCGTATAAAAACTAGACAGTATCATTCTCAGAAGCTACTTTGTGATGTGTGCGTTCAACTCACAGAGTTTAACCTTTCTTTTCATAGAGCAGTTTGGAAACCCTCTGTTTGTGAAGTCTGCAAGTGGATATTTAAACGTCTTTGAGGCCTTCGTTGGAAACGGGATTTTTTCATATAAACCAGGACAGAAGAATTCTCAGAAACTTCTTGATTGTTATGTGTGCATTCAACTCACAGAGTTGAACCTTACTTTGGAAAGAGCAGTTTTCTAACACTCTTTTTGTAAAAGTTCCAAGTGAATACTTTGAGTGCTTTGAAGCCTACGGTTGACAACGAAATATCTTCATGTAAAAACTACAAAGAATCATTCGCAGAAACCACGTTGTGATCTCTGCATTCAACTCACAGAGTTGAACCTTTCTTCCTATAGAGCAGTTATGAAACAGTCTCTTTGTAGAATTTGCAAGGGTGTATTTAGAGGGCATTGAAGCCTACGGTAGAAAAGGAAATATCTTACCATAAAATCTAGTCAGAAGCATTCTCAGAAACTGAGTTGTGATGTTTGCATTCAACTCACAGAGTTCAACATTCCTTTTAATGGAGCGGTTTTGAAACACTCTTTTTGCAGAATCTGCAAGTGGATATTTGGACCTCTTTGAGGCCTTCGTTGGAAACGGGATTTCTTCATGTAATGCCAGACAGAAGAATTCTCAGTGAATTCTTTCTGTGTGCGTGTATTCAACTCACAGAGTTGAACGTTCCTTTAGACAGAGTAGATTGGAAACACTCTTTTTGTGGAATTTTCAGGTGGAGGTATCAAGCGCTTTGAAGCCAATGATAGAAAAGGAAATACCTTCGTATAATAATTAGACGGAATCATTCTCAGAAACTGCTTTGCAATGTGTGCGTTCAACTCACAGTGTTTAACCTTTCTTTTCATACAGTTTTGTTTCGAAACACTCTTTTTGCAGAATCTGCAAGTGGATATTTGGACCTCTTTGAAGTCTTCGTTGGAAATGGGATTTCTTCATATAATGCTAGACAGAAGTCTTCTCAGTAACTGCTTTTTCTGGTGTGTATTCAACTCTCAGAGTTGAACTTTCCTTTAGAAACAGCAGAGTTGAAACTCTCTTTTTGTGGAATTTGCAAGTGGAGATTTCAAAGCTTTGAGGCCAATGGTAGAAAAGGAAATATCTTCGTATGCAAACGAGACAGAATCATTCTCAGAAACTACTTTGGTACGTGTGTGTTCAACTCACAGTGTTTAACCTTTCTTTTCATAGAGCAGTTTGGAAACACTCAGTTTGTAAAGTCAGCAACTGGATATTTGGATGTATTTGAGGCCTTCGTTGGAAACGGGATTTCTTCATATAGTGCTAGACAGAAGAATTCTCAGTAACTTCTTTGGGTTGTGGGTATTCAAGTCACAGAGTTGAAGCTTCCTTTAGGCGGAGCAGATTGGAAACACTTTTTGTGGAATTTTCAGGGGGAGACTTCAAGCGCTTTGAAGTGAATGGTAGGAAAGGAAATATCTTCGTATAAAAACTAGACGGAGTCATTCTCAGAAACTACTTTGTGATGTTTGCGTTCAACTCACAGAGTTTAACGTTTCTTTTCATAGAGCAGTTTGGAAACACTCTTTTTGCAGAATCTGCAAGTGGATATTTGGACCTCTTTGTGGCCTTCGTTGGAAACGGGATTTTTCATATAATGCTAGACAGAAGAATTCTCAGTAACTTCTTTTTGTGGTGTGTATTCAACTCACAGAGTTGAACCTTCCTTTAGACAGAGCAGATTTGAAACTCTCTTTTTGTGGAATTTGCAAGTGGAGATTTCAAGCGCTTTGAGGCCAACGGCAGAAAAGGAAATATCTTCGTAGAAAAAATAGACGGAATCATTCTCAGAAACTGCTTTGGGATGTGTGCATTGAACTCACAGTGTTTAACACTTCTTTTCATAGAGCACTTTGGAAACACTCAGTTTATAATGTCTGCAGCTGGATATTTGGACCTCTTTGAGGCCTTCGTAGTAAACGGGATTTCTTCGTGTAATGATAGACAATAGAATTCTCAGTGAATTTTTTTCTGTGTGTGTGTATTCAACTCACAGGGTTGAACCATCCTTTAGACAGTGCAGATTTGAAACACTTGTCTGTGGAATTTGCAAGGGGAGATTTCAAGCACTTTGAGGCCATTGGTGGAAAAGGAAATATCTTCGTATGAAAACTATACAGAATCATTCTCAGGAACTACTTTGTGATATGGGCATTCAACTCCCAGAGTTTAACCTTTCTTTTCATAGATGAGTTTGGAAACAGTCAGTTTGTAAATTCTGCAACTGGATATTTGGACCTCTTTGAGGCTTTCGTTGGAAACGGGATTTCTTCACATAATGCTAGACAGAAGAATTCTCAGTAACTTCTTTTGGGATGTATGTATTCAAATCAGAGAGTTGAACCTTCCTTTAGACAGAGCGGATTGGAAACACTCTTTTTGTGGAATTTGCAAGTGGAAAATTCTAGCAGTATGAGGCCAATGGTACAAAAGGAAATATCTTCGTATAAAAACTAGACAGTATCATTCTCAGAAACTGCTTTGTGATGTGTGAATTAAACTCACAGAGTTGAACATTTCTTTGCATAGAGCAGTTTGGAAAGACTTAGTTTTTGCAGTGTGCAAGTGGATATTTGGAACTCTTTGAGGCCTTCGTTGGAAACGGGATTTCTTCTTATAATTCTTGACAAAAGAATTCTCAGTAGCTTCTTTGTGTGTGTGTATTCAACTCACAGAGTTGAACCTTCCTTTAGACAGAGCAGATTGGAAACACTCTTTTTGTGGAATTTGCAAGTGGAGAATTCTAGCGCTTTGACGCCAATGGTAGAAAGGAAATATCTTCGTATAAAAACTAGACAGTATCATTCTCAGAAGCTACTTTGTGATGTGTGCGTTCAACTCACAGAGTTTAACCTTTCTTTTCATAGAGCAGTTTGGAAACCCTCTGTTTGTGAAGTCTGCAAGTGGATATTTAAACGTCTTTGAGGCCTTCGTTGGAAACGGGATTTTTTCATATAAACCAGGACAGAAGAATTCTCAGAAACTTCTTGATTGTTATGTGTGCATTCAACTCACAGAGTTGAACCTTACTTTGGAAAGAGCAGTTTTCTAACACTCTTTTTGTAAAAGTTCCAAGTGAATACTTTGAGTGCTTTGTAGCCTACGGTAGACAACGAAATATCTTCATGTAAAAACTACAAAGAATCATTCGCAGAAACCACGTTGTGATCTCTGCATTCAACTCACAGAGTTGAACCTTTCTTCCTATAGAGCAGTTATGAAACAGTCTCTTTGTAGAATTTGCAAGGGTGTATTTAGAGGGCATTGAAGCCTACGGTAGAAAAGGAAATATCTTACCATAAAATCTAGTCAGAAGCATTCTCAGCAACTGAGTTGTGATGTTTGCATTCAACTCACAGAGTTCAACATTCCTTTTCATGGAGCGGTTTTGAAACACTCTTTTTGCAGAATCTGCAAGTGGATATTTGGACCTCTTTGAGGCCTTCGTTGGAAACGGGATTTCTTCATGTAATGCCAGACAGAAGAATTCTCAGTGAATTCTTTCTGTGTGTGTGTATTCAACTCACAGAGTTGAACGTTCCTTTAGACAGAGTAGATTGGAAACACTCTTTTTGTGGAATTTTCAGGTGGAGGTATCAAGCGCTTTGAGGCCAATGATAGAAAAGGAAATACCTTCGTATAATAATTAGACGGAATCATTCTCAGAAACTGCTTTGCAATGTGTGCATTCAACTCACAGTGTTTAACCTTTCTTTTCATACAGTTGTTTCGAAACACTCTTTTTGCAGAATCTGCAAGTGGATATTTGGACCTCTTTGAAGTCTTCGTTGGAAATGGGATTTCTTCATATAATGCTAGACAGAAGACTTCTCAGTAACTGCTTTTTCTGGTGTGTATTCAACTCTCAGAGTTGAACTTTCCTTTAGAAACAGCAGAGTTGAAACTCTCTTTTTGTGGAATTTGCAAGTGGAGATTTCAGAGCTTTGAGGCCAATGGTAGAAAAGGAAATATCTTCGTATGCAAACTAGACAGAATCATTCTCAGAAACTACTTTGGTACGTGTGTGTTCAACTCACAGTGTTTAACCTTTCTTTTCATAGAGCAGTTTGGAAACACTGTTTGTAAAGTCAGCAACTGGATATTTGGATGTATTTGAGGCCTTCGTTGGAAACGGGATTTCTTCATATAATGCTAGACAGAAGAATTCTCAGTAACTTCTTTGGGTTGTGGGTATTCAACTCACAGAGTTGAAGCTTCCTTTAGGCGGAGCAGATTGGAAACACTTTTTGTGGAATTTTCAGGGGGAGACTTCAAGCGCTTTGAAGTGAATGGTAGGAAAGGAAATATCTTCGTATAAAAACTAGACGGAGTCATTCTCAGAAACTACTTTGTGATGTTTGCGTTCAACTCACAGAGTTTAACGTTTCTTTTCATAGAGCAGTTTGGAAACACTCTTTTTGCAGAATCTGCAAGTGGATATTTGGACCTCTTTGTGGCCTTCGTTGGAAACGGGATTTTTCATATAATGCTAGACAGAAGAATTCTCAGTAACTTCTTTTTGTGGTGTGTATTCAACTCACAGAGTTGAACCTTCCTTTAGACAGAGCAGATTTGAAACTCTCTTTTTGTGGAATTTGCAAGTGGAGATTTCAAGCGCTTTGAGGCCAACGGCAGAAAAGGAAATATCTTCGTAGAAAAAATAGACGGAATCATTCTCAGAAACTGCTTTGGGATGTGTGCATTGAACTCACAGTGTTTAACACTTCTTTTCATAGAGCACTTTGGAAACACTCAGTTTGTAATGTCTGCAGCTGGATATTTGGACCTCTTTGAGGCCTTCGTAGTAAACGGGATTTCTTCGTGTAATGATAGACAATAGAATTCTCAGTGAATTTTTTTCTGTGTGTGTGTATTCAACTCACAGGGTTGAACCATCCTTTAGACAGTGCAGATTTGAAACACTTGTCTGTGGAATTTGCAAGGGGAGATTTCAAGCACTTTGAGGCCATTGGTGGAAAAGGAAATATCTTCGTATGAAAACTAGACAGAATCATTCTCAGGAACTACTTTGTGATATGGGCATTCAACTCCCAGAGTTTAACCTTTCTTTTCATAGATGAGTTTGGAAACAGTCAGTTTGTAAATTCTGCAACTGGATATTTGGACCTCTTTGAGGCTTTCGTTGGAAACGGGATTTCTTCACATAATGCTAGACAGAAGAATTCTCAGTAACTTCTTTTGGGATGTATGTATTCAAATCAGAGAGTTGAACCTTCCTTTAGACAGAGCGGATTGGAAACACTCTTTTTGTGGAATTTGCAAGTGGAAAATTCTAGCAGTATGAGGCCAATGGTACAAAAGGAAATATCTTCGTATAAAAACTAGACAGTATCGTTCTCAGAAACTGCTTTGTGATGTGTGAATTAAACTCACAGAGTTGAACATTTCTTTGCATAGAGCAGTTTGGAAAGACTTAGTTTGTGCAGTGTGCAAGTGGATATTTGGAACTCTTTGAGGCCTTCGTTGGAAACGGGATTTCTTCTTATAATTCTTGACAAAAGAATTCTCAGTAGCTTCTTTGTGTGTGTGTACTCAACTCACAGAGTTGAACCTTCCTTTAGACAGAGCAGATTGGAAACATTCTTTTTGTGGAATTTGCAAGTGGAAAATTCTAGCAGTATGAGGCCAATGGTACAAAAGGAAATATCTTCGTATAAAAACTAGACAGTATCATTCTCAGAAGCTACTTTGTGATGTGTGCGTTCAACTCACAGAGTTTAACCTTTCTTTTCATAGAGCAGTTTGGAAACCCTCTGTTTGTGAAGTCTGCAAGTGGATATTTAAACGTCTTTGAGGCCTTCGTTGGAAACGGGATTTTTTCATATAAACCAGGACAGAAGAATTCTCAGAAACTTCTTGATTGTTATGTGTGCATTCAACTCACAGAGTTCAACCTTACTTTGGAAAGAGCAGTTTTCTAACACTCTTTTTGTAAAAGTTCCAAGTGAATACTTTGAGTGCTTTGAAGCCTACGGTTGACAACGAAATATCTTCATGTAAAAACTACAAGGAATCATTCGCAGAAACCACGTTGTGATCTCTGCATTCAACTCACAGAGTTCAACCTTTCTTCCTATAGAGCAGTTATGAAACAGTCTCTTTGTAGAATTTGCAAGGGTGTATTTAGAGGGCATTGAAGCCTACGGTAGAAAAGGAAATATCTTACCATAAAATCTAGTCAGAAGCATTCTCAGCAACTGAGTTGTGATGTTTGCATTCAACTCACAGAGTTCAACATTCCTTTTAATGGAGCGGTTTTGAAACACTCTTTTTGCAGAATCTGCAAGTGGATATTTGGACCTCTTTGAGGCCTTTGTTGGAAACGGGATTTCTTCATGTAATGCCAGACAGAAGAATTCTCAGTGAATTCTTTCTGTGTGTGTGTATTCAACTCACAGAGTTGAACGTTCCTTTAGACAGAGTAGATTGGAAACACTCTTTTTGTGGAATTTTCAGGTGGAGGTATCAAGCGCTTTGAGGCCAATGATAGAAAAGGAAATACCTTCGTATAATAATTAGACGGAATCATTCTCAGAAACTGCTTTGCAATGTGTGCGTTCAACTCACAGTGTTTAACCTTTCTTTTCATACAGTTGTTTCGAAACACTCTTTTTGCAGAATCTGCAAGTGGATATTTGGACCTCTTTGAAGTCTTCGTTGGAAATGGGATTTCTTCATACAATGCTAGACAGAAGACTTCTCAGTAACTGCTTTTTCTGGTGTGTATTCAACTCTCAGAGTTGAACTTTCCTTTAGAAACAGCAGATTTGAAACTCTCTTTTTGTGGAATTTGCAAGTGGAGATTTCAGAGCTTTGAGGCCACTGGTAGAAAAGGAAATATCTTCGTATGCAAACTAGACAGAATCATTCTCAGAAACTACTTTGGTACGTGTGTGTTCAACTCACAGTGTTTAACCTTTCTTTTCATAGAGCAGTTTGGAAACACTCAGTTTGTAAAGTCAGCAACTGGATATTTGGATGTATTTGAGGCCTTCGTTGGAAACGGGATTTCTTCATATAGTGCTAGACAGAAGAATTCTCAGTAACTTCTTTGGGTTGTGGGTATTCAACTCACAGAGTTGAAGCTTCCTTTAGGCGGAGCAGATTGGAAACACTTTTTGTGGAATTTTCAGGGGGAGACTTCAAGCGCTTTGAAGTGAATGGTAGGAAAGGAAATATCTTCGTATAAAAACTAGACGGAGTCATTCTCAGAAACTACTTTGTGATGTTTGCGTTCAACTCACAGAGTTTAACGTTTCTTTTCATAGAGCAGTTTGGAAACACTCTTTTTGCAGAATCTGCAAGTGGATATTTGGACCTCTTTGTGGCCTTCGTTAGAAACGGGATTTTTCATATAATGCTAGACAGAAGAATTCTCAGTAACTTCTTTTTGTGGTGTGTATTCAACTCACAGAGTTGAACCTTCCTTTAGACAGAGCAGATTTGAAACTCTCTTTTTGTGGAATTTGCAAGTGGAGATTTCAAGCGCTTTGAGGCCAACGGCAGAAAAGGAAATATCTTCGTAGAAAAAATAGACGGAATCATTCTCAGAAACTGCTTTGGGATGTGTGCATTGAACTCACAGTGTTTAACACTTCTTTTCATAGAGCACTTTGGAAACACTCAGTTTGTAATGTCTGCAGCTGGATATTTGGACCTCTTTGAGGCCTTCGTAGTAAACGGGATTTCTTCGTGTAATGATAGACAATAGAATTCTCAGTGAATTTTTTTCTCTGTGTGTGTATTCAACTCACAGGGTTGAACCTTCCTTTAGACAGTGCAGATTTGAAACACTTGTCTGTGGAATTTGCAAGGGGAGATTTCAAGCACTCTGAGGCCATTGGTGGAAAAGGAAATATCTTCGTATAAAAACTAGACAGAATCATTCTCAGGAACTACTTTGTGATATGTGCATTCAACTCCCAGAGTTTAACCTTTCTTTTCATAGATGAGTTTGGAAACAGTCAGTTTGTAAATTCTGCAACTGGATATTTGGACCTCTTTGAGGCTTTCGTTGGAAACGGGATTTCTTCACATAATGCTAGACAGAAGAATTCTCAGTAACTTCTTTTGGGATGTATGTATTCAAATCAGAGAGTTGAACCTTCCTTTAGACAGAGCGGATTGGAAACACTCTTTTTGTGGAATTTGCAAGTGGAAAATTCTAGCAGTATGAGGCCAATGGTACAAAAGGAAATATCTTCATATAAAAACTAGACAGTATCATTCTCAGAAACTGCTTTGTGATGTGTGTTTTAAACTCACAGAGTTGAACATTTCTTTGCATAGAGCAGTTTGGAAAGACTTAGTTTGTGCAGTGTGCAAGTGGATATTTGGAACTCTTTGAGGCCTTCGTTGGAAACGGGATTTCTTCTTATAATTCTTGACAAAAGAATTCTCAGTAGCTTCTTTGTGTGTGTGTATTCAACTCACAGAGTTGAACCTTCCTTTAGACAGAGCAGATTGGAAACACTCTTTTTGTGGAATTTGCAAGTGGAGAATTCTAGCGCTTTGACGCCAATGGTAGAAAGGAAATATCTTCGTATAAAAACTAGACAGTATCATTCTCAGAAACTACTTTGTGATGTGTGCGTTCAACTCACAGAGTTTAACCTTTGTTTTCATAGAGCAGTTTGGAAACACTCTGTTTGTGAAGTCTGCAAGTGGATATTTAAACGTCTTTGAGGCCTTCGTTGGAAACGGGATTTTTTCATATAAACCAGGACAGAAGAATTCTCAGAAACTTCTTGATTGTTATGTGTGCATTCAACTCACAGAGTTGAACCTTACTTTGGAAAGAGCAGTTTTCTAACACTCTTTTTGTAAAAGTTCCAAGTGAATACTTTGAGTGCTTTGAAGCCTACGGTTGACAACGAAATATCTTCATGTAAAATCTACAAAGAATCATTCGCAGAAACCACGTTGTGATCTCTGCATTCAACTCACAGAGTTGAACCTTTCTTCCTGTAGAGCAGTTATGAAACAGTCTCTTTGTAGAATTTGCAAGGGTGTATTTAGAGGGCATTGAAGCCTACGGTAGAAAAGGAAATATCTTACCATAAAATCTAGTCAGAAGCATTCTCAGAAACTGAGTTGTGATGTTTGCATTCAACTCACAGAGTTCAACATTCCTTTTAATGGAGCGGTTTTGAAACACTCTTTTTGCAGAATCTGCAAGTGGATATTTGGACCTCTTTGAGGCCTTCGTTGGAAACGGGATTTCTTCATGTAATGCCAGACAGAAGAATTCTCAGTGAATTCTTTCTGTGTGTGTGTATTCAACTCACAGAGTTGAACGTTCCTTTAGACAGAGTAGATTGGAAACACTCTTTTTGTGGAATTTTCAGGTGGAGGTATCAAGCGCTTTGAGGCCAATGATAGAAAAGGAAATACCTTCGTATAATAATTAGACGGAATCATTCTCAGAAACTGCTTTGCAATGTGTGCGTTCAACTCACAGTGTTTAACCTTTCTTTTCATACAGTTGTTTCGAAACACTCTTTTTGCAGAATCTGCAAGTGGATATTTGGACCTCTTTGAAGTCTTCGTTGGAAATGGGATTTCTTCATATAATGCTAGACAGAAGACTTCTCAGTAACTGCTTTTTCTGGTGTGTATTCAACTCTCAGAGTTGAACTTTCCTTTAGAAACAGCAGATTTGAAACTCTCTTTTTGTGGAATTTGCAAGTGGAGATTTCAGAGCTTTGAGGCCAATGGTAGAAAAGGAAATATCTTCGTATGCAAACTAGACAGAATCATTCTCAGAAACTACTTTGGTACGTGTGTGTTCAACTCACAGTGTTTAACCTTTCTTTTCATAGAGCAGTTTGGAAACACTCAGTTTGTAAAGTCAGCAACTGGATATTTGGATGTATTTGAGGCCTTCGTTGGAAACGGGATTTCTTCATATAATGCTAGACAGAAGAATTCTCAGTAACTTCTTTGGGTTGTGGGTATTCAAGTCACAGAGTTGAAGCTTCCTTTAGGCGGAGCAGATTGGAAACACTTTTTGTGGAATTTTCAGGGGGAGACTTCAAGCGCTTTGAAGTGAATGGTAGGAAAGGAAATATCTTCGTATAAAAACTAGACGGAGTCATTCTCAGAAACTACTTTGTGATGTTTGCGTTCAACTCACAGAGTTTAACGTTTCTTTTCATAGAGCAGTTTGGAAACACTCTTTTTGCAGAATCTGCAAGTGGATATTTGGACCTCTTTGTGGCCTTCGTTGGAAACGGGATTTTTCATATAATGCTAGACAGAAGAATTCTCAGTAACTTCTTTTTGTGGTGTGTATTCAACTCACAGAGTTGAACCTTCCTTTAGACAGAGCAGATTTGAAACTCTCTTTTTGTGGAATTTGCAAGTGGAGATTTCAAGCGCTTTGAGGCCAACGGCAGAAAAGGAAATATCTTCGTAGAAAAAATAGACGGAATCATTCTCAGAAACTGCTTTGGGATGTGTGCATTGAACTCACAGTGTTTAACACTTCTTTTCATAGAGCACTTTGGAAACACTCAGTTTGTAATGTCTGCAGCTGGATATTTGGACCTCTTTGAGGCCTTCGTAGTAAACGGGATTTCTTCGTGTAATGATAGACAATAGAATTCTCAGTGAATTTTTTTCTGTGTGTGTGTATTCAACTCACAGGGTTGAACCTTCCTTTAGACAGTGCAGATTTGAAACACTTGTCTGTGGAATTTGCAAGGGGAGATTTCAAGCACTTTGAGGCCATTGGTGGAAAAGGAAATATCTTCGTATGAAAACTAGACAGAATCATTCTCAGGAACTACTTTGTGATATGGGCATTCAACTCCCAGAGTTTAACCTTTCTTTTCATAGATGAGTTTGGAAACAGTCAGTTTGTAAATTCTGCAACTGGATATTTGGACCTCTTTGAGGCTTTCGTTGGAAACGGGATTTCTTCACATAATGCTAGACAGAAGAATTCTCAGTAACTTCTTTTGGGATGTATGTATTCAAATCAGAGAGTTGAACCTTCCTTTAGACAGAGCGGATTGGAAACACTCTTTTTGTGGAATTTGCAAGTGGAAAATTCTAGCAGTATGAGGCCAATGGTACAAAAGGAAATATCTTCGTATAAAAACTAGACAGTAATCATTCTCAGAAACTGCTTTGTGATGTGTGTATTAAACTCACAGAGTTGAACATTTCTTTGCATAGAGCAGTTTGGAAAGACTTAGTTTGTGCAGTGTGCAAGTGGATATTTGGAACTCTTTGAGGCCTTCGTTGGAAACGGGATTTCTTCTTATAATTCTTGACAAATGAATTCTCAGTAGCTTCTTTGTGTGTGTGTATTCAACTCACAGAGTTGAACCTTCCTTTAGACAGAGCAGATTGGAAACACTCTTTTTGTGGAATTTGCAAGTGGAGAATTCTAGCGCTTTGACGCCAATGGTAGAAAGGAAATATCTTCGTATAAAAACTAGACAGTATCATTCTCAGAAGCTACTTTGTGATGTGTGCGTTCAACTCACAGAGTTTAACCTTTCTTTTCATAGAGCAGTTTGGAAACACTCTGTTTGTGAAGTCTGCAAGTGGATATTTAAACGTCTTTGAGGCCTTCGTTGGAAACGGGATTTCTTCATATAAACCAGGACAGAAGAATTCTCAGAAACTTCTTGATTGTTATGTGTGCATTCAACTCACAGAGTTGAACCTTACTTTGGAAAGAGCAGTTTTCTAACACTCTTTTTGTAAAAGTTCCAAGTGAATACTTTGAGTGCTTTGAAGCCTACGGTTGACAACGAAATATCTTCATGTAAAAACTACAAAGAATCATTCGCAGAAACCACGTTGTGATCTCTGCATTCAACTCACAGAGTTCAACCTTTCTTCCTATAGAGCAGTTATGAAACAGTCTCTTTGTAGAATTTGCAAGGGTGTATTTAGAGGGCATTGAAGCCTACGGTAGAAAAGGAAATATCTTACCATAAAATCTAGTCAGAAGCATTCTCAGCAACTGAGTTGTGATGTTTGCATTCAACTCACAGAGTTCAACATTCCTTTTAATGGAGCGGTTTTGAAACACTCTTTTTGCAGAATCTGCAAGTGGATATTTGGACCTCTTTGAGGCCTTCGTTGGAAACGGGATTTCTTCATGTAATGCCAGACAGAAGAATTCTCAGTGAATTCTTTCTGTGTGTGTGTATTCAACTCACAGAGTTGAACGTTCCTTTAGACAGAGTAGATTGGAAACACTCTTTTTGTGGAATTTTCAGGTGGAGGTATCAAGCGCTTTGAGGCCAATGATAGAAAAGGAAATACCTTCGGTATAATAATTAGACGGAATCATTCTCAGAAACTGCTTTGCAATGTGTGCGTTCAACTCACAGTGTTTAACCTTTCTTTTCATACAGTTGTTTCGAAACACTCTTTTTGCAGAATCTGCAAGTGGATATTTGGACCTCTTTGAAGTCTTCGTTGGAAATGGGATTTCTTCATACAATGCTAGAGAGAAGACTTCTCAGTAACTGCTTTTTCTGGTGTGTATTCAACTCTCAGAGTTGAACTTTCCTTTAGAAACAGCAGATTTGAAACTCTCTTTTTGTGGAATTTGCAAGTGGAGATTTCAGAGCTTTGAGGCCAATGGTAGAAAAGGAAATATCTTCGTATGCAAACTAGACAGAATCATTCTCAGAAACTACTTTGGTACGTGTGTGTTCAACTCACAGTGTTTAACCTTTCTTTTCATAGAGCAGTTTGGAAACACTCAGTTTGTAAAGTCAGCAACTGGATATTTGGATGTATTTGAGGCCTTCGTTGGAAACGGGATTTCTTCATATAATGCTAGACAGAAGAATTCTCAGTAACTTCTTTGGGTTGTGGGTATTCAAGTCACAGAGTTGAAGCTTCCTTTAGGCGGAGCAGATTGGAAACACTTTTTGTGGAATTTTCAGGGGGAGACTTCAAGCGCTTTGAAGTGAATGGTAGGAAAGGAAATATCTTCGTATAAAAACTAGACGGAGTCATTCTCAGAAACTACTTTGTGATGTTTGCGTTCAACTCACAGAGTTTAACGTTTCTTTTCATAGAGCAGTTTGGAAACACTCTTTTTGCAGAATCTGCAAGTGGATATTTGGACCTCTTTGTGGCCTTCGTTGGAAACGGGATTTTTCATATAATGCTAGACAGAAGAATTCTCAGTAACTTCTTTTTGTGGTGTGTATTCAACTCACAGAGTTGAACCTTCCTTTAGACAGAGCAGATTTGAAACTCTCTTTTTGTGGAATTTGCAAGTGGAGATTTCAAGCGCTTTGAGGCCAACGGCAGAAAAGGAAATATCTTCGTAGAAAAAATAGACGGAATCATTCTCAGAAACTGCTTTGGGATGTGTGCATTGAACTCACAGTGTTTAACACTTCTTTTCATAGAGCACTTTGGAAACACTCAGGTTGTAATGTCTGCAGCTGGATATTTGGACCTCTTTGAGGCCTTCGTGGTAAACGGGATTTCTTCGTGTAATGATAGACAATAGAATTCTCAGTGAATTTTTTTCTGTGTGTGTGTATTCAACTCACAGGGTTGAACCTTCCTTTAGACAGTGCAGATTTGAAACACTTGTCTGTGGAATTTGCAAGGGGAGATTTCAAGCACTTTGAGGCCATTGGTGGAAAAGGAAATATCTTCGTATAAAAACTAGACAGAATCATTCTCAGGAACTACTTTGTGATATGTGCATTCAACTCACAGAGTTTAACCTTTCTTTTCATAGATGAGTTTGGAAACAGTCAGTTTGTAAATTCTGCAACTGGATATTTGGACCTCTTTGAGGCTTTCGTTGGAAACGGGATTTCTTCACATAATGCTAGACAGAAGAATTCTCAGTAACTTCTTTTGGGATGTATGTATTCAAATCAGAGAGTTGAACCTTCCTTTAGACAGAGCGGATTGGAAACACTCTTTTTGTGGAATTTGCAAGTGGAAAATTCTAGCAGTATGAGGCCAATGGTACAAAAGGAAATATCTTCGTATAAAAACTAGACAGTATCATTCTCAGAAACTGCTTTGTGATGTGTGTATTAAACTCACAGAGTTGAACATTTCTTTGCATAGAGCAGTTTGGAAAGACTTAGTTTGTGCAGTGTGCAAGTGGATATTTGGAACTCTTTGAGGCCTTCGTTGGAAACGGGATTTCTTCTTATAATTCTTGACAAAAGAATTCTCAGTAGCTTCTTTGTGTGTGTGTATTCAACTCACAGAGTTGAACCTTCCTTTAGACAGAGCAGATTGGAAACACTCTTTTTGTGGAATTTGCAAGTGGAGAATTCTAGCGCTTTGACGCCAATGGTAGAAAGGAAATATCTTCGTATAAAAACTAGACAGTATCATTCTCAGAAACTACTTTGTGATGTGTGCGTTCAACTCACAGAGTTTAACCTTTCTTTTCATAGAGCAGTTTGGAAACACTCTGTTTGTGAAGTCTGCAAGTGGATATTTAAACGTCTTTGAGGCCTTCGTTGGAAACGGGATTTGTTCATATAAACCAGGACAGAAGAATTCTCAGAAACTTCTTGATTGTTATGTGTGCATTCAACTCACAGATTTGAACCTTACTTTGGAAAGAGCAGTTTTCTAACACTCTTTTTGTAAAAGTTCCAAGTGAATACTTTGAGTGCTTTGAAGCCTACGGTTGACAACGAAATATCTTCATGTAAAAACTACAAAGAATCATTCGCAGAAACCACGTTGTGATCTCTGCATTCAACTCACAGAGTTGAACCTTTCTTCCTATAGAGCAGTTATGAAACAGTCTCTTTGTAGAATTTGCAAGGGTGTATTTAGAGGACATTGAAGCCTACGGTAGAAAAGGAAATATCTTACCATAAAATCTAGTCAGAAGCATTCTCAGAAACTGAGTTGTGATGTTTGCATTCAACTCACAGAGTTCAACATTCCTTTTAATGGAGCGGTTTTGAAACACTCTTTTTGCAGAATCTGCAAGTGGATATTTGGACCTCTTTGAGGCCTTCGTTGGAAACGGA
This sequence comes from Homo sapiens, assembly GCF_000001405.40. Lineage (NCBI taxonomy): Eukaryota > Metazoa > Chordata > Mammalia > Primates > Hominidae > Homo > Homo sapiens. The sequence continues at coordinate 92,865,337 of NC_000003.12, forward strand.
ATTTCTTCATGTAATGCCAGACAGAAGAATTCTCAGTGAATTCTTTCTGTGTGTGTGTATTCAACTCACAGAGTTGAACGTTCCTTTAGACAGAGTAGATTGGAAACACTCTTTTTGTGGAATTTTCAGGTGGAGGTATCAAGCGCTTTGAGGCCAATGATAGAAAAGGAAATACCTTCGTATAATAATTAGACGGAATCATTCTCAGAAACTGCTTTGCAATGTGTGCGTTCAACTCACAGTGTTTAACCTTTCTTTTCATACAGTTGTTTCGAAACACTCTTTTTGCAGAATCTGCAAGTGGATATTTGGACCTCTTTGAAGTCTTCGTTGGAAATGGGATTTCTTCATATAATGCTAGACAGAAGACTTCTCAGTAACTGCTTTATCTGGTGTGTATTCAACTCTCAGAGTTGAACTTTCCTTTAGAAACAGCAGAGTTGAAACTCTCTTTTTGTGGAATTTGCAAGTGGAGATTTCAAAGCTTTGAGGTCAATGGTAGAAAAGGAAATATCTTCGTATGCAAACTAGACAGAATCATTCTCAGAAACTACTTTGGTACGTGTGTGTTCAACTCACAGTGTTTAACCTTTCTTTTCATAGAGCAGTTTGGAAACACTCAGTTTGTAAAGTCAGCAACTGGATATTTGGATGTATTTGAGGCCTTCGTTGGAAACGGGATTTCTTCATATAGTGCTAGACAGAAGAATTCTCAGTAACTTCTTTGGGTTGTGGGTATTCAACTCACAGAGTTGAAGCTTCCTTTAGGCGGAGCAGATTGGAAACACTTTTTGTGGAATTTTCAGGGGGAGACTTCAAGCGCTTTGAAGTGAATGTTAGGAAAGGTAATATTCTTCGTATAAAAACTAGACGGAGTCATTCTCAGAAACTACTTTGTGATGTTTGCGTTCAACTCACAGAGTTTAACGTTTCTTTTCATAGAGCAGTTTGGAAACACTCATTTTGCAGAATCTGCAAGTGGATATTTGGACCTCTTTGTGGCCTTCGTTGGAAACGGGATTTTTCATATAATGCTAGACAGAAGAATTCTCAGTAACTTCTTTTTGTGGTGTGTATTCAACTCACAGAGTTGAACCTTCCTTTAGACAGAGCAGATTTGAAACTCTCTTTTTGTGGAATTTGCAAGTGGAGATTTCAAGCGCTTTGAGGCCAACGGCAGAAAAGGAAATATCTTCGTAGAAAAAATAGACGGAATCATTCTCAGAAACTGCTTTGGGATGTGTGCATTGAACTCACAGTGTTTAACACTTCTTTTCATAGAGCACTTTGGAAACACTCAGTTTGTAATGTCTGCAGCTGGATATTTGGACCTCTTTGAGGCCTTCGTAGTAAACGGGATTTCTTCGTGTAATGATAGACAATAGAATTCTCAGTGAATTTTTTTCTGTGTGTGTGTATTCAACTCACAGGGTTGAACCTTCCTTTAGACAGTGCAGATTTGAAACACTTGTCTGTGGAATTTGCAAGGGGAGATTTCAAGCACTTTGAGGCCATTGGTGGAAAAGGAAATATCTTCGTATAAAAACTAGACAGAATCATTCTCAGGAACTACTTTGTGATATGTGCATTCAACTCCCAGAGTTTAACCTTTCTTTTCATAGATGAGTTTGGAAACAGTCAGTTTGTAAATTCTGCAACTGGATATTTGGACCTCTTTGAGGCTTTCGTTGGAAACGGGATTTCTTCACATAATGCTAGACAGAAGAATTCTCAGTAACTTCTTTTGGGATGTATGTATTCAAATCAGAGAGTTGAACCTTCCTTTAGACAGAGCGGATTGGAAACACTCTTTTTGTGGAATTTGCAAGTGGAAAATTCTAGCAGTATGAGGCCAATGGTACAAAAGGAAATATCTTCGTATAAAAACTAGACAGTATCATTCTCAGAAACTGCTTTGTGATGTGTGTATTAAACTCACAGAGTTGAACATTTCTTTGCATAGAGCAGTTTGGAAAGACTTAGTTTGTGCAGTGTGCAAGTGGATATTTGGAACTCTTTGAGGCCTTCGTTGGAAACGGGATTTCTTCTTATAATTCTTGACAAAAGAATTCTCAGTAGCTTCTTTGTGTGTGTGTATTCAACTCACAGAGTTGAACCTTCCTTTAGACAGAGCAGATTGGAAACACTCTTTTTGTGGAATTTGCAAGTGGAGAATTCTAGCGCTTTGACGCCAATGGTAGAAAGGAAATATCTTCGTATAAAAACTAGACAGTATCATTCTCAGAAGCTACTTTGTGATGTGTGCGTTCAACTCACAGAGTTTAACCTTTCTTTTCATAGAGCAGTTTGGAAACACTCTGTTTGTGAAGTCTGCAAGTGGATATTTAAACGTCTTTGAGGCCTTCGTTGGAAACGGGATTTTTTCATATAAACCAGGACAGAAGAATTCTCAGAAACTTCTTGATTGTTATGTGTGCATTCAACTCACAGAGTTGAACCTTACTTTGGAAAGAGCAGTTTTCTAATACTCTTTTTGTAAAAGTTCCAAGTGAATACTTTGAGTGCTTTGAAGCCTACGGTTGACAACGAAATATCTTCATGTAAAAACTACAAAGAATCATTCGCAGAAACCACGTTGTGATCTCTGCATTCAACTCACAGAGTTCAACCTTTCTTCCTATAGAGCAGTTATGAAACAGTCTCTTTGTAGAATTTGCAAGGGTGTATTTAGAGGGCATTGAAGCCTACGGTAGAAAAGGAAATATCTTACCATAAAATCTAGTCAGAAGCATTCTCAGAAACTGAGTTGTGATGTTTGCATTCAACTCACAGAGTTCAACATTCCTTTTAATGGAGTGGTTTTGAAACACTCTTTTTGCAGAATCTGCAAGTGGATATTTGGACCTCTTTGAGGCCTTCGTTGGAAACGGGATTTCTTCATGTAATGCCAGACAGAAGAATTCTCAGTGAATTCTTTCTGTGTGTGTGTATTCAACTCACAGAGTTGAACGTTCCTTTAGACAGAGTAGATTGGAAACACTCTTTTTGTGGAATTTTCAGGTGGAGGTATCAAGCGCTTTGAGGCCAATGATAGAAAAGGAAATAACTTCGTATAATAATTAGACGGAATCATTCTCAGAAACTGCTTTGCAATGTGTGCGTTCAACTCACAGTGTTTAACCTTTCTTTTCATACAATTGTTTCGAAACACTCTTTTTGCAGAATCTGCAAGTGGATATTTGGACCTCTTTGAAGTCTTCGTTGGAAATGGGATTTCTTCATATAATGCTAGACAGAAGACTTCTCAGTAACTGCTTTTTCTGGTGTGTATTCAACTCTCAGAGTTGAACTTTCCTTTAGAAACAGCAGATTTGAAACTCTCTTTTTGTGGAATTTGCAAGTGGAGATTTCAGAGCTTTGAGGCCAATGGTAGAAAAGGAAATATCTTCGTATGCAAACTAGACAGAATCATTCTCAGAAACTACTTTGGTACGTGTGTGTTCAAGTCACAGTGTTTAACCTTTCTTTTCATAGAGCAGTTTGGAAACACTCAGTTTGTAAAGTCAGCAACTGGATATTTGGATGTATTTGAGGCCTTCGTTGGAAACGGGATTTCTTCATATAATGCTAGACAGAAGAATTCTCAGTAACTTCTTTGGGTTGTGGGTATTCAACTCACAGAGTTGAAGCTTCCTTTAGGCGGAGCAGATTGGAAACACTTTTTGTGGAATTTTCAGGGGGAGACTTCAAGCGCTTTGAAGTGAATGGTAGGAAAGGAAATATCTTCGTATAAAAACTAGACGGAGTCATTCTCAGAAACTACTTTGTGATGTTTGCGTTCAACTCACAGAGTTTAACGTTTCTTTTCATAGAGCAGTTTGGAAACACTCTTTTTGCAGAATCTGCAAGTGGATATTTGGACCTCTTTGTGGCCTTCGTTGGAAACGGGATTTTTCATATAATGCTAGACAGAAGAATTCTCAGTAACTTCTTTTTGTGGTGTGTATTCAACTCACAGAGTTGAACCTTCCTTTAGACAGAGCAGATTTGAAACTCTCTTTTTGTGGAATTTGCAAGTGGAGATTTCAAGCGCTTTGAGGCCAACGGCAGAAAAGGAAATATCTTCGTAGAAAAAATAGACGGAATCATTCTCAGAAACTGCTTTGGGATGTGTGCATTGAACTCACAGTGTTTAACACTTCTTTTCATAGAGCACTTTGGAAACACTCAGTTTGTAATGTCTGCAGCTGGATATTTGGACCTCTTTGAGGCCTTCGTAGTAAACGGGATTTCTTCGTGTAATGATAGACAATAGAATTCTCAGTGAATTTTTTTCTGTGTGTGTGTATTCAACTCACAGGGTTGAACCTTCCTTTAGACAGTGCAGATTTGAAACACTTGTCTGTGGAATTTGCAAGGGGAGATTTCAAGCACTTTGAGGCCATTGGTGGAAAAGGAAATATCTTCGTATAAAAACTAGACAGAATCATTCTCAGGAACTACTTTGTGATATGTGCATTCAACTCACAGAGTTTAACCTTTCTTTTCATAGATGAGTTTGGAAACAGTCAGTTTGTAAATTCTGCAACTGGATATTTGGACCTCTTTGAGGCTTTCGTTGGAAACGGGATTTCTTCACATAATGCTAGACAGAAGAATTCTCAGTAACTTCTTTTGGGATGTATGTATTCAAATCAGAGAGTTGAACCTTCCTTTAGACAGAGCGGATTGGAAACACTCTTTTTGTGGAATTTGCAAGTGGAAAATTCTAGCAGTATGAGGCCAATGGTACAAAAGGAAATATCTTCGTATAAAAACTAGACAGTATCATTCTCAGAAACTGCTTCGTGATGTGGGTATTAAACTCACAGAGTTGAACATTTCTTTGCATAGAGCAGTTTGGAAAGACTTAGTTTGTGCAGTGTGCAAGTGGATATTTGGAACTCTTTGAGGCCTTCGTTGGAAACGGGATTTCTTCTTATAATTCTTGACAAAAGAATTCTCAGTAGCTTCTTTGTGTGTGTGTATTCAACTCACAGAGTTGAACCTTCCTTGAGACAGAGCAGATTGGAAACACTCTTTTTGTGGAATTTGCAAGTGGAGAATTCTAGCGCTTTGACGCCAATGGTAGAAAGGAAATATCTTCGTATAAAAACTAGATAGTATCATTCTCAGAAACTACTTTGTGATGTGTGCGTTCAACTCACAGAGTTTAACCTTTCTTTTCATAGAGCAGTTTGGAAACACTCTGTTTGTGAAGTCTGCAGGTGGATATTTAAACGTCTTTGAGGCCTTCGTTGGAAACGGGATTTCTTCATATAAACCAGGACAGAAGAATTCTCAGAAACTTCTTGATTGTTATGGGTGCATTCAACTCACAGAGTTGAACCTTACTTTGGAAAGAGCAGTTTTCTAACACTCTTTTTGTAAAAGTTCCAAGTGAATACTTTGAGTGCTTTGAAGCCTACGGTTGACAACGAAATATCTTCATGTAAAAACTACAAGGAATCATTCGCAGAAACCACGTTGTGATCTCTGCAGTCAACTCACAGAGTTCAACCTTTCTTCCTATAGAGCAGTTATGAAACAGTCTCTTTGTAGAATTTGCAAGGGTGTATTTAGAGGGCATTGAAGCCTACGGTAGAAAAGGAAATATCTTACCATAAAATCTAGTCAGAAGCATTCTCAGCAACTGAGTTGTGATGTTTGCATTCAACTCACAGAGTTCAACATTCCTTTTAATGGAGCGGTTTTGAAACACTCTTTTTGCAGAATCTGCAAGTGGATATTTGGACCTCTTTGAGGCCTTCGTTGGAAACGGGATTTCTTCATGTAATGCCAGACAGAAGAATTCTCAGTGAATTCTTTCTGTGTGTGTGTATTCAACTCACAGAGTTGAACGTTCCTTTAGACAGAGTAGATTGGAAACACTCTTTTTGTGGAATTTTCAGGTGGAGGTATCAAGCGCTTTGAGGCCAATGATAGAAAAGGAAATACCTTCGTATAATAATTAGACGGAATCATTCTCAGAAACTGCTTTGCAATGTGTGCGTTCAACTCACAGTGTTTAACCTTTCTTTTCATACAGTTGTTTTGAAACACTCTTTTTGCAGAATCTGCAAGTGGATATTTGGACCTCTTTGAAGTCTTCGTTGGAAATGGGATTTCTTCATATAATGCTAGACAGAAGACTTCTCAGTAACTGCTTTTTCTGGTGTGTATTCAACTCTCAGAGTTGAACTTTCCTTTAGAAACAGCAGATTTGAAACTCTCTTTTTGTGGAATTTGCAAGTGGAGATTTCAGAGCTTTGAGGCCAATGGTAGAAAAGGAAATATCTTCGTATGCAAACTAGACAGAATCATTCTCAGAAACTACTTTGGTACGTGTGTGTTCAACTCACAGTGTTTAACCTTTCTTTTCATAGAGCAGTTTGGAAACACTCAGTTTGTAAAGTCAGCAACTGGATATTTGGATGTATTTGAGGTCTTCGTTGGAAACGGGATTTCTTCATATAATGCTAGACAGAAGAATTCTCAGTAACTTCTTTGTGTTGTGGGTATTCAACTCACAGAGCTGAAGCTTCCTTTAGGCGGAGCAGATTGGAAACACTTTTTGTGGAATTTTCAGGGGGAGACTTCAAGCGCTTTGAGGCCAACGGTAGAAAAGGAAATATCTTCGTATAAAAACTAGACGGAGTCATTCTCAGAAACTACTTTGTGATGTTTGCGTTCAACTCACAGAGTTTAACGTTTCTTTTCATAGAGCAGTTTGGAAACACTCTTTTTGCAGAATCTGCAAGTGGATATTTGGACCTCTTTGTGGCCTTCGTTGGAAACGGGATTTTTCATATAATGCTAGACAGAAGAATTCTCAGTAACTTCTTTTTGTGGTGTGTATTCAACTCACAGAGTTGAACCTTCCTTTAGACAGAGCAGATTTGAAACTCTCTTTTTGTGGAATTTGCAAGTGGAGATTTGAAGCGCTTTGAGGCCAACGGCAGAAAAGGAAATATCTTCGTAGAAAAAATAGACGGAATCATTCTCAGAAACTGCTTTGGGATGTGTGCATTGAACTCACAGTGTTTAACACTTCTTTTCATAGAGCACTTTGGAAACACTCAGGTTGTAATGTCTGCAGCTGGATACTTGGACCTCTTTGAGGCCTTCGTGGTAAACGGGATTTCTTCGTGTAATGATAGACAATAGAATTCTCAGTGAATTTTTTTCTGTGTGTGTGTATTCAACTCACAGGGTTGAACCTTCCTTTAGACAGTGCAGATTTGAAACACTTGTCTGTGGAATTTGCAAGGGGAGATTTCAAGCACTTTGAGGCCATTGGTGGAAAAGGAAATATCTTCGTATGAAAACTAGACAGAATCATTCTCAGGAACTACTTTGTGATATGTGCATTCAACTCACAGAGTTTAACCTTTCTTTTCATAGATGAGTTTGGAAACAGTCAGTTTGTAAATTCTGCAACTGGATATTTGGACCTCTTTGAGGCTTTCGTTGGAAACGGGATTTCTTCACATAATGCTAGACAGAAGAATTCTCAGTAACTTCTTTTGGGATGTATGTATTCAAATCAGAGAGTTGAACCTTCCTTTAGACAGAGCGGATTGGAAACACTCTTTTTGTGGAATTTGCAAGTGGAAAATTCTAGCAGTATGAGGCCAATGGTACAAAAGGAAATATCTTCGTATAAAAACTAGACAGTATCATTCTCAGAAACTGCTTTGTGATGTGTGTATTAAACTCACAGAGTTGAACATTTCTTTGCATAGAGCAGTTTGGAAAGACTTAGTTTGTGCAGTGTGCAAGTGGATATTTGGAACTCTTTGAGGCCTTCGTTGGAAACGGGATTTCTTCTTATAATTCTTGACAAAAGAATTCTCAGTAGCTTCTTTGTGTGTGTGTATTCAACTCACAGAGTTGAACCTTCCTTTAGACAGAGCAGATTGGAAACACTCTTTTTGTGGAATTTGCAAGTGGAGAATTCTAGCGCTTTGACGCCAATGGTAGAAAGGAAATATCTTCGTATAAAAACTAGACAGTATCATTCTCAAAAACTACTTTGTGATGTGTGCGTTCAACTCACAGAGTTTAACCTTTCTTTTCATAGAGCAGTTTGGAAACACTCTGTTTGTGAAGTCTGCAAGTGGATATTTAAACGTCTTTGAGGCCTTCGTTGGAAACGGGATTTTTTCATATAAACCAGGACAGAAGAATTCTCAGAAACTTCTTGATTGTTATGTGTGCATTCAACTCACAGAGTTGAACCTTACTTTGGAAAGAGCAGTTTTCTAACACTCTTTTTGTAAAAGTTCCAAGTGAATACTTTGAGTGCTTTGAAGCCTACGGTTGACAACGAAATATCTTCATGTAAAAACTACAAAGAATCATTCGCAGAAACCACGTTGTGATCTCTGCATTCAACTCACAGAGTTGAACCTTTCTTCCTGTAGAGCAGTTATGAAACAGTCTCTTTGTAGAATTTGCAAGGGTGTATTTAGAGGGCATTGAAGCCTACGGTAGAAAAGGAAATATCTTACCATAAAATCTAGTCAGAAGCATTCTCAGCAACTGAGTTGTGATGTTTGCATTCAACTCACAGAGTTCAACATTCCTTTTAATGGAGCGGTTTTGAAACACTCTTTTTGCAGAATCTGCAAGTGGATATTTGGACCTCTTTGAGGCCTTCGTTGGAAACGGGATTTCTTCATGTAATGCCAGACAGAAGAATTCTCAGTGAATTCTTTACTGTGTGTGTGTATTCAACTCACAGAGTTGAACGTTCCTTTAGACAGAGTAGATTGGAAACACTCTTTTTGTGGAATTTTCAGGTGGAGGTATCAAGCGCTTTGAGGCCAATGATAGAAAAGGAAATACCTTCGTATAATAATTAGACGGAATCATTCTCAGAAACCGCTTTGCAATGTGTGCGTTCAACTCACAGTGTTTAACCTTTCTTTTCATACAGTTGTTTCGAAACACTCTTTTTGCAGAATCTGCAAGTGGATATTTGGACCTCTTTGAAGTCTTCGTTGGAAATGGGATTTCTTCATATAATGCTAGACAGAAGACTTCTCAGTAACTGCTTTTTCTGGTGTGTATTCAACTCTCAGAGTTGAACTTTCCTTTAGAAACAGCAGATTTGAAACTCTCTTTTTGTGGAATTTGCAAGTGGAGATTTCAGAGCTTTGAGGCCAATGGTAGAAAAGGAAATATCTTCGTATGCAAACTAGACAGAATCATTCTCAGAAACTACTTTGGTACGTGTGTGTTCAACTCACAGTGTTTAACCTTTCTTTTCATAGAGCAGTTTGGAAACACTCAGTTTGTAAAGTCAGCAACTGGATATTTGGATGTATTTGAGGCCTTCGTTGGAAACGGGATTTCTTCATATAATGCTAGACAGAAGAATTCTCAGTAACTTCTTTGGGTTGTGGGTATTCAAGTCACAGAGTTGAAACTTCCTTTAGGCGGAGCAGATTGGAAACACTTTTTGTGGAATTTTCAGGGGGAGACTTCAAGCGCTTTGAAGTGAATGGTAGGAAAGGAAATATCTTCGTATAAAAACTAGACGGAGTCATTCTCAGAAACTACTTTGTGATGTTTGCGTTCAACTCACAGAGTTTAACGTTTCTTTTCATAGAGCAGTTTGGAAACACTCTTTTTGCAGAATCTGCAAGTGGATATTTGGACCTCTTTGTGGCCTTCGTTGGAAACGGGATTTTTCATATAATGCTAGACAGAAGAATTCTCAGTAACTTCTTTTTGTGGTGTGTATTCAACTCACAGAGTTGAACCTTCCTTTAGACAGAGCAGATTTGAAACTCTCTTTTTGTGGAATTTGCAAGTGGAGATTTCAAGCACTTTGAGGCCAACGGTAGAAAAGGAAATATCTTCGTAGAAAAAATAGACGGAATCATTCTCAGAAACTGCTTTGGGATGTGTGCATTGAACTCACAGTGTTTAACACTTCTTTTCATAGAGCACTTTGGAAACACTCAGTTTGTAATGTCTGCAGCTGGATATTTGGACCTCTTTGAGGCCTTCGTAGTAAACGGGATTTCTTCGTGTAATGATAGACAATAGAATTCTCAGTGAATTTTTTTCTGTGTGTGTGTATTCAACTCACAGGGTTGAACCTTCCTTTAGACAGTGCAGATTTGAGACACTTGTCTGTGGAATTTGCAAGGGGAGATTTCAAGCACTTTGAGGCCATTGGTGGAAAAGGAAATATCTTCGTATAAAAACTAGACAGAATCATTCTCAGGAACTACTTTGTGATATGTGCATTCAACTCACAGAGTTTAACCTTTCTTTTCATAGATGAGTTTGGAAACAGTCAGTTTGTAAATGCTGCAACTGGATATTTGGGCCTCTTTGAGGCTTTCGTTGGAAACGGGATTTCTTCACATAATGCTAGACAGAAGAATTCTCAGTAACTTTTTTTGGGATGTATGTATTCAAATCAGAGAGTTGAACCTTCCTTTAGACAGAGCGGATTGGAAACACTCTTTTTGTGGAATTTGCAAGTGGAAAATTCTAGCAGTATGAGGCCAATGGTACAAAAGGAAATATCTTCGTATAAAAACTAGACAGTATCATTCTCAGAAACTGCTTTGTGATGTGTGTATTAAACTCACAGAGTTGAACATTTCTTTGCATAGAGCAGTATGGAAAGACTTAGTTTGTGCAGTGTGCAAGTGGATATTTGGAACTCTTTGAGGCCTTGGTTGGAAACGGGATTTCTTCTTATAATTCTTGACAAAAGAATTCTCAGTAGCTTCTTTGTGTGTGTGTACTCAACTCACAGAGTTGAACCTTCCTTTAGACAGAGCAGATTGGAAACACTCTTTTTGTGGAATTTGCAAGTGGAAAATTCTAGCAGTATGAGGCCAATGGTACAAAAGGAAATATCTTCGTATAAAAACTAGACAGTATCATTCTCAGAAACTACTTTGTGAGGTGTGCGTTCAACTCACAGTGTTTACCCTTTCTTTTCATAGAGCAGTTTGGAAACACTCTGTTTGTGAAGTCTGCAAGTGGATATTTAAACGTCTTTGAGGCCTTCGTTGGAAACGGGATTTCTTCATATAAACCAGGACAGAAGAATTCTCAGAAACTTCTTGTTTGTTATGTGTGCATTCAACTCACAGAGTTGAACCTTACTTTGGAAAGAGCAGTTTTCTAACACTCTTTTTGTAAAAGTTCCAAGTGAATACTTTGAGTGCTTTGAAGCCTACGGTAGACAACGAAATATCTTCATGTAAAAACTACAAAGAATCATTCGCAGAAACCACGTTGTGATCTCTGCATTCAACTCACAGAGTTGAACCTTTCCTCCTATAGAGCAGTTATGAAGCAGTCTCTTTGTAGAATTTGCAAGGGTGTATTTACAGGGCATTGAAGCCTACGGTGGAAAAGGAAATATCTTACCATAAAATCTAGTCAGAAGCATTCTCAGAAACTGAGTTGTGATGTTTGCATTCAACTCACAGAGTTCAACATTCCTTTTAATGGAGCGGTTTTGAAACACTCTTTTTGCAGAATCTGCAAGTGGATATTTGGACCTCTTTGAGGCCTTCGTTGGAAACGGGATTTCTTCATGTAATGCCAGACAGAAGAATTCTCAGTGAATTCTTTCTGTGTGTGTGTATTCAACTCACAGAGTTGAACGTTCCTTTAGACAGAGTAGATTGGAAACACTCTTTTTGTGGAATTTTCAGGTGGAGGTATCAAGCGCTTTGAGGCCAATGATAGAAAAGGAAATACCTTCGTATAATAATTAGACGGAATCATTCTCAGAAACTGCTTTGCAATGTGTGCGTTCAACTCACAGTGTTTAACCTTTCTTTTCATAGAGTTGTTTCGAAACACTCTTTTTGCAGAATCTGCAAGTGGATATTTGGACCTCTTTGAAGTCTTCGTTGGAAATGGGATTTCTTCATATAATGCTAGACAGAAGACTTCTCAGTAACTGCTTTTTCTGGTGTGTATTCAACTCTCAGAGTTGAACTTTCCTTTAGAAACAGCAGATTTGAAACTCTCTTTTTGTGGAATTTGCAAGTGGAGATTTCAGAGCTTTGAGGCCAATGGTAGAAAAGGAAATATCTTCGTATGCAAACTAGACAGAATCATTCTCAGAAACTACTTTGGTACGTGTGTGTTCAACTCACAGTGTTTAACCTTTCTTTTCATAGAGCAGTTTGGAAACACTCAGTTTGTAAAGTCAGCAACTGGATATTTGGATGTATTTGAGGCCTTCGTTGGAAACGGGATTTCTTCATATAATGCTAGACAGAAGAATTCTCAGTAACTTCTTTGGGTTGTGGGTATTCAAGTCACAGAGTTGAAGCTTCCTTTAGGCGGAGCAGATTGGAAACACTTTTTGTGGAATTTTCAGGGGGAGACTTCAAGCGCTTTGAAGTGAATGGTAGGAAAGGAAATATCTTCGTATAAAAACTAGACGGAGTCATTCTCAGAAACTACTTTGTGATGTTTGCGTTCAACTCACAGAGTTTAACGTTTCTTTTCATAGAGCAGTTTGGAAACACTCTTTTTGCAGAATCTGCAAGTGGATATTTGGACCTCTTTGTGGCCTTCGTTGGAAACGGGATTTTTCATATAATGCTAGACAGAAGAATTCTCAGTAACTTCTTTTTGTGGTGTGTATTCAACTCACAGAGTTGAACCTTCCTTTAGACAGAGCAGATTTGAAACTCTCTTTTTGTGGAATTTGCAAGTGGAGATTTCAAGCGCTTTGAGGCCAACGGCAGAAAAGGAAATATCTTCGTAGAAAAAATAGACGGAATCATTCTCAGAAACTGCTTTGGGATGTGTGCATTGAACTCACAGTGTTTAACACTTCTTTTCATAGAGCACTTTGGAAACACTCAGTTTGTAATGTCTGCAGCTGGATATTTGGACCTCTTTGAGGCCTTCGTGGTAAACGGGATTTCTTCGTGTAATGATAGACAATAGAATTCTCAGTGAATTTTTTTCTGTGTGTGTGTATTCAACTCACAGGGTTGAACCATCCTTTAGACAGTGCAGATTTGAAACACTTGTCTGTGGAATTTGCAAGGGGAGATTTCAAGCACTTTGAGGCCATTGGTGGAAAAGGAAATATCTTCGTATGAAAACTATACAGAATCATTCTCAGGAACTACTTTGTGATATGGGCATTCAACTCCCAGAGTTTAACCTTTCTTTTCATAGATGAGTTTGGAAACAGTCAGTTTGTAAATTCTGCAACTGGATATTTGGACCTCTTTGAGGCTTTCGTTGGAAACGGGATTTCTTCACATAATGCTAGACAGAAGAATTCTCAGTAACTTCTTTTGGGATGTATGTATTCAAATCAGAGAGTTGAACCTTCCTTTAGACAGAGCGGATTGGAAACACTCTTTTTGTGGAATTTGCAAGTGGAAAATTCTAGCAGTATGAGGCCAATGGTACAAAAGGAAATATCTTCGTATAAAAACTAGACAGTATCGTTCTCAGAAACTGCTTTGTGATGTGTGTATTAAACTCACAGAGTTGAACATTTCTTTGCATAGAGCAGTTTGGAAAGACTTAGTTTGTGCAGTGTGCAAGTGGATATTTGGAACTCTTTGAGGCCTTCGTTGGAAACGGGATTTCTTCTTATAATTCTTGACAAAAGAATTCTCAGTAGCTTCTTTGTGTATGTGTATTCAACTCACAGAGTTGAACCTTCCTTTAGACAGAGCAGATTGGAAACACTCTTTTTGTGGAATTTGCAAGTGGAGAATTCTAGCGCTTTGACGCCAATGGTAGAAAGGAAATATCTTCGTATAAAAACTAGACAGTATCATTCTCAGAAGCTACTTTGTGATGTGTGCGTTCAACTCACAGAGTTTAACCTTTCTTTTCATAGAGCAGTTTGGAAACACTCTGTTTGTGAAGTCTGCAAGTGGATATTTAAACGTCTTTGAGGCCTTCGTTGGAAACGGGATTTTTTCATATAAACCAGGACAGAAGAATTCTCAGAAACTTCTTGATTGTTATGTGTGCATTCAACTCACAGAGTTGAACCTTACTTTGGAAAGAGCAGTTTTCTAACACTCTTTTTGTAAAAGTTCCAAGTGAATACTTTGAGTGCTTTGAAGCCTACGGTTGACAACGAAATATCTTCATGTAAAAACTACAAAGAATCATTCGCAGAAACCACGTTGTGATCTCTGCATTCAACTCACAGTGTTGAACCTTTCTTCCTATAGAGCAGTTATGAAACAGTCTCTTTGTAGAATTTGCAAGGGTGTATTTAGAGGGCATTGAAGCCTACGGTAGAAAAGGAAATATCTTACCATAAAATCTAGTCAGAAGCATTCTCAGAAACTGAGTTGTGATGTTTGCATTCAACTCACAGAGTTCAACATTCCTTTTAATGGAGCGGTTTTGAAACACTCTTTTTGCAGAATCTGCAAGTGGATATTTGGACCTCTTTGAGGCCTTCGTTGGAAACGGGATTTCTTCATGTAATGCCAGACAGAAGAATTCTCAGTGAATTCTTTCTGTGTGTGTGTATTCAACTCACAGAGTTGAACGTTCCTTTAGACAGAGTAGATTGGAAACACTCTTTTTGTGGAATTTTCAGGTGGAGGTATCAAGCGCTTTGAGGCCAATGATAGAAAAGGAAATACCTTCGTATAATAATTAGACGGAATCATTCTCAGAAACCGCTTTGCAATGTGTGCGTTCAACTCACAGTGTTTAACCTTTCTTTTCATACAGTTGTTTCGAAACACTCTTTTTGCAGAATCTGCAAGTGGATATTTGGACCTCTTTGAAGTCTTCGTTGGAAATGGGATTTCTTCATATAATGCTAGACAGAAGACTTCTCAGTAACTGCTTTTTCTGGTGTGTATTCAACTCTCAGAGTTGAACTTTCCTTTAGAAACAGCAGATTTGAAACTCTCTTTTTGTGGAATTTGCAAGTGGAGATTTCAGAGCTTTGAGGCCAATGGTAGAAAAGGAAATATCTTCGTATGCAAACTAGACAGAATCATTCTCAGAAACTACTTTGGTACGTGTGTGTTCAACTCACAGTGTTTAACCTTTCTTTTCATAGAGCAGTTTGGAAACACTCAGTTTGTAAAGTCAGCAACTGGATATTTGGATGTATTTGAGGCCTTCGTTGGAAACGGGATTTCTTCATATAATGCTAGACAGAAGAATTCTCAGTATCTTCTTTGGGTTGTGGGTATTCAACTCACAGAGTTGAAGCTTCCTTTAGGCGGAGCAGATTGGAAACACTTTTTGTGGAATTTTCAGGGGGAGACTTCAAGTGCTTTGAAGTGAATGGTAGAAAAGGAAATATCTTCGTATAAAAACTAGACGGAGTCATTCTCAGAAACTACTTTGTGATGTTTGCGTTCAACTCACAGAGTTTAACGTTTCTTTTCATAGAGCAGTTTGGAAACACTCTTTTTGCAGAATCTGCAAGTGGATATTTGGACCTCTTTGTGGCCTTCGTTGGAAACGGGATTTTTCATATAATGCTAGACAGAAGAATTCTCAGTAACTTCTTTTTGTGGTGTGTATTCAACTCACAGAGTTGAACCTTCCTTTAGACAGAGCAGATTTGAAATTCTCTTTTCGTGGAATTTGCAAGTGGAGATTTCAAGCGCTTTGAGGCCAACGGTAGAAAAGGAAATATCTTCGTAGAAAAAATAGACGGAATCATTCTCAGAAACTGCTTTGGGATGTGTGCATTGAACTCACAGTGTTTAACACTTCTTTTCATAGAGCACTTTGGAAACACTCAGTTTGTAATGTCTGCAGCTGGATATTTGGACCTCTTTGAGGCCTTCGTAGTAAACGGGATTTCTTCGTGTAATGATAGACAATAGAATTCTCAGTGAATTTTTTTCTGTGTGTGTGTATTCAACTCACAGGGTTGAACCTTCCTTTAGACAGTGTAGTTTTGAAACACTTGTCTGTGGAATTTGCAAGGGGAGATTTCAAGCACTTTGAGGCCATTGGTGGAAAAAGAAATATCTTCGTATAAAAACTAGACAGAATCATTCTCAGGAACTACTTTGTGATATGTGCATTCAACTCCCAGAGTTTAACCTTTCTTTTCATAGATGAGTTTGGAAACAGTCAGTTTGTAAATTCTGCAACTGGATATTTGGACCTCTTTGAGGCTTTCGTTGGAAACGGGATTTCTTCACATAATGCTAGACAGAAGAATTCTCAGTAACTTCTTTTGGGATGTATGTATTCAAATCAGAGAGTTGAACCTTCCTTTAGACAGAGCGGATTGGAAACACTCTTTTTGTGGAATTTGCAAGTGGAAAATTCTAGCAGTATGAGGCCAATGGTACAAAAGGAAATATCTTCGTATAAAAACTAGACAGTATCATTCTCAGAAACTGCTTTGTGATGTGTGTATTAAACTCACAGAGTTGAACATTTCTTTGCATAGAGCAGTTTGGAAAGACTTAGTTTGTGCAGTGTGCAAGTGGATATTTGGAACTCTTTGAGGCCTTCGTTGGAAACGGGATTTCTTCTTATAATTTCTTGAAAAAAGAATTCTCAGTAGCTTCTTTGTGTGTGTGTATTCAACTCACAGAGTTGAACCTTCCTTTAGACAGAGCAGATTGGAAACACTCTTTTTGTGGAATTTGCAAGTGGAGAATTCTAGCGCTTTGACGCCAATGGTAGAAAGGAAATATCTTCGTATAAAAACTAGACAGTATCATTCTCAGAAGCTACTTTGTGATGTGTGCGTTCAACTCACAGAGTTTAACCTTTCTTTTCATAGAGCAGTTTGGAAACCCTCTGTTTGTGAAGTCTGCAAGTGGATATTTAAACGTCTTTGAGGCCTTCGTTGGAAACGGGATTTTTTCATATAAACCAGGACAGAAGAATTCTCAGAAACTTCTTGATTGTTATGTGTGCATTCAACTCACAGAGTTCAACCTTACTTTGGAAAGAGCAGTTTTCTAACACTCTTTTTGTAAAAGTTCCAAGTGAATACTTTGAGTGCTTTGAAGCCTACGGTTGACAACGAAATATCTTCATGTAAAAACTACAAGGAATCATTCGCAGAAACCACGTTGTGATCTCTGCATTCAACTCACAGAGTTCAACCTTTCTTCCTATAGAGCAGTTATGAAACAGTCTCTTTGTAGAATTTGCAAGGGTGTATTTAGAGGGCATTGAAGCCTACGGTAGAAAAGGAAATATCTTACCATAAAATCTAGTCAGAAGCATTCTCAGCAACTGAGTTGTGATGTTTGCATTCAACTCACAGAGTTCAACATTCCTTTTAATGGAGCGGTTTTGAAACACTCTTTTTGCAGAATCTGCAAGTGGATATTTCGACCTCTTTGAGGTCTTCGTTGGAAACGGGATTTCTTCATGTAATGCCAGACAGAAGAATTCTCAGTGAATTCTTTCTGTGTGTGTGTATTCAACTCACAGAGTTGAACGTTCCTTTAGACAGAGTAGATTGGAAACACTCTTTTTGTGGAATTTTCAGGTGGAGGTATCAAGCGCTTTGAGGCCAATGATAGAAAAGGAAATACCTTCGTATAATAATTAGACGGAATCATTCTCAGAAACCGCTTTGCAATGTGTGCGTTCAACTCACAGTGTTTAACCTTTCTTTTCATACAGTTGTTTCGAAACACTCTTTTTGCAGAATCTGCAAGTGGATATTTGGACCTCTTTGAAGTCTTCGTTGGAAATGGGATTTCTTCATATAATGCTAGACAGAAGACTTCTCAGTAACTGCTTTTTCTGGTGTGTATTCAACTCTCAGAGTTGAACTTTCCTTTAGAAACAGCAGATTTGAAACTCTCTTTTTGTGGAATTTGCAAGTGGAGATTTCAGAGCTTTGAGGCCAATGGTAGAAAAGGAAATATCTTCGTATGCAAACTAGACAGAATCATTCTCAGAAACTACTTTGGTACGTGTGTGTTCAACTCACAGTGTTTAACCTTTCTTTTCATAGAGCAGTTTGGAAACACTCAGTTTGTAAAGTCAGCAACTGGATATTTGGATGTATTTGAGGCCTTCGTTGGAAACGGGATTTCTTCATATAATGCTAGACAGAAGAATTCTCAGTAACTTCTTTGGGTTGTGGGTATTCAAGTCACAGAGTTGAAGCTTCCTTTAGGCGGAGCAGATTGGAAACACTTTTTGTGGAATTTTCAGGGGGAGACTTCAAGCGCTTTGAAGTGAATGGTAGGAAAGGAAATATCTTCGTATAAAAACTAGACGGAGTCATTCTCAGAAACTACTTTGTGATGTTTGCGTTCAACTCACAGAGTTTAACGTTTCTTTTCATAGAGCAGTTTGGAAACACTCTTTTTGCAGAATCTGCAAGTGGATATTTGGACCTCTTTGTGGCCTTCGTTGGAAACGGGATTTTTCATATAATGCTAGACAGAAGAATTCTCAGTAACTTCTTTTTGTGGTGTGTATTCAACTCACAGAGTTGAACCTTCCTTTAGACAGAGCAGATTTGAAACTCTCTTTTTGTGGAATTTGCAAGTGGAGATTTCAAGCGCTTTGAGGCCAACGGCAGAAAAGGAAATATCTTCGTAGAAAAAATAGACGGAATCATTCTCAGAAACTGCTTTGGGATGTGTGCATTGAACTCACAGTGTTTAACACTTCTTTTCATAGAGCACTTTGGAAACACTCAGTTTGTAATGTCTGCAGCTGGATATTTGGACCTCTTTGAGGCCTTCGTAGTAAACGGGATTTCTTCGTGTAATGATAGACAATAGAATTCTCAGTGAATTTTTTTCTGTGTGTGTGTATTCAACTCACAGGGTTGAACCTTCCTTTAGACAGTGCAGATTTGAAACACTTGTCTGTGGAATTTGCAAGGGGAGATTTCAAGCACTTTGAGGCCATTGGTGGAAAAGGAAATATCTTCGTATGAAAACTAGACAGAATCATTCTCAGGAACTACTTTGTGATATGTGCATTCAACTCACAGAGTTTAACCTTTCTTTTCATAGATGAGTTTGGAAACAGTCAGTTTGTAAATTCTGCAACTGGATATTTGGACCTCTTTGAGGCTTTCGTTGGAAACGGGATTTCTTCACATAATGCTAGACAGAAGAATTCTCAGTAACTTCTTTTGGGATGTATGTATTCAAATCAGAGAGTTGAACCTTCCTTTAGACAGAGCGGATTGGAAACACTCTTTTTGTGGAATTTGCAAGTGGAAAATTCTAGCAGTATGAGGCCAATGGTACAAAAGG
The DNA here is from genome assembly GCF_000001405.40 of Homo sapiens. Lineage (NCBI taxonomy): Eukaryota > Metazoa > Chordata > Mammalia > Primates > Hominidae > Homo > Homo sapiens. The sequence goes on from NC_000003.12 coordinate 92,884,554, forward strand.
AAATATCTTCGTATAAAAACTAGACAGTATCATTCTCAGAAACTGCTTTGTGATGTGTGTATTAAACTCACAGAGTTGAACATTTCTTTGCATAGAGCAGTTTGGAAAGACTTAGTTTGTGCAGTGTGCAAGTGGATATTTGGAACTCTTTGAGGCCTTCGTTGGAAACGGGATTTCTTCTTATAATTCTTGACAAAAGAATTCTCAGTAGCTTCTTTGTGTGTGTGTATTCAACTCACAGAGTTGAACCTTCCTTTAGACAGAGCAGATTGGAAACACTCTTTTTGTGGAATTTGCAAGTGGAGAATTCTAGCGCTTTGACGCCAATGGTAGAAAGGAAATATCTTCGTATAAAAACTAGACAGTATCATTCTCAGAAGCTACTTTGTGATGTGTGCGTTCAACTCACAGAGTTTAACCTTTCTTTTCATAGAGCAGTTTGGAAACCCTCTGTTTGTGAAGTCTGCAAGTGGATATTTAAACGTCTTTGAGGCCTTCGTTGGAAACGGGATTTTTTCATATAAACCAGGACAGAAGAATTCTCAGAAACTTCTTGATTGTTATGTGTGCATTCAACTCACAGAGTTGAACCTTACTTTGGAAAGAGCAGTTTTCTAACACTCTTTTTGTAAAAGTTCCAAGTGAATACTTTGAGTGCTTTGAAGCCTACGGTTGACAACGAAATATCTTCATGTAAAAACTACAAAGAATCATTCACAGAAACCACGTTGTGATCTCTGCATTCAACTCACAGAGTTCAACCTTTCTTCCTATAGAGCAGTTATTAAACAGTCTCTTTGTAGAATTTGCAAGGGTGTATTTAGAGGGCATTGAAGCCTACGGTAGAAAAGGAAATATCTTATCATAAAATCTAGTCAGAAGCATTCTCAGCAACTGAGTTGTGATGTTTGCATTCAACTCACAGAGTTCAACATTCCTTTTAATGGAGCGGTTTTGAAACACTCTTTTTGCAGAATCTGCAAGTGGATATTTGGACCTCTTTGAGGCCTTCGTTGGAAACGGGATTTCTTCACGTAATGCCAGACAGAAGAATTCTCAGTGAATTCTTTCTGTGTGTGTGTATTCAACTCACAGAGTTGAACGTTCCTTTAGACAGAGTAGATTGGAAACACTCTTTTTGTGGAATTTTCAGGTGGAGGTATCAAGCGCTTTGAGGCCAATGATAGAAAAGGAAATACCTTCGTATAATAATTAGACGGAATCATTCTCAGAAACCGCTTTGCAATGTGTGCGTTCAACTCACAGTGTTTAACCTTTCTTTTCATACAGTTGTTTCGAAACACTCTTTTTGCAGAATCTGCAAGTGGATATTTGGACCTCTTTGAAGTCTTCGTTGGAAATGGGATTTCTTCATATAATGCTAGACAGAAGACTTCTCAGTAACTGCTTTTTCTGGTGTGTATTCAACTCTCAGAGTTGAACTTTCCTTTAGAAACAGCAGATTTGAAACTCTCTTTTTGTGGAATTTGCAAGTGGAGATTTCAGAGCTTTGAGGCCAATGGTAGAAAAGGAAATATCTTCGTATGCAAACTAGACAGAATCATTCTCAGAAACTACTTTGGTACGTGTGTGTTCAACTCACAGTGTTTAACCTTTCTTTTCATAGAGCAGTTTGGAAACACTCAGTTTGTAAAGTCAGCAACTGGATATTTGGATGTATTTGAGGCCTTCGTTGGAAACGGGATTTCTTCATATAATGCTAGACAGAAGAATTCTCAGTAACTTCTTTGGGTTGTGGGTATTCAAGTCACAGAGTTGAAGCTTCCTTTAGGCGGAGCAGATTGGAAACACTTTTTGTGGAATTTTCAGGGGGAGACTTCAAGCGCTTTGAAGTGAATGGTAGGAAAGGAAATATCTTCGTATAAAAACTAGACGGAGTCATTCTCAGAAACTACTTTGTGATGTTTGCGTTCAACTCACAGAGTTTAACGTTTCTTTTCATAGAGCAGTTTGGAAACACTCTTTTTGCAGAATCTGCAAGTGGATATTTGGACCTCTTTGTGGCCTTCGTTGGAAACGGGATTTTTCATATAATGCTAGACAGAAGAATTCTCAGTAACTTCTTTTTGTGGTGTGTATTCAACTCACAGAGTTGAACCTTCCTTTAGACAGAGCAGATTTGAAACTCTCTTTTTGTGGAATTTGCAAGTGGAGATTTCAAGCGCTTTGAGGCCAACGGCAGAAAAGGAAATATCTTCGTAGAAAAAATAGACGGAATCATTCTCAGAAACTGCTTTGGGATGTGTGCATTGAACTCACAGTGTTTAACACTTCTTTTCATAGAGCACTTTGGAAACACTCAGTTTGTAATGTCTGCAGCTGGATATTTGGACCTCTTTGAGGCCTTCGTAGTAAACGGGATTTCTTCGTGTAATGATAGACAATAGAATTCTCAGTGAATTTGTTTCTGTGTGTGTGTATTCAACTCACAGGGTTGAACCTTCCTTTAGACAGTGCAGATTTGAAACACTTGTCTGTGGAATTTGCAAGGGGAGATTTCAAGCACTTTGAGGCCATTGGTGGAAAAGGAAATATCTTCGTATAAAAACTAGACAGAATCATTCTCAGGAACTACTTTGTGATATGTGCATTCAACTCACAGAGTTTAACCTTTCTTTTCATAGATGAGTTTGGAAACAGTCAGTTTGTAAATTCTGCAACTGGATATTTGGACCTCTTTGAGGCTTTCGTTGGAAACGGGATTTCTTCACATAATGCTAGACAGAAGAATTCTCAGTAAATTCTTTTGGGATGTATGTATTCAAATCAGAGAGTTGAACCTTCCTTTAGACAGAGCGGATTGGAAACACTCTTTTTGTGGAATTTGCAAGTGGAAAATTCTAGCAGTATGAGGCCAATGGTACAAAAGGAAATATCTTCGTACAAAAACTAGACAGTATCATTCTCAGAAACTGCTTTGTGATGTGTGTATTAAACTCACAGAGTTGAACATTTCTTTGCATAGAGCAGTTTGGAAAGACTTAGTTTGTGCAGTGTGCAAGTGGATATTTGGAACTCTTTGAGGCCTTCGTTGGAAACGGGATTTCTTCTTATAATTTCTTGACAAAAGAATTCTCAGTAGCTTCTTTGTGTGTGTGTATTCAACTCACAGAGTTGAACCTGCCTTCAGGCAGAGCAGATTGGAAACCCTCTTTTTGTGGAATTTGCAAGTGGAGAATTCTAGCGCTTTGACGCCAATGGTAGGAAAGGAAATATCTTCGTATAAAAATTGGACAGTATCATTCTCAGAAGCTACTTTGTGATGTGTGCGTTCAACTCACAGAGTTTAACCTTTCTTTTCATAGAGCAGTTTGGAAACCCTCTGTTTGTGAAGTCTGCAAGTGGATATTTAAACGTCTTTGAGGCCTTCGTTGGAAACGGGATTTTTTCATATAAACCAGGACAGAAAGAATTCTCAGAAACTTCTTGTTTGTTATGTGTGCATTCAACTCACAGAGTTGAACCTTACTTTGGAAAGAGCAGTTTTCTAACACTCTTTTTGTAAAAGTTCCAAGTGAATACTTTGAATGCTTTGAAGCCTACGGTAGACAACGAAATATCTTCATGTAAAAACTACAAAGAATCATTCGCAGAAACCACGTTGTGATCTCTGCATTCAACTCACAGAGTTGAACCTTTCTTCCTATAGAGCAGTTATGAAACAGTCTCTTTGTAGAATTTGCAAGGGTGTATTTAGAGGGCATTGAAGCCTACGGTATAAAAGGAAATATCTTACCATAAAATCTAGTCAGAAGCATTCTCAGCAACTGAGTTGTGATGTTTGCATTCAACTCACAGAGTTCAACATTCCTTTTAATGGAGCGGTTTTGAAACACTCTTTTTGCAGAATCTGCAAGTGGATATTTGGACCTCTTTGAGGTCTTCGTTGGAAACGGGATTTCTTCATGTAATGCCAGACAGAAGAATTCTCAGTGAATTCTTTCTGTGTGTGTGTATTCAACTCACAGAGTTGAACGTTCCTTTAGACAGAGTAGATTGGAAACACTCTTTTTGTGGAATTTTCAGGTGGAGGTATCAAGCGCTTTGAGGCCAATGATAGAAAAGGAAATACCTCGTATAATAATTAGACGGAATCATTCTCAGAAACTGCTTTGCAATGTGTGCGTTCAACTCACAGTGTTTAACCTTTCTTTTCATACAGTTGTTTCGAAACACTCTTTTTGCAGAATCTGCAAGTGGATATTTGGACCTCTTTGAAGTCTTCGTTGGAAATGGGATTTCTTCATATAATGCTAGACAGAAGACTTCTCAGTAACTGCTTTTTCTGGTGTGTATTCAACTCTCAGAGTTGAACTTTCCTTTAGAAACAGCAGATTTGAAACTCTCTTTTTGTGGAATTTGCAAGTGCAGATTTCAGAGCTTTGAGGCCAATGGTAGAAAAGGAAATATCTTCGTATGCAAACTAGACAGAATCATTCTCAGAAACTACTTTGGTACGTGTGTGTTCAACTCACAGTGTTTAACCTTTCTTTTCATAGAGCAGTTTGGAAACACTCAGTTTGTAAAGTCAGCAACTGGATATTTGGATGTATTTGAGGCCTTCGTTGGAAACGGGATTTCTTCATATAGTGCTAGACAGAAGAATTCTCAGTAACTTCTTTGGGTTGTGGGTATTCAAGTCACAGAGTTGAAGCTTCCTTTAGGCGGAGCAGATTGGAAACACTTTTTGTGAAATTTTCAGGGGGAGACTTCAAGCGCTTTGAAGTGAATGGTAGGAAAGGAAATATCTTCGTATAAAAACTAGACGGAGTCATTCTCAGAAACTACTTTGTGATGTTTGCGTTCAACTCACAGAGTTTAACGTTTCTTTTCATAGAGCAGTTTGGAAACACTCTTTTTGCAGAATCTGCAAGTGGATATTTGGACCTCTTTGTGGCCTTCGTTGGAAACGGGATTTTTCATATAATGCTAGACAGAAGAATTCTCAGTAACTTCTTTTTGTGGTGTGTATTCAACTCACAGAGTTGAACCTTCCTTTAGACAGAGCAGATTTGAAACTCTCTTTTTGTGGAATTTGCAAGTGGAGATTTGAAGCGCTTTGAGGCCAACGGTAGAAAAGGAAATATCTTCGTAGAAAAAATAGACGGAATCATTCTCAGAAACTGCTTTGGGATGTGTGCATTGAACTCACAGTGTTTAACACTTCTTTTCATAGAGCACTTTGGAAACACTCAGTTTGTAATGTCTGCAGCTGGATATTTGGACCTCTTTGAGGCCTTCGTAGTAAACGGGATTTCTTCGTGTAATGATAGACAATAGAATTCTCAGTGAATTTTTTTCTGTGTGTGTGTATTCAACTCACAGGGTTGAACCTTCCTTTAGACAGTGCAGATTTGAAACACTTGTCTGTGGAATTTGCAAGGGGAGATTTCAAGCACTTTGAGGCCATTGGTGGAAAAGGAAATATCTTCGTATAAAAACTAGACAGAATCATTCTCAGGAACTACTTTGTGATATGTGCATTCAACTCCCAGAGTTTAACCTTTCTTTTCATAGATGAGTTTGGAAACAGTCAGTTTGTAAATTCTGCAACTGGATATTTGGACCTCTTTGAGGCTTTCGTTGGAAACGGGATTTCTTCACATAATGCTAGACAGAAGAATTCTCAGTAACTTCTTTTGGGATGTATGTATTCAAATCAGAGAGTTGAACCTTCCTTTAGACAGAGCGGATTGGAAACACTCTTTTTGTGGAATTTGCAAGTGGAAAATTCTAGCAGTAGGAGGCCAATGGTACAAAAGGAAATATCTTCGTATAAAAACTAGACAGTATCATTCTCAGAAACTGCTTTGTGATGTGTGCATTAAACTCACAGAGTTGAACATTTCTTTTTCATAGAGCAGTTTGGAAAGACTTAGTTTGTACAGTCTGCAAGTGGATATTTGGAACTCTTTGAGGCCTTCGTTGGAAACGGGATTTCTTATAATTCTTGACAAAAGAATTCTCAGTAGCTTCTTTGTGTGTGTGTATTCAACTCACAGAGTTGAACCTTCCTTTAGACAGAGCAGATTGGAAACACCCATTTGGTGGAATTTGCAAGTGGAGAATTCTACGATTTGAGGTCAATGGTAGAAAAGGAAATATCTTCGTATAAAAACTAAACAGTATCATTCTCAGAAACTATATTGTGATGTGTGTGTTCAACTCAGAGTTTAACCTTTCTTTTCATAGAGCAGTTTGGAAACACTCTGTTTATGAAGTCTGCAAGTGGATATTTGAACGTCTTTGAGGCCTTCGTTGGAAACGGGATTTCTTCATATAAACCAGGACAGAAGAATTCTCAGAAACTTCTTCTTTGTTATGTGTGCATTCAACTCACAGAGTTGAACCTTACTTTGGAAAGAGCAGTTTTCTAACACTCTTTTTGTAAAACTTCCAAGTGCATACTTTGAGTGCTTTGAAGCCTACGGTAGACAACGAAATATCTGCATGTAAAAACTACAAAGAATCATTCGCAGAAACCACGTTGTGATCTGTGCACTCAACTCACAGAGTTCAACCTTTCTTTCTATAGAGCAGTTATGAAACACTCTCTTTTTGGAATTTGCAAGGGTGTATTTAGAGGGCACTGAAGCCTACGATAGAAAAGGAAATATCTGACCATAAAAACTAGACAGAAGCATTCTCAGAAACTGAGTTGTGATGTTTGCGTTCAACTCACAGAGTTCAACATTCCTTTTAATAGAGCGGTTTTGAAACACTCTATTTGCAGAATCTGCAAGTGGACATTTGGACCTCTTTGAGGCCTTCGTTGGAAACGGGATTTCTTCATGTAAATGCCAGACAGAAGAATTCTCAGTGAATTCTTTCTGTGTGTGTGTATTCAACTCACCGAGTTGAACGTTCCTTTAGACAGAGTAGATTGGAAACACTCTTTTTGTGGAATTTTCAGGTGGAGATATCAAGCGCTTTGAGGCCAATGATAGAAAAGGAAATACCTTCGTATAATAATTAGACGGAATCATTCTCAGAAACTGCTTTGCAATGTGTGCGTTGAACTCACAGAGTTTAACTTTCTTTTCATACAGTTGTTTCGAAACACTCTTTTTGCAGAATCTTCAAGTGGATATTTTTTTGGACTTCTTTGAAGTCTTCGTTGGAAACGGGATTTCTTCATATAATGCTGGACAGAAGAATTCTCAGTAACTGCTTTTTCTGGTTTGTATTCAACTCACAGAGTTGAACCTTCCTTTAGACAGAGCAGATTTGAAACTCTCTTTTTGTGGTATTTGCAAGTGGAGAATTCAAGTGCTTTGAGGCCAACGGTAGAAAAGGGAATATCTTCGTAGAAAAAATAGATGGAATCATTCTCAGAAACTGCTTTGTGATGTGTGCATTGAACTCACAGTGTTTAACACTTCTTTTCATAGAGCACTTTGGAAACACTCAGTTTGTATTGTCTGCAACTGGATATTTGGACCTCTTTGATGCATTTGTGGTAAACGGGATTTCTTCGTGTAATGATAGACAGTAGTATTCTCAGTGAATTTTTTTTTTGTGTGTGTATTCAACTCACAGGGTTGAACCTTCCCTTAGACAGTGCAGATTTGAAACACTTTTGTGGAATTTGCAAGGGGAGATTTCAAGCACCTTGAGGGCAGTGGTGGAAAAGGAAATATCTTCGTATAAAAACTAGACAGAATCATTCTCAGGAACTACTTTGTGATACGTGCATTCAACTCACAGTTTAACCTTTCTTTTCATAGATGAGTTTAGAAACAGTCAGTTTGTAAATTCTGCAACTGGATATTTGGACCTCTTTGAGGCTTTCGTTGGAAACGGGATTTCTTCACATAATGCTAGACAGAAGAATTCTCAGTAACTTCTTTTGGGATGTATGTATTCAAATCAGAGAGTTGAACCTTCCTTTAGACAGAGCGGATTGGAAACACTCTTTTTGTGGAATTTGCAAGTGGAAAATTCTAGCAGTATGAGGCCAATGGTACAAAAGGAAATATCTTCGTATAAAAACTAGACAGTATCATTCTCAGAAACTGCTTTGTGATGTGTGTATTAAACTCACAGAGTTGAACATTTCTTTGCATAGAGCAGTTTGGAAAGACTTAGTTTGTGCAGTGTGCAAGTGGATATTTGGAACTCTTTGAGGCCTTCGTTGGAAACGGGATTTCTTCTTATAATTCTTGACAAAAGAATTCTCAGTAGCTTCTTTGTGTGTGTGTATTCAACTCACAGAGTTGAACCTTCCTTTAGACAGAGCAGATTGGAAACACTCTTTTTGTGGAATTTGCAAGTGGAGAATTCTAGCGCTTTGACGCCAATGGTAGAAAGGAAATATCTTCGTATAAAAACTAGACAGTATCATTCTCAGAAGCTACTTTGTGATGTGTGCGTTCAACTCACAGAGTTTAACCTTTCTTTTCATAGAGCAGTTTGGAAACCCTCTGTTTGTGAAGTCTGCAAGTGGATATTTAAACGTCTTTGAGGCCTTCGTTGGAAACGGGATTTTTTCATATAAACCAGGACAGAAGAATTCTCAGAAACTTCTTGATTGTTATGTGTGCATTCAACTCACAGAGTTGAACCTTACTTTGGAAAGAGCAGTTTTCTAACACTCTTTTTGTAAAAGTTCCAAGTGAATACTTTGAGTGCTTTGAAGCCTACGGTTGACAACGAAATATCTTCATGTAAAAACTACAAAGAATCATTCGCAGAAACCACGTTGTGATCTCTGCAGTCAACTCACAGAGTTCAACCTTTCTTCCTATAGAGCAGTTATGAAACAGTCTCTTTGTAGAATTTGCAAGGGTGTATTTAGAGGGCATTGAAGCCTACGGTAGAAAAGGAAATATCTTACCATAAAATCTAGTCAGAAGCATTCTCAGAAACTGAGTTGTGATGTTTGCATTCAACTCAAAGAGTTCAACATTCCTTTTAATGGAGCGGTTTTGAAACACTCTTTTTGCAGAATCTGCAAGTGGATATTTGGACCTCTTTGAGGCCTTCGTTGGAAACGGGATTTCTTCATGTAATGCCAGACAGAAGAATTCTCAGTGAATTCTTTCTGTGTGTGTGTATTCAACTCACAGAGTTGAACGTTCCTTTAGACAGAGTAGATTGGAAACACTCTTTTTGTGGAATTTTCAGGTGGAGGTATCAAGCGCTTTGAGGCCAATGATAGAAAAGGAAATACCTTCGTATAATAATTAGACGGAATCATTCTCAGAAACCGCTTTGCAATGTGTGCGTTCAACTCACAGTGTTTAACCTTTCTTTTCATACAGTTGTTTCGAAACACTCTTTTTGCAGAATCTGCAAGTGGATATTTGGACCGCTTTGAAGTCTTCGTTGGAAATGGGATTTCTTCATATAATGCTAGACAGAAGACTTCTCAGTAACTGCTTTTTCTGGTGTGTATTCAACTCTCAGAGTTGAACTTTCCTTTAGAAACAGCAGATTTGAAACTCTCTTTTTGTGGAATTTGCAAGTGGAGATTTCAGAGCTTTGAGGCCAATGGTAGAAAAGGAAATATCTTCGTATGCAAACTAGACAGAATCATTCTCAGAAACTACTTTGGTACGTGTGTGTTCAACTCACAGTGTTTAACCTTTCTTTTCATAGAGCAGTTTGGAAACACTCAGTTTGTAAAGTCAGCAACTGGATATTTGGATGTATTTGAGGCCTTCGTTGGAAACGGGATTTCTTCATATAATGCTAGACAGAAGAATTCTCAGTAACTTCTTTGGGTTGTGGGTATTCAAGTCACAGAGTTGAAGCTTCCTTTAGGCGGAGCAGATTGGAAACACTTTTTGTGGAATTTTCAGGGGGAGACTTCAAGCGCTTTGAAGTGAATGGTAGGAAAGGAAATATCTTCGTATAAAAACTAGACGGAGTCATTCTCAGAAACTACTTTGTGATGTTTGCGTTCAACTCACAGAGTTTAACGTTTCTTTTCATAGAGCAGTTTGGAAACACTCTTTTTGCAGAATCTGCAAGTGGATATTTGGACCTCTTTGTGGCCTTCGTTGGAAACGGGATTTTTCATATAATGCTAGACAGAAGAATTCTCAGTAACTTCTTTTTGTGGTGTGTATTCAACTCACAGAGTTGAACCTTCCTTTAGACAGAGCAGATTTGAAACTCTCTTTTTGTGGAATTTGCAAGTGGAGATTTCAAGCGCTTTGAGGCCAACGGCAGAAAAGGAAATATCTTCGTAGAAAAAATAGACGGAATCATTCTCAGAAACTGCTTTGGGATGTGTGCATTGAACTCACAGTGTTTAACACTTCTTTTCATAGAGCACTTTGGAAACACTCAGTTTGTAATGTCTGCAGCTGGATATTTGGACCTCTTTGAGGCCTTCGTAGTAAACGGGATTTCTTCGTGTAATGATAGACAATAGAATTCTCAGTGAATTTTTTTCTGTGTGTGTGTATTCAACTCACAGGGTTGAACCTTCCTTTAGACAGTGCAGATTTGAAACACTTGTCTGTGGAATTTGCAAGGGGAGATTTCAAGCACTTTGAGGCCATTGGTGGAAAAGGAAATATCTTCGTATGAAAACTAGACAGAATCATTCTCAGGAACTACTTTGTGATATGTGCATTCAACTCACAGAGTTTAACCTTTCTTTTCATAGATGAGTTTGGAAACAGTCAGTTTGTAAATTCTGCAACTGGATATTTGGACCTCTTTGAGGCTTTCGTTGGAAACGGGATTTCTTCACATAATGCTAGACAGAAGAATTCTCAGTAACTTCTTTTGGGATGTATGTATTCAAATCAGAGAGTTGAACCTTCCTTTAGACAGAGCGGATTGGAAACACTCTTTTTGTGGAATTTGCAAGTGGAAAATTCTAGCAGTATGAGGCCAATGGTACAAAAGGAAATATCTTCGTATAAAAACTAGACAGTATCATTCTCAGAAACTGCTTTGCGATGTGTGTATTAAACTCACAGAGTTGAACATTTCTTTGCATAGAGCAGTTTGGAAAGACTTAGTTTGTGCAGTGTGCAAGTGGATATTTGGAACTACTTTGAGGCCTTCGTTGGAAACGGGATTTCTTCTTATAATTCTTGACAAAAGAATTCTCAGTAGCTTCTTTGTGTGTGTGTATTCAACTCACAGAGTTGAACCTTCCTTTAGACAGAGCAGATTGGAAACACTCTTTTTGTGGAATTTGCAAGTGGAGAATTCTAGCGCTTTGACGCCAATGGTAGAAAGGAAATATCTTCGTATAAAAACTAGACAGTATCATTCTCAGAAACTACTTTGTGATGTGTGCGTTCAACTCACAGAGTTTAACCTTTCTTTTCATAGAGCAGTTTGGAAACACTCTGTGAAGTCTGCAAGTGGATATTTAAACGTCTTTGAGGCCTTCGTTGGAAACGGGATTTTTTCATATAAACCAGGACAGAAGAATTCTCAGAAACTTCTTGATTGTTATGTGTGCATTCAACTCACAGAGTTGAACCTTACTTTGGAAAGAGCAGTTTTCTAACACTCTTTTTGTAAAAGTTCCAAGTGAATACTTTGAGTGCTTTGAAGCCTACGGTTGACAACGAAATATCTTCATGTAAAAACTACAAAGAATCATTCGCAGAAACCACGTTGTGATCTCTGCATTCAACTCACAGAGTTGAACCTTTCTTCCTATAGAGCAGTTATGAAACAGTCTCTTTGTAGAATTTGCAAGGGTGTATTTAGAGGGCATTGAAGCCTACGGTAGAAAAGGAAATATCTTACCATAAAATCTAGTCAGAAGCATTCTCAGAAACTGAGTTGTGATGTTTGCATTCAACTCACAGAGTTCAACATTCCTTTTAATGGAGCGGTTTTGAAACACTCTTTTTGCAGAATCTGCAAGTGGATATTTGGACCTCTTTGAGGCCTTCGTTGGAAACGGGATTTCTTCATGTAATGCCAGACAGAAGAATTCTCAGTGAATTCTTTCTGTGTGTGTGTATTCAACTCACAGAGTTGAACGTTCCTTTAGACAGAGTAGATTGGAAACACTGTTTTTGTGGAATTTTCAGGTGGAGGTATCAAGCGCTTTGAGGCCAATGATAGAAAAGGAAATACCTTCGTATAATAATTAGACGGAATCATTCTCAGAAACTGCTTTGCAATGTGTGCGTTCAACTCACAGTGTTTAACCTTTCTTTTCATACAGTTGTTTCGAAACACTCTTTTTGCAGAATCTGCAAGTGGATATTTGGACCTCTTTGAAGTCTTCGTTGGAAATGGGATTTCTTCATATAATGCTAGACAGAAGACTTCTCAGTAACTGCTTTTTCTGGTGTGTATTCAACTCTCAGAGTTGAACTTTCCTTTAGAAACAGCAGAGTTGAAACTCTCTTTTTGTGGAATTTGCAAGTGGAGATTTCAAAGCTTTGAGGCCAATGGTAGAAAAGGAAATATCTTCGTATGCAAACTAGACAGAATCATTCTCAGAAACTACTTTGGTACGTGTGTGTTCAACTCACAGTGTTTAACCTTTCTTTTCATAGAGCAGTTTGGAAACACTCAGTTTGTAAAGTCAGCAACTGGATATTTGGATGTATTTGAGGCCTTCGTTGGAAACGGGATTTCTTCATATAATGCTAGACAGAAGAATTCTCAGTAACTTCTTTGGGTTGTGGGTATTCAAGTCACAGAGTTGAAGCTTCCTTTAGGCGGAGCAGATTGGAAACACTTTTTGTGGAATTTTCAGGGGGAGACTTCAAGCGCTTTGAAGTGAATGGTAGGAAAGGAAATATCTTCGTATAAAAACTAGACGGAGTCATTCTCAGAAACTACTTTGTGATGTTTGCGTTCAACTCACAGAGTTTAACGTTTCTTTTCATAGAGCAGTTTGGAAACACTCTTTTTGCAGAATCTGCAAGTGGATATTTGGACCTCTTTGTGGCCTTCGTTGGAAACGGGATTTTTCATATAATGCTAGACAGAAGAATTCTCAGTAACTTCTTTTTGTGGTGTGTATTCAACTCACAGAGTTGAACCTTCCTTTAGAAAGAGCAGATTTGAAACTCTCTTTTTGTGGAATTTGCAAGTGGAGATTTCAAGCGCTTTGAGGCCAACGGTAGAAAAGGAAATATCTTCGTAGAAAAAATAGACGGAATCATTCTCAGAAACTGCTTTGGGATGTGTGCATTGAACTCACAGTGTTTAACACTTCTTTTCATAGAGCACTTTGGAAACACTCAGTTTGTAATGTCTGCAGCTGGATATTTGGACCTCTTTGAGGCCTTCGTAGTAAACGGGATTTCTTCGTGTAATGATAGACAATAGAATTCTCAGTGAATTTTTTTCTGTGTGTGTGTATTCAACTCACAGGGTTGAACCTTCCTTTAGACAGTGCAGATTTGAAACACTTGTCTGTGGAATTTGCAAGGGGAGATTTCAAGCACTTTGAGGCCATTGGTGGAAAAAGAAATATCTTCGTATAAAAACTAGACAGAATCATTCTCAGGAACTACTTTGTGATATGTGCATTCAACTCACAGAGTTTAACCTTTCTTTTCATAGATGAGTTTGGAAACAGTCAGTTTGTAAATTCTGCAACTGGATATTTGGACCTCTTTGAGGCTTTCGTTGGAAACGGGATTTCTTCACATAATGCTAGACAGAAGAATTCGCAGTAACTTCTTTTGGGATGTATGTATTCAACTCAGAGAGTTGAACCTTCCTTTAGACAGAGCGGATTGGAAACACGCTTTTTGCGGAATTTTCAGGTGGAGATTTCAAGAGCCTTGAGGCCAATGGTAGAAAAGGCTAACTTCGTATAAAAACTAGACGGAATCATTCTCAGAAACTGCTTTGTGATGTGTGCATTAAACTCACAGAGTTGAACATTTCTTTGCATAGAGCAGTTTGGAAAGACTTAGTTTGTACAGTGTGCAAGTGGATATTTGGAACTCTTTGAGGCCTTCGTTGGAAACGGGATTTCTTCTTATAATTCTTGACAAAAGAATTCTCAGTAGCTTCTTTGTGTGTGTGTATTCAACTCACAGAGTTGAACCTTCCTTTAGACAGAGCAGATTGGAAACACTCTTTTTGTGGAATTTGCAAGTGGAGAATTCTAGCGCTTTGACGCCAATGGAAGGAAAGGAAATATCTCCGTATAAAAACTAGACAGTATCATTCTCAGAAACTACTTTGTGATGTGTGCGTTCAACTCACAGAGTTTAACCTTTCTTTTCATAGAGCAGTTTGGAAACACTCTGTTTGTGAAGTCTGCAAGTGGATATTTAAACGTCTTTGAGGCCTTCGTTGGAAACGGGATTTTTTCATATAAACCAGGACAGAAGAATTCTCAGAAACTTCTTGTTTGTTATGTGTGCATTCAACTCACAGAGTTGAACGTTACTTTGGAAAGAGCAGTTTTCTAACACTCTTTTTGTAAAAGTTCCAAGTGAATACTTTGAGTGCTTTCAAGCCTACGGTAGAGAACGAAATATCTTCATGTAAAAACTGCGAAGAATCATTCGCCGAAACCACGTTGTGATCTCTGCATTCAACTCACAGAGTTCAACCTTTCTTCCTATAGAGCAGTTATTAAACAGTCTCTTTGTAGAATTTGCAAGGGTGTATTTAGAGGGCATTGAAGCCTACAGTAGAAAAGGAAATATCTGACAATAAAATCTAGTCAGAAGCATTCTCAGAAACTGAGTTGTGATGTTTGCATTCAACTCACAGAGTTCAACATTCCTTTTCATGGAGCGGTTTTGAAACACTCTTTTTGCAGAATCTGCAAGTGGATATTTGGACCTCTTTGAGGCCTTCGTTGGAAACGGGATTTCTTCATGTAATGCCAGACAGAAGAACTCTCAGTGAATTCTTTCTGTGTGTGTGTATTCAACTCACAGAGTTGAACGTTCCTTTAGACAGAGTAGATTGGAAACACTCTTTTTGTGGAATTTTCAGGTGGAGGTATCAAGCGCTTTGAGGCCCATGATAGAAAAGGAAATACCTTCGTATAATAATTAGACGGAATCATTCTCAGAAACTGCTTTGCAATGTGTGCCTTCAACTCACAGCGTTTAACCTTTCTTTTCATACAGTTGTTTCGAAACACTCTTTTTGCAGAATCTGCAAGTGGATATTTGGACCTCTTTGAAGTCTTCGTTGGAAATGGGATTTCTTCATATAATGCTAGACAGAAGACTTCTCAGTAACTGCTTTTTCTGGTGTGTATTCAACTCTCAGAGTTGAACTTTCCTTTAGAAACAGCAGATTTGAAACTCTCTTTTTGTGGAATTTGCAAGTGGAGATTTCAAAGCTTTGAGGCCAATGGTAGAAAAGGAAATATCTTCGTATGCAAACTAGACAGAATCATTCTCAGAAACTACTTTGGTACGTGTGTGTTCAACTCACAGTGTTTAACCTTTCCTTTCATAGAGCAGTTTGGAAACACTCAGTTTGTAAAGTCAGCAACTGGATATCTGGATGTATTTGAGGCCTTCGTTGGAAACGGGATTTCTTCATGTAATGCTAGACAGAAGAATTCTCAGTAACTTCTTTGGGTTGTGGGTATTCAACTCACAGAGCTGAAGCTTCCTTTAGGCGGAGCAGATTGGAAACACTTTTTGTGGAATTTTCAGGGGGAGACTTCAAGCGCTTTGAGGCCAACGGTAGAAAAGGAAATATCTTCGTATAAAAACTAGACGGAGTCATTCTCAGAAACTACTTTGTGATGTTTGCGTTCAACTCACAGAGTTTAACGTTTCTTTTCATAGAGCAGTTTGGAAACACTCTTTTTACAGAATCTGCAAGTGGATATTTGGACCTCTTTCTGGCCTTCGTTGGAAACGGGATTTTTCATATAATGCTAGACAGAAAAATTCTCAGTAACTTCTTTTTGTGGTGTGTATTCAACTCACAGAGTTGAACCTTCCTTTAGACAGAGCAGATTTGAAACTCTCTTTTCGTGGAATTTGCAAGTGGAGATTTCAAGCGCTTTGAGGCCAACGGTAGAAAAGGAAATATCTTCGTAGAAAAAATAGACGGAATCATTCTCAGAAACTGCTTTGGGATGTGTGCATTGAACTCACAGTGTTTAACACTTCTTTTCATAGAGCACTTTGGAAACACTCAGTTTGTAATGTCTGCAGCTGGATATTTGGACCTCTTTGAGGCCTTCGTAGTAAACGGGATTTCTTCGTGTAATGATAGACAATAGAATTCTCAGTGAATTTTTTTCTGTGTGTGTGTATTCAACTCACAGGGTTGAACCTTCCTTTAGACAGTGCAGATTTGAGACACTTGTCTGTGGAATTTGCAAGGGGAGATTTCAAGCACTTTGAGGCCATTGGTGGAAAAGGAAATATCTTCGTATAAAAACTAGACAGAATCATTCTCAGGAACTACTTTGTGATATGTGCATTCAACTCACAGAGTTTAACCTTTCTTTTCATAGATGAGTTTGGAAACAGTCAGTTTGTAAATGCTGCAACTGGATATTTGGGCCTCTTTGAGGCTTTCGTTGGAAACGGGATTTCTTCACATAATGCTAGACAGAAGAATTCTCAGTAACTTCTTTTGGGATGTATGTATTCAAATCAGAGAGTTGAACCTTCCTTTAGACAGAGTGGATTGGAAACACTCTTTTTGTGGAATTTGCAAGTGGAAAATTCTAGCAGTATGAGGCCAATGGTACAAAAGGAAATATCTTCGTATAAAAACTAGACAGTATCATTCTCAGAAACTGCTTTGTGATGTGTGTATTAAACTCACAGAGTTGAACATTTCTTTGCATAGAGCAGTATGGAAAGACTTAGTTTGTGCAGTGTGCAAGTGGATATTTGGAACTCTTTGAGGCCTTGGTTGGAAACGGGATTTCTTCTTATAATTCTTGACAAAAGAATTCTCAGTAGCTTCTTTGTGTGTGTGTACTCAACTCACAGAGTTGAACCTTCCTTTAGACAGAGCAGATTGGAAACACTCTTTTTGTGGAATTTGCAAGTGGAAAATTCTAGCAGTATGAGGCCAGTGGTACAAAAGGAAATATCTTCGTATAAAAACTAGACAGTATCATTCTCAGAAACTACTTTGTGAGGTGTGCGTTCAACTCACAGTGTTTACCCTTTCTTTTCATAGAGCAGTTTGGAAACACTCTGTTTGTGAAGTCTGCAAGTGGATATTTAAACGTCTTTGAGGCCTTCGTTGGAAACGGGATTTCTTCATATAAACCAGGACAGAAGAATTCTCAGAAACTTCTTGTTTGTTATGTGTGCATTCAACTCACAGAGTTGAACCTTACTTTGGAAAGAGCAGTTTTCTAACACTCTTTTTGTAAAAGTTCCAAGTGAATACTTTGAGTGCTTTGAAGCCTACGGTAGACAACGAAATATCTTCATGTAAAAACTACAAAGAATCATTCGCAGAAACCACGTTGTGATCTCTGCATTCAACTCACAGAGTTGAACCTTTCCTCCTATAGAGCAGTTATGAAACAGTCTCTTTGTAGAATTTGCAAGGGTGTATTTACAGGGCATTGAAGCCTACGGTAGAAAAGGAAATATCTTACCATAAAATCTAGTCAGAAGCATTCTCAGAAACTGAGTTGTGATGTTTGCATTCAACTCACAGAGTTCAACATTCCTTTTAATGGAGCGGTTTTGAAACACTCTTTTTGCAGAATCTGCAAGTGGATATTTGGACCTCTTTGAGGCCTTCGTTGGAAACGGGATTTCTTCATGTAATGCCAGACAGAAGAATTCTCAGTGAATTCTTTCTGTGTGTGTGTATTCAACTCACAGAGTTGAACGTTCCTTTAGACAGAGTAGATTGGAAACACTCTTTTTGTGGAATTTTCAGGTGGAGGTATCAAGCGCTTTGAGGCCAATGATAGAAAAGGAAATACCTTCGTATAATAATTAGACGGAATCATTCTCAGAAACCGCTTTGCAATGTGTGCGTTCAACTCACAGTGTTTAACCTTTCTTTTCATACAGTTGTTTCGAAACACTCTTTTTGCAGAATCTGCAAGTGGATATTTGGACCTCTTTGAAGTCTTCGTTGGAAATGGGATTTCTTCATATAATGCTAGACAGAAGACTTCTCAGTAACTGCTTTTTCTGGTGTGTATTCAACTCTCAGAGTTGAACTTTCCTTTAGAAACAGCAGATTTGAAACTCTCTTTTTGTGGAATTTGCAAGTGGAGATTTCAGAGCTTTGAGGCCAATGGTAGAAAAGGAAATATCTTCGTATGCAAACTAGACAGAATCATTCTCAGAAACTACTTTGGTACGTGTGTGTTCAACTCACCGTGTTTAACCTTTCTTTTCATAGAGCAGTTTGGAAACACTCAGTTTGTAAAGTCAGCAACTGGATATTTGGATGTATTTGAGGCCTTCGTTGGAAACGGGATTTCTTCATATAATGCTAGACAGAAGAATTTTCAGTAACTTCTTTGGGTTGTGGGTATTCAACTCACAGAGTTGAAGCTTCCTTTAGGCGGAGCAGATTGGAAACACTTTTTGTGGAATTTTCAGGGGGAGACTTCAAGCGCTTTGAAGTGAATGGTAGGAAAGGAAATATCTTCGTATAAAAACTAGACGGAGTCATTCTCAGAAACTACTTTGTGATGTTTGCGTTCAACTCACAGAGTTTAACGTTTCTTTTCATAGAGCAGTTTGGAAACACTCTTTTTGCAGAATCTGCAAGTGGATATTTGGACCTCTTTGTGGCCTTCGTTGGAAACGGGATTTTTCATATAATGCTAGACAGAAGAATTCTCAGTAACTTCTTTTTGTGGTGTGTATTCAACTCACAGAGTTGAACCTTCCTTTAGACAGAGCAGATTTGAAACTCTCTTTTTGTGGAATTTGCAAGTGGAGATTTCAAGCGCTTTGAGGCCAACGGCAGAAAAGGAAATATCTTCGTAGAAAAAATAGACGGAATCATTCTCAGAAACTGCTTTGGGATGTGTGCATTGAACTCACAGTGTTTAACACTTCTTTTCATAGAGCACTTTGGAAACACTCAGTTTGTAATGTCTGCAGCTGGATATTTGGACCTCTTTGAGGCCTTCGTAGTAAACGGGATTTCTTCGTGTAATGATAGACAATAGAATTCTCAGTGAATTTTTTTCTGTGTGTGTGTATTCAACTCACAGGGTTGAACCATCCTTTAGACAGTGCAGATTTGAAACACTTGTCTGTGGAATTTGCAAGGGGAGATTTCAAGCACTTTGAGGCCATTGGTGGAAAAGGAAATATACTTCGTATGAAAACTAGACAGAATCATTCTCAGGAACTACTTTGTGATATGTGCATTCAACTCACAGAGTTTAACCTTTCTTTTCATAGATGAGTTTGGAAACAGTCAGTTTGTAAATTCTGCAACTGGATATTTGGACCTCTTTGAGGCTTTCGTTGGAAACGGGATTTCTTCACATAATGCTAGACAGAAGAATTCTCAGTAACTTCTTTTGGGATGTATGTATTCAAATCAGAGAGTTGAACCTTCCTTTAGACAGAGCGGATTGGAAACACTCTTTTTGTGGAATTTGCAAGTGGAAAATTCTAGCAGTATGAGGCCAATGGTACAAAAGGAAATATCTTCGTATAAAAACTAGACAGTATCATTCTCAGAAACTGCTTTGTGATGTGTGAATTAAACTCACAGAGTTGAACATTTCTTTGCATAGAGCAGTTTGGAAAGACTTAGTTTTTGCAGTGTGCAAGTGGATATTTGGAACTCTTTGAGGCCTTCGTTGGAAACGGGATTTCTTCTTATAATTCTTGACAAAAGAATTCTCAGTAGCTTCTTTGTGTGTGTGTATTCAACTCACAGAGTTGAACCTTCCTTTAGACAGAGCAGATTGGAAACACTCTTTTTGTGGAATTTGCAAGTGGAGAATTCTAGCGCTTTGACGCCAATGGTAGAAAGGAAATATCTTCGTATAAAAACTAGACAGTATCATTCTCAGAAGCTACTTTGTGATGTGTGCGTTCAACTCACAGAGTTTAACCTTTCTTTTCATAGAGCAGTTTGGAAACACTCTGTTTGTGAAGTCTGCAAGTGGATATTTAAACGTCTTTGAGGCCTTTGTTGGAAACGGGATTTTTTCATATAAACCAGGACAGAAGAATTCTCAGAAACTTCTTGATTGTTATGTGTGCATTCAACTCACAGAGTTGAACCTTACTTTGGAAAGAGCAGTTTTCTAACACTCTTTTTGTAAAAGTTCCAAGTGAGTACTTTGAGTGCTTTGAAGCCTACGATTGACAACGAAATATCTTCATGTAAAATCTACAAAGAATCATTCGCAGAAACCACGTTGTGATCTCTGCATTCAACTCACAGAGTTCAACCTTTCTTCCTATAGAGCAGTTATGAAACAGTCTCTTTGTAGAATTTGCAAGGGTGTATTTAGAGGGCATTGAAGCCTACGGTAGAAAAGGAAATATCTTACCATAAAATCTAGTCAGAAGCATTCTCAGAAACTGAGTTGTGATGTTTCCATTCAACTCACAGAGTTCAACATTCCTTTTAATGGAGCGGTTTTGAAACACTCTTTTTGCAGAATCTGCAAGTGGATATTTGGACCTCTTTGAGGCCTTCGTTGGAAACGGGATTTCTTCATGTAATGCCAGACAGAAGAATTCTCAGTGAATTCTTTCTGTGTGTGTGTATTCAACTCACAGAGTTGAACGTTCCTTTAGACAGAGTAGATTGGAAACACTCTTTTTGTGGAATTTTCAGGTGGAGGTATCAAGCGCTTTGAGGCCAATGATAGAAAAGGAAATACCTTCGTATAATAATTAGACGGAATCATTCTCAGAAACCGCTTTGCAATGTGTGCGTTCAACTCACAGTGTTTAACCTTTCTTTTCATACAGTTGTTTCGAAACACTCTTTTTGCAGAATCTGCAAGTGGATATTTGGACCTCTTTGAAGTCTTCGTTGGAAATGGGATTTCTTCATATAATGCTAGACAGAAGACTTCTCAGTAACTGCTTTTTCTGGTGTGTATTCAACTCTCAGAGTTGAACTTTCCTTTAGAAACAGCAGAGTTGAAACTCTCTTTTTGTGGAATTTGCAAGTGGAGATTTCAGAGCTTTGAGGCCAATGGTAGAAAAGGAAATATCTTCGTATGCAAACTAGACAGAATCATTCTCAGAAACTACTTTGGTACGTGTGTGTTCAACTCACAGTGTTTAACCTTTCTTTTCATAGAGCAGTTTGGAAACACTCAGTTTGTAAAGTCAGCAACTGGATATTTGGATGTATTTGAGGCCTTCGTTGGAAACGGGATTTCTTCATATAATGCTAGACAGAAGAATTCTCAGTAACTTCTTTGGGTTGTGGGTATTCAAGTCACAGAGTTGAAGCTTCCTTTAGGCGGAGCAGATTGGAAACACTTTTTGTGGAATTTTCAGGGGGAGACTTCAAGCGCTTTGAAGTGAATGGTAGGAAAGGAAATATCTTCGTATAAAAACTAGACGGAGTCATTCTCAGAAACTACTTTGTGATGTTTGCGTTCAACTCACAGAGTTTAACGTTTCTTTTCATAGAGCAGTTTGGAAACACTCTTTTTGCAGAATCTGCAAGTGGATATTTGGACCTCTTTGTGGCCTTCGTTGGAAACGGGATTTTTCATATAATGCTAGACAGAAGAATTCTCAGTAACTTCTTTTTGTGGTGTGTATTCAACTCACAGAGTTGAACCTTCCTTTAGACAGAGCAGATTTGAAACTCTCTTTTTGTGGAATTTGCAAGTGGAGATTTCAAGCGCTTTGAGGCCAACGGCAGAAAAGGAAATATCTTCGTAGAAAAAATAGACGGAATCATTCTCAGAAACTGCTTTGGGATGTGTGCATTGAACTCACAGTGTTTAACACTTCTTTTCATAGAGCACTTTGGAAACACTCAGTTTGTAATGTCTGCAGCTGGATATTTGGACCTCTTTGAGGCCTTCGTAGTAAACGGGATTTCTTCGTGTAATGATAGACAATAGAATTCTCAGTGAATTTTTTTTTTGTGTGTGTATTCAACTCACAGGGTTGAACTTTCCTTTAGACAGTGCAGATTTGAAACACTTTTTGTGGAATTTGCAAGGGGAGATTTCAAGCACCTTGAGGCCAGTGGTGGAAAAGGAAATATGTTCGTATAAAAACTAGACAGAATCATTCTCAGGGAACTACTTTGTGATATGTGCATTCAACTCCCAGAGTTTAACCTTTCTTTTCATAGATGAGTTTGGAAACAGTCAGTTTGTAAATTCTGCAACTGGATATTTGGACCTCTTTGAGGCTTTCGTTGGAAACGGGATTTCTTCACATAATGCTAGACAGAAGAATTCTCAGTAACTTCTTTTGGGATGTATGTATTCAAATCAGAGAGTTGAACCTTCCTTTAGACAGAGCGGATTGGAAACACTCTTTTTGTGGAATTTGCAAGTGGAAAATTCTAGCAGTATGAGGCCAATGGTACAAAAGGAAATATCTTCGTATAAAAACTAGACAGTATCATTCTCAGAAACTGCTTTGTGATGTGTGTATTAAACTCACAGAGTTAAACATTTCTTTGCATAGAGCAGTTTGGAAAGACTTAGTTTGTGCAGTGTGCAAGTGGATATTTGGAACTCTTTGAGGCCTTCGTTGGAAACGGGATTTCTTCTTATAATCCTTGACAAAAGAATTCTCAGTAGCTTCTTTGTGTGTGTGTATTCAACTCACAGAGTTGAACCTTCCTTTAGACAGAGCAGATTGGAAACACTCTTTTTGTGGAATTTGCAAGTGGAGAATTCTAGCGTTTTGACGCCAATGGTAGAAAGGAAATATCTTCGTATAAAAACTAGACAGCATCATTCTCAGAAACTACTTTGTGATGTGTGCGTTCAACTCACAGTGTTTACCCTTTCTTTTCATAGAGCAGTTTGGAAACCCTCTGTTTGTGAAGTCTGCAAGTGGATATTTAAACGTCTTTGAGGCCTTCGTTGGAAACGGGATTTCTTCATATAAACCAGGACAGAAGAATTCTCAGAAACTTCTTGATGTTATGTGTGCATTCAACTCACAGAGTTGAACCTTACTTTGGAAAGAGCAGTTTTCTAACACTCTTTTTGTAAAAGTTCCAAGTGAATACTTTGAGTGCTTTGAAGCCTACGGTTGACAACGAAATATCTTCATGTAAAAACTACAAAGAAATCATTCGCAGAAACCACGTTGTGATCTCTGCATTCAACTCACAGAGTTGAACCTTTCCTCCTATAGAGCAGTTATGAAACAGTCTCTTTGTAGAATTTGCAAGGGTGTATTTAGAGGGCATTGAAGCCTACGGTAGAAAAGGAAATATCTTACCATAAAATCTAGTCAGAAGCATTCTCAGAAACTGAGTTGTGATGTTTGCATTCAACTCACAGAGTTCAACATTCCTTTTAATGGAGCGGTTTTGAAACACTCTTTTTGCAGAATCTGCAAGTGGATATTTGGACCTCTTTGAGGCCTTCGTTGGAAACGGGATTTCTTCATGTAATGCCAGACAGAAGAATTCTCAGTGAATTCTTTCTGTGTGTGTGTATTCAACTCACAGAGTTGAACGTTCCTTTAGACAGAGTAGATTGGAAACACTCTTTTCGTGGAATTTTCAGGTGGAGGTATCATGCGCTTTGGGGCCAATGATAGAAAAGGAAATACCTTCGTATAATAATTAGACGGAATCATTCTCAGAAACTGCTTTGCAATGTGTGCGTTCAACTCACAGTGTTTAACCTTTCTTTTCATACAGTTGTTTCGAAACACTCTTTTTGCAGAATCTGCAAGTGGATATTTGGACCTCTTTGAAGTCTTCGTTGGAAATGGGATTTCTTCATATAATGCTAGACAGAAGACTTCTCAGTAACTGCTTTTTCTGGTGTGTATTCAACTCTCAGAGTTGAACTTTCCTTTAGAAACAGCAGATTTGAAACTCTCT
The DNA here is from genome assembly GCF_000001405.40 of Homo sapiens. Taxonomy (NCBI): domain Eukaryota; kingdom Metazoa; phylum Chordata; class Mammalia; order Primates; family Hominidae; genus Homo; species Homo sapiens. The sequence continues at coordinate 92,908,476 of NC_000003.12, forward strand.
TTTTGTGGAATTTGCAAGTGGAGATTTCAGAGCTTTGAGGCCAATGGTAGAAAAGGAAATATCTTCGTATGCAAACTAGACAGAATCATTCTCAGAAACTACTTTGGTACGTGTGTGTTCAACTCACAGTGTTTAACCTTTCTTTTCATAGAGCAGTTTGGAAACACTCAGTTTGTAAAGTCAGCAACTGGATATTTGGATGTATTTGAGGCCTTCGTTGGAAACGGGATTTCTTCATATAATGCTAGACAGAAGAATTCTCAGTAACTTCTTTGGGTTGTGGGTATTCAAGTCACAGAGTTGAAGCTTCCTTTAGGCGGAGCAGATTGGAAACACTTTTTGTGGAATTTTCAGGGGGAGACTTCAAGCGCTTTGAAGTGAATGGTAGGAAAGGAAATATCTTCGTATAAAAACTAGACGGAGTCATTCTCAGAAACTACTTTGTGATGTTTGCGTTCAACTCACAGAGTTTAACGTTTCTTTTCATAGAGCAGTTTGGAAACACTCTTTTTGCAGAATCTGCAAGTGGATATTTGGACCTCTTTGTGGCCTTCGTTGGAAACGGGATTTTTCATATAATGCTAGACAGAAGAATTCTCAGTAACTTCTTTTTGTGGTGTGTATTCAACTCACAGAGTTGAACCTTCCTTTAGACAGAGCAGATTTGAAACTCTCTTTTTGTGGAATTTGCAAGTGGAGATTTCAAGCGCTTTGAGGCCAACGGCAGAAAAGGAAATATCTTCGTAGAAAAAATAGACGGAATCATTCTCAGAAACTGCTTTGGGATGTGTGCATTGAACTCACAGTGTTTAACACTTCTTTTCATAGAGCACTTTGGAAACACTCAGGTTGTAATGTCTGCAGCTGGATATTTGGACCTCTTTGAGGCCTTCGTAGTAAACGGGGATTTCTTCGTGTAATGATAGACAATAGAATTCTCAGTGAATTTTTTTCTGTGTGTGTGTATTCAACTCACAGGGTTGAACCTTCCTTTAGACAGTGCAGATTTGAAACACTTGTCTGTGGAATTTGCAAGGGGAGATTTCAAGCACTTTGAGGCCATTGGTGGAAAAGGAAATATCTTCGTATAAAAACTAGACAGAATCATTCTCAGGAACTACTTTGTGATATGTGCATTCAACTCCCAGAGTTTAACCTTTCTTTTCATAGATGAGTTTGGAAACAGTCAGTTTGTAATTTCTGCAACTGGATATTTGGACCTCTTTGAGGCTTTCGATGGAAACGGGATTTCTTCACATAATGCTAGACAGAAGAATTCTCAGTAACTTCTTTTGGGATGTATGTATTCAAATCAGAGAGTTGAACCTTCCTTTAGACAGAGCGGATTGGAAACACTCTTTTTGTGGAATTTGCAAGTGGAAAATTCTAGCAGTATGAGGCCAATGGTACAAAAGGAAATATTCTTCGTATAAAAACTAGACAGTAATCATTCTCAGAAACTGCTTTGTGATGTGTGTATTAAACTCACAGAGTTGAACATTTCTTTGCATAGAGCAGTTTGGAAAGACTTAGTTTGTGCAGTGTGCAAGTGGATATTTGGAACTCTTTGAGGCCTTCGTTGGAAACGGGATTTCTTCTTATAATTCCTTGACAAAAGAATTCTCAGTAGCTTCTTTGTGTGTGTGTATTCAACTCACAGAGTTGAACCTTCCTTTAGACAGAGCAGATTGGAAACACTCTTTTTGTGGAATTTGCAAGTGGAGAATTCTAGCGCTTTGACGCCAATGGTAGAAAGGAAATATCTTCGTATAAAAACTAGACAGTATCATTCTCAGAAACTACTTTGTGATGTGTGCGTTCAACTCACAGAGTTTAACCTTTCTTTTCATAGAGCAGTTTGGAAACACTCTGTTTGTGAAGTCTGCAAGTGGATATTTAAACGTCTTTGAGACCTTTGTTGGAAACGGGATTTTTTCATATAAACCAGGACAGAAGAATTCTCAGAAACTTCTTGATTGTTATGTGTGCATTCAACTCACAGAGTTGAACCTTACTTTGGAAAGAGCAGTTTTCTAACACTCTTTTTGTAAAAGTTCCAAGTGAATACTTTGAGTGCTTTGAAGCCTACGGTTGACAACGAAATATCTTCATGTAAAAACTACAAAGAATCATTCGCAGAAACCACGTTGTGATCTCTGCAGTCAACTCACAGAGTTCAACCTTTCTTCCTATAGAGCAGTTATGAAACAGTCTCTTTGTAGAATTTGCAAGGGTGTATTTAGAGGGCATTGAAGCCTACGGTAGAAAAGGAAATATCTTACCATAAAATCTAGTCAGAAGCATTCTCAGAAACTGAGTTGTGATGTTTGCATTCAACTCACAGAGTTCAACATTCCTTTTAATGGAGCGGTTTTGAAACACTCTTTTTGCAGAATCTGCAAGTGGATATTTGGACCTCTTTGAGGCCTTCGTTGGAAACGGGATTTCTTCATGTAATGCCAGACAGAAGAATTCTCAGTGAATTCTTTCTGTGTGTGTGTATTCAACTCACAGAGTTGAACGTTCCTTTAGACAGAGTAGATTGGAAACACTCTTTTTGTGGAATTTTCAGGTGGAGGTATCAAGCGCTTTGAGGCCAATGATAGAAAAGGAAATACCTTCGTATAATAATTAGACGGAATCATTCTCAGAAACTGCTTTGCAATGTGTGCGTTCAACTCACAGTGTTTAACCTTTCTTTTCATACAGTTGTTTCGAAACACTCTTTTTGCAGAATCTGCAAGTGGATATTTGGACCTCTTTGAAGTCTTCGTTGGAAATGGGATTTCTTCATATAATGCTAGACAGAAGACTTCTCAGTAACTGCTTTTTCTGGTGTGTATTCAACTCTCAGAGTTGAACTTTCCTTTAGAAACAGCAGAGTTGAAACTCTCTTTTTGTGGAATTTGCAAGTGGAGATTTCAGAGCTTTGAGGCCAATGGTAGAAAAGGAAATATCTTCGTATGCAAACTAGACAGAATCATTCTCAGAAACTACTTTGGTACGTGTGTGTTCAACTCACAGTGTTTAACCTTTCTTTTCATAGAGCAGTTTGGAAACACTCAGTTTGTAAAGTCAGCAACTGGATATTTGGATGTATTTGAGGCCTTCGTTGGAAACGGGATTTCTTCATATAATGCTAGACAGAAGAATTCTCAGTAACTTCTTTGGGTTGTGGATATTCAAGTCACAGAGTTGAAGCTTCCTTTAGGCGGAGCAGATTGGAAACACTTTTTGTGGAATTTTCAGGGGGAGACTTCAAGCGCTTTGAAGTGAATGGTAGGAAAGGAAATATCTTCGTATAAAAACTAGACGGAGTCATTCTCAGAAACTACTTTGTGATGTTTGCGTTCAACTCACAGAGTTTAACGTTTCTTTTCATAGAGCAGTTTGGAAACACTCTTTTTGCAGAATCTGCAAGTGGATATTTGGACCTCTTTGTGGCCTTCGTTGGAAACGGGATTTTTCATATAATGCTAGACAGAAGAATTCTCAGTAACTTCTTTTTGTGGTGTGTATTCAACTCACAGAGTTGAACCTTCCTTTAGACAGAGCAGATTTGAAACTCTCTTTTTGTGGAATTTGCAAGTGGAGATTTCAAGCGCTTTGAGGCCAACGGCAGAAAAGGAAATATCTTCGTAGAAAAAATAGACGGAATCATTCTCAGAAACTGCTTTGGGATGTGTGCATTGAACTCACAGTGTTTAACACTTCTTTTCATAGAGCACTTTGGAAACACTCAGTTTGTAATGTCTGCAGCTGGATATTTGGACCTCTTTGAGGCCTTCGTAGTAAACGGGATTTCTTCGTGTAATGATAGACAATAGAATTCTCAGTGAATTTGTTTCTGTGTGTGTGTATTCAACTCACAGTGTTGAACCTTCCTTTAGACAGTGCAGATTTGAAACACTTGTCTGTGGAATTTGCAAGGGGAGATTTCAAGCACTTTGAGGCCATTGGTGGAAAAGGAAATATCTTCGTATAAAAACTAGACAGAATCATTCTCAGGAACTACTTTGTGATATGTGCATTCAACTCACAGAGTTTAACCTTTCTTTTCATAGATGAGTTTGGAAACAGTCAGTTTGTAAATTCTGCAACTGGATATTTGGACCTCTTTGAGGCTTTCGTTGGAAATGGGATTTCTTCACATAATGCTAGACAGAAGGAATCCTCAGTAACTTCTTTTGGGATGTATGTATTCAAATCAGAGAGTTGAACCTTCCTTTAGACAGAGCGGATTGGAAACACTCTTTTTGTGGAATTTGCAAGTGGAAAATTCTAGCAGTATGAGGCCAATGGTACAAAAGGAAATATCTTCGTATAAAAACTAGACAGTATCATTCTCAGAAACTGCTTTGTGATGTGTGAATTAAACTCACAGAGTTGAACATTTCTTTGCATAGAGCAGTTTGGAAAGACTTAGTTTTTGCAGTGTGCAAGTGGATATTTGGAACTCTTTGAGGCCTTCGTTGGAAACGGGATTTCTTCTTATAATTCTTGACAAAAGAATTCTCAGTAGCTTCTTTGTGTGTGTGTATTCAACTCACAGAGTTGAACCTTCCTTTAGACAGAGCAGATTGGAAACACTCTTTTTGTGGAATTTGCAAGTGGAGAATTCTAACGCTTTGACGCCAATGGTAGAAAGGAAATATCTTCGTATAAAAACTAGACAGTATCATTCTCAGGAAGCTACTTTGTGATGTGTGCGTTCAACTCACAGAGTTTAACCTTTGTTTTCATAGAGCAGTTTGGAAACCCTCTGTTTGTGAAGTCTGCAAGTGGATATTTAAACGTCTTTGAGGCCTTCGTTGGAAACGGGATTTTTTCATATAAACCAGGACAGAAGAATTCTCAGAAACTTCTTGATTGTTATGTGTGCATTCAACTCACAGAGTTGAACCTTACTTTGGAAAGAGCAGTTTTCTAACACTCTTTTTGTAAAAGTTCCAAGTGAATACTTTGAGTGCTTTGAAGCCTACGGTTGACAACGAAATATCTTCATGTAAAAACTACAAAGAATCATTCGCAGAAACCACGTTGTGATCTCTGCATTCAACTCACAGAGTTCAACCTTTCTTCCTATAGAGCAGTTATGAAACAGTCTCTTTGTAGAATTTGCAAGGGTGTATTTAGAGGGCATTGAAGCCTACGGTAGAAAAGGAAATATCTTACCATAAAATCTAGTCAGAAGCATTCTCAGAAACTGAGTTGTGATGTTTGCATTCAACTCACAGAGTTCAACATTCCTTTTAATGGAGCGGTTTTGAAACACTCTTTTTGCAGAATCTGCAAGTGGATATTTGGACCTCTTTGAGGCCTTCGTTGGAAACGGGATTTCTTCATGTAATGCCAGACAGAAGAATTCTCAGTGAATTCTTTCTGTGTGTGTGTATTCAACTCACAGAGTTGAACGTTCCTTTAGACAGAGTAGATTGGAAACACTCTTTTTGTGGAATTTTCAGGTGGAGGTATCAAGCGCTTTGAGGCCAATGATAGAAAAGGAAATACCTTCGTATAATAGTTAGACGGAATCATTCTCAGAAACCGCTTTGCAATGTGTGCGTTCAACTCACAGTGTTTAACCTTTCTTTTCATACAGTTGTTTCGAAACACTCTTTTTGCAGAATCTGCAAGTGGATATTTGGACCTCTTTGAAGTCTTCGTTGGAAATGGGATTTCTTCATATAATGCTAGACAGAAGACTTCTCAGTAACTGCTTTTTCTGGTGTGTATTCAACTCTCAGAGTTGAACTTTCCTTTAGAAACAGCAGATTTGAAACTCTCTTTTTGTGGAATTTGCAAGTGGAGATTTCGGAGCTTTGAGGCCAATGGTAGAAAAGGAAATATTCTTCGTATGCAAACTAGACAGAATAATTCTCAGAAACTACTTTGGTACGTGTGTGTTCAACTCACAGTGTTTAACCTTTCTTTTCATAGAGCAGTTTGGAAACACTCAGTTTGTAAAGTCAGCAACTGGATATGTGGATGTATTTGAGGCCTTCGTTGGAAACGGGATTTCTTCCTATAATGCGAGACAGAAGAATTCTCAGTAACTTCTTTGGGTTGTGGGTATTCAAGTCACAGAGTTGAAGCTTCCTTTAGGCGGAGCAGATTGGAAACACTTTTTGTGGAATTTTCAGGGGGAGACTTCAAGCGCTTTGAAGTGAATGGTAGGAAAGGAAATATCTTCGTATAAAAACTAGACGGAGTCATTCTCAGAAACTACTTTGTGATGTTTGCGTTCAACTCACAGAGTTTAACGTTTCTTTTCATAGAGCAGTTTGGAAACACTCTTTTTGCAGAATCTGCAAGTGGATATTTGAACCTCTTTGTGGCCTTCGTTGGAAACGGGATTTTTCATATAATGCTAGACAGAAGAATTCTCAGTAACTTCTTTTTGTGGTGTGTATTCAACTCACAGAGTTGAACCTTCCTTTAGACAGAGCAGATTTGAAACTCTCTTTTTGTGGAATTTGCAAGTGGAGATTTCAAGCGCTTTGAGGCCAACGGCAGAAAAGGAAATATCTTCGTAGAAAAAATAGACGGAATCATTCTCAGAAACTGCTTTGGGATGTGTGCATTGAACTCACAGTGTTTAACACTTCTTTTCATAGAGCACTTTGGAAACACTCAGTTTGTAATGTCTGCAGCTGGATATTTGGACCTCTTTGAGGCCTTCGTAGTAAACGGGATTTCTTCGTGTAATGATAGACAATAGAATTCTCAGTGAATTTGTTTCTGTGTGTGTGTATTCAACTCACAGGGTTGAACCTTCCTTTAGACAGTGCAGATTTGAAACACTTGTCTGTGGAATTTGCAAGGGGAGATTTCAAGCACTTTGAGGCCATTGGTGGAAAAGGAAATATCTTCGTATAAAAACTAGACAGAATCATTCTCAGGAACTACTTTGTGATATGTGCATTCAACTCCCAGAGTTTAACCTTTCTTTTCATAGATGAGTTTGGAAACAGTCAGTTTGTAAATTCTGCAACTGGATATTTGGACCTCTTTGAGGCTTTCGTTGGAAACGGGATTTCTTCACATAATGCTAGACAGAAGAATTCTCAGTAACTTCTTTTGGGATGTATGTATTCAAATCAGAGAGTTGAACCTTCCTTTAGACAGAGCGGATTGGAAACACTCTTTTTGTGGAATTTGCATGTGGAAAATTCTAGCAGTATGAGACCAATGGTACAAAAGGAAATATCCTTCGTATAAAAACTAGACAGTATCATTCTCAGAAACTGCTTTGTGATGTGTGTATTAAACTCACAGCATTTGAACATTTCTTTGCATAGAGCAGTATGGAAAGACTTAGTTTGTGCAGTGTGCAAGTGGATATTTGGAACTCTTTGAGGCCTTGGTTGGAAACGGGATTTCTTCTTATAATTCTTGACAAAAGAATTCTCAGTAGCTTCTTTGTGTGTGTGTACTCAACTCACAGAGTTGAACCTTCCTTTAGACAGAGCAGATTGGAAACACTCTTTTTGTGGAATTTGCAAGTGGAAAATTCTAGCAGTATGAGGCCAATGGTACAAAAGGAAATATCTTCGTATAAAAACTAGACAGTATCATTCTCAGAAACTACTTTGTGATGTGTGCGTTCAACTCACAGTGTTTACCCTTTCTTTTCATAGAGCAGTTTGGAAACACTCTGTTTGTGAAGTCTGCAAGTGGATATTTAAACGTCTTTGAGGCCTTCGTTGGAAACGGGATTTCTTCATATAAACCAGGACAGAAGAATTCTCAGAAACTTCTTGTTTGTTATGTGTGCATTCAACTCACAGAGTTGAACCTTACTTTGGAAAGAGCAGTTTTCTAACACTCTTTTTGTAAAAGTTCCAAGTGAATACTTTGAGTGCTTTGAAGCCTACGGTAGACAACGAAATATCTTCATGTAAAAACTACAAATAATCATTCGCAGAAACCACGCTGTGATCTCTGCATTCAACTCACAGAGTTGAACCTTTCCTCCTATAGAGCAGTTATGAAACAGTCTCTTTGTAGAATTTGCAAGGGTGTATTTACAGGGCATTGAAGCCTACGGTAGAAAAGGAAATATCTTACCATAAAATCTAGTCAGAAGCATTCTCAGAAACTGAGTTGTGATGTTTGCATTCAACTCACAGAGTTCAACATTCCTTTTAATGGAGCGGTTTTGAAACACTCTTTTTGCAGAATCTGCAGGTGGATATTTGGACCTCTTTGAGGCCTTCGTTGGAAACGGGATTTCTTCATGTAATGCCAGACAGAAGAATTCTCAGTGAATTCTTTCTGTGTGTGTGTATTCAACTCACGGAGTTGAACGTTCCTTTAGACAGAGTAGATTGGAAACACTCTTTTTGTGGAATTTTCAGGTGGAGGTATCAAGCGCTTTGAGGCCAATGATAGAAAAGGAAATACCTTCGTATAATAATTAGACGGAATCATTCTCAGAAACTGCTCTGCAATGTGTGCGTTCAACTCACAGTGTTTAACCTTTCTTTTCATACAGTTGTTTCGAAACACTCTTTTTGCAGAATCTGCAAGTGGATATTTGGACCTCTTTGAAGTCTTCGTTGGAAATGGGATTTCTTCATATAATGCTAGACAGAAGACTTCTCAGTAACTGCTTTTTCTGGTGTGTATTCAACTCTCAGAGTTGAACTTTCCTTTAGAAACAGCAGAGTTGAAACTCTCTTTTTGTGGAATTTGCAAGTGGAGATTTCAAAGCTTTGAGGCCAATGGTAGAAAAGGAAATATCTTCGTATGCAAACTAGACAGAATCATTCTCAGAAACTACTTTGGTACGTGTGTGTTCAACTCACAGTGTTTAACCTTTCTTGTCATAGAGCAGTTTGGAAACACTCAGTTTGTAAAGTCAGCAACTGGATATTTGGATGTATTTGAGGCCTTCGTTGGAAACGGGATTTCTTCATATAATGCTAGACAGAAGAATTCTCAGTAACTTCTTTGGGTTGTGGGTATTCAACTCACAGAGTTGAAGCTTCCTTTAGGCGGAGCAGATTGGAAACACTTTTTGTGGAATTTTCAGGGGGAGACTTCAAGCGCTTTGAAGTGAATGGTAGGAAAGGAAATATCTTCGTATAAAAACTAGACGGAGTCATTCTCAGAAACTACTTTGTGATGTTTGCGTTCAACTCACAGAGTTTAACGTTTCTTTTCATAGAGCAGTTTGGAAACACTCTATTTGCAGAATCTGCAAGTGGATATTTGGACCTCTTTGTGGCCTTCGTTGGAAACGGGATTTTTCATATAATGCTAGACAGAAGAATTCTCAGTAACTTCTTTTTGTGGTGTGTATTCAACTCACAGAGTTGAACCTTCCTTTAGACAGAGCAGATTTGAAACTCTCTTTTTGTGGAATTTGCAAGTGGAGATTTCAAGCGCTTTGAGGCCAACGGCAGAAAAGGAAATATCTTCGTAGAAAAAATAGACGGAATCATTCTCAGAAACTGCTTTGGGATGTGTGCATTGAACTCACAGTGTTTAACACTTCTTTTCATAGAGCACTTTGGAAACACTCAGTTTGTAATGTCTGCAGCTGGATATTTGGACCTCTTTGAGGCCTTCGTGGTAAACGGGATTTCTTCGTGTAATGATAGACAATAGAATTCTCAGTGAATTTTTTTCTGTGTGTGTGTATTCAACTCACAGGGTTGAACCTTCCTTTAGACAGTGCAGATTTGAAACACTTGTCTGTGGAATTTGCAAGGGGAGATTTCAAGCACTTTGAGGCCATTGGTGGAAAAGGAAATATCTTCGTATGAAAACTAGACAGAATCATTCTCAGGAACTACTTTGTGATATGTGCATTCAACTCCCAGAGTTTAACCTTTCTTTTCATAGATGAGTTTGGAAACAGTCAGTTTGTAAATTCTGCAACTGGATATTTGGACCTCTTTGAGGCTTTCGTTGGAAACGGGATTTCTTCACATAATGCTAGACAGAAGAATTCTCAGTAACTTCTTTTGGGATGTATGTATTCAAATCAGAGAGTTGAACCTTCCTTTAGACAGAGCGGATTGGAAACACTCTTTTTGTGGAATTTGCAAGTGGAAAATTCTAGCAGTATGAGGCCAATGGTACAAAAGGAAATATCTTCGTATAAAAACTAGACAGTATCATTCTCAGAAACTGCTTTGTGATGTGCGTATTAAACTCACAGAGTTGAACATTTCTTTGCATAGAGCAGTTTGGAAAGACTTAGTTTGTGCAGTGTGCAAGTGGATATTTGGAACTCTTTGAGGCCTTCGTTGGAAACGGGATTTCTTCTTATAATTCTTGACAAAAGAATTCTCAGTAGCTTCTTTGTGTGTGTGTATTCAACTCACAGAGTTGAACCTTCCTTTAGACAGAGCAGATTGGAAACACTCTTTTTGTGGAATTTGCAAGTGGAGAATTCTAGCGCTTTGACGCCAATGGAAGGAAAGGAAATATCTCCGTATAAAAACTAGACAGTATCATTCTCAGAAGCTACTTTGTGATGTGTGTGTTCAACTCACAGAGTTTAACCTTTCTTTTCATAATGCAGTTTGGAAACCCTCTGTTTGTGAAGTCTGCAAGTGGATATTTAAACGTCTTTGAGGCCTTCGTTGGAAACGGGATTTTTTCATATAAACCAGGACAGAAGAATTCTCAGAAACTTCTTGATTGTTATGTGTGCATTCAACTCACAGAGTTGAACCTTACTTTGGAAAGAGCAGTTTTCTAACACTCTTTTTGTAAAAGTTCCAAGTGAATACTTTGAGTGCTTTGAAGCCTACGGTTGACAACGAAATATCTTCATGTAAAAACTACAAAGAATCATTCGCAGAAACCACGTTGTGATCTCTGCAGTCAACTCACAGAGTTCAACCTTTCTTCCTATAGAGCAGTTATGAAACAGTCTCTTTGTAGAATTTGCAAGGGTGTATTTAGAGGGCATTGAAGCCTACGGTAGAAAAGGAAATATCTTACCATAAAATCTAGTCAGAAGCATTCTCAGAAACTGAGTTGTGATGTTTGCATTCAACTCACAGAGTTCAACATTCCTTTTAATGGAGCGGTTTTGAAACACTCTTTTTGCAGAATCTGCAAGTGGATATTTGGACCTCTTTGAGGCCTTCGTTGGAAACGGGATTTCTTCATGTAATGCCAGACAGAAGAATTCTCAGTGAATTCTTTCTGTGTGTGTGTATTCAACTCACAGAGTTGAACGTTCCTTTAGACAGAGTAGATTGGAAACACTCTTTTTGTGGAATTTTCAGGTGGAGGTATCAAGCGCTTTGAGGCCAATGATAGAAAAGGAAATACCTTCGTATAATAATTAGACGGAATCATTCTCAGAAACCGCTTTGCAATGTGTGCGTTCAACTCACAGTGTTTAACCTTTCTTTTCATACAGTTGTTTCGAAACACTCTTTTTGCAGAATCTGCAAGTGGATATTTGGACCTCTTTGAAGTCTTCGTTGGAAATGGGATTTCTTCATATAATGCTAGACAGAAGACTTCTCAGTAACTGCTTTTTCTGGTGTGTATTCAACTCTCAGAGTTGAACTTTCCTTTAGAAACAGCAGATTTGAAACTCTCTTTTTGTGGAATTTGCAAGTGGAGATTTCGGAGCTTTGAGGCCAATGGTAGAAAAGGAAATATTCTTCGTATGCAAACTAGACAGAATCATTCTCAGAAACTACTTTGGTACGTGTGTGTTCAACTCACAGTGTTTAACCTTTCTTTTCATAGAGCAGTTTGGAAACACTCAGTTTGTAAAGTCAGCAACTGGATATTTGGATGTATTTGAGGCCTTCGTTGGAAACGGGATTTCTTCATATAATGCTAGACAGAAGAATTCTCAGTAACTTCTTTGGGTTGTGGGTATTCAAGTCACAGAGTTGAAGCTTCCTTTAGGCGGAGCAGATTGGAAACACTTTTTGTGGAATTTTCAGTGGGAGACTTCAAGCGCTTTGAAGTGAATGGTAGGAAAGGAAATATCTTCGTATAAAAACTAGACGGAGTCATTCTCAGAAACTACTTTGTGATGTTTGCGTTCAACTCACAGAGTTTAACGTTTCTTTTCATAGAGCAGTTTGGAAACACTCTTTTTGCAGAATCTGCAAATGGATATTTGGACCTCTTTGTGGCCTTCGTTGGAAACGGGATTTTTCATATAATGCTAGACAGAAGAATTCTCAGTAACTTCTTTTTGTGGTGTGTATTCAACTCACAGAGTTGAACCTTCCTTTAGACAGAGCAGATTTGAAACTCTCTTTTTGTGGAATTTGCAAGTGGAGATTTCAAGCGCTTTGAGGCCAACGACAGAAAAGGAATTATCTTCGTAGAAAAAATAGACGGAATCATTCTCAGAAACTGCTTTGGGATGTGTGCATTGAACTCACAGTGTTTAACACTTCTTTTCATAGAGCACTTTGGAAACACTCAGTTTGTAATGTCTGCAGCTGGATATTTAGACACCTTTGAGGCCTTCGTAGTAAACGGGATTTCTTCGTGTAATGATAGACAATAGAATTCTCAGTGAATTTTTTTCTGTGTGTGTGTATTCAACTCACAGGGTTGAACCTTCCTTTAGACAGTGCAGATTTGAAACACTTGTCTGTGGAATTTGCAAGGGGAGATTTCAAGCACTTTGAGGCCATTGGTGGAAAAGGAAATATCTTCGTATAAAAACTAGACAGAATCATTCTCAGGAACTACTTTGTGATATGTGCATTCAACTCACAGAGTTTAACCTTTCTTTTCATAGATGAGTTTGGAAACAGTCAGTTTGTAAATTCTGCAACTGGATATTTGGACCTCTTTGAGGCTTTCGTTGGAAACGGGATTTCTTCACATAATGCTAGACAGAAGAATTCTCAGTAACTTCTTTTGGGATGTATGTATTCAAATCAGAGAGTTGAACCTTCCTTTAGACAGAGCGGATTGGAAACACTCTTTTTGTGGAATTTGCAAGTGGAAAATTCTAGCAGTATGAGGCCAATGGTACAAAAGGAAATATCTTCGTATAAAAACTAGACAGTATCATTCTCAGAAACTGCTTTGTGATGTGTGTATTAAACTCACAGAGTTTAACCTTTCTTTTCATAGAGCAGTTTGGAAACCCTCTGTTTGTGAAGTCTGCAAGTGGATATTTAAACGTCTTTGAGGCCTTCGTTGGAAACGGGATTTTTTCATATAAACCAGGACAGAAGAATTCTCAGAAACTTCTTGATTGTTATGTGTGCATTCAACTCACAGAGTTGAACCTTACTTTGGAAAGAGCAGTTTTCTAACACTCTTTTTGTAAAAGTTCCAAGTGAATACTTTGAGTGCTTTGAAGCCTACGGTTGACAACGAAATATCTTCATGTAAAAACTACAAAGAATCATTCGCAGAAACCACGTTGTGATCTCTGCATTCAACTCACAGTGTTGAACCTTTCTTCCTATAGAGCAGTTATGAAACAGTCTCTTTGTAGAATTTGCAAGGGTGTATTTAGAGGGCATTGAAGCCTACGGTAGAAAAGGAAATATCTTACCATAAAATCTAGTCAGAAGCATTCTCAGAAACTGAGTTGTGATGTTTGCATTCAACTCACAGAGTTCAACATTCCTTTTAATGGAGCGGTTTTGAAACAGTCTTTTTGCAGAATCTGCAAGTGGATATTTGGACCTCTTTGAGGCCTTCGTTGGAAACGGGATTTCTTCATGTAATGCCAGACAGAAGAATTCTCAGTGAATTCTTTCTGTGTGTGTGTATTCAACTCACAGAGTTGAACGTTCCTTTAGACAGAGTAGATTGGAAACACTCTTTTTGTGGAATTTTCAGGTGGAGGTATCAAGCGCTTTGAGGCCAATGATAGAAAAGGAAATACCTTCGTATAATAATTAGACGGAATCATTCTCAGAAACCGCTTTGCAATGTGTGCGTTCAACTCACAGTGTTTAACCTTTCTTTTCATACAGTTGTTTCGAAACACTCTTTTTGCAGAATCTGCAAGTGGATATTTGGACCTCTTTGAAGTCTTCGTTGGAAATGGGATTTCTTCATATAATGCTAGACAGAAGACTTCTCAGTAACTGCTTTTTCTGGTGTGTATTCAACTCTCAGAGTTGAACTTTCCTTTAGAAACAGCAGATTTGAAACTCTCTTTTTGTGGAATTTGCAAGTGGAGATTTCAGAGCTTTGAGGCCAATGGTAGAAAAGGAAATATCTTCGTATGCAAACTAGACAGAATCATTCTCAGAAACTACTTTGGTACGTGTGTGTTCAACTCACAGTGTTTAACCTTTCTTTTCATAGAGCAGTTTGGAAACACTCAGTTTGTAAAGTCAGCAACTGGATATTTGGATGTATTTGAGGCCTTCGTTGGAAACGGGATTTCTTCATATAATGCTAGACAGAAGAATTCTCAGTAACTTCTTTGGGTTGTGGGTATTCAAGTCACAGAGTTGAAGCTTCCTTTAGGCGGAGCAGATTGGAAACACTTTTTGTGGAATTTTCAGGGGGAGACTTCAAGCGCTTTGAAGTGAATGGTAGGAAAGGAAATATCTTCGTATAAAAACTAGACGGAGTCATTCTCAGAAACTACTTTGTGATGTTTGCGTTCAACTCACAGAGTTTAACGTTTCTTTTCATAGAGCAGTTTGGAAACACTCTTTTTGCAGAATCTGCAAGTGGATATTTGGACCTCTTTGTGGCCTTCGTTGGAAACGGGATTTTTCATATAATGCTAGACAGAAGAATTCTCAGTAACTTCTTTTTGTGGTGTGTATTCAACTCACAGAGTTGAACCTTCCTTTAGACAGAGCAGATTTGAAACTCTCTTTTTGTGGAATTTGCAAGTGGAGATTTCAAGCGCTTTGAGGCCAACGGCAGAAAAGGAAATATCTTCGTAGAAAAAATAGACGGAATCATTCTCAGAAACTGCTTTGGGATGTGTGCATTGAACTCACAGTGTTTAACACTTCTTTTCATAGAGCACTTTGGAAACACTCAGTTTGTAATGTCTGCAGCTGGATATTTGGACCTCTTTGAGGCCTTCGTAGTAAACGGGATTTCTTCGTGTAATGATAGACAATAGATAGAATTCTCAGTGAATTTTTTTCTGTGTGTGTGTATTCAACTCACAGGGTTGAACCTTCCTTTAGACAGTGCAGATTTGAAACACTTGTCTGTGGAATTTGCAAGGGGAGATTTCAAGCACTTTGAGGCCATTGGTGGAAAAGGAAATATCTTCGTATAAAAACTAGACAGATCATTCTCAGGAACTACTTTGTGATATGTGCATTCAACTCCCAGAGTTTAACCTTTCTTTTCATAGATGAGTTTGGAAACAGTCAGTTTGTAAATTCTGCAACTGGATATTTGGACCTCTTTGAGGCTTTCGTTGGAAACGGGATTTCTTCACATAATGCTAGACAGAAGAATTCTCAGTAACTTCTTTTGGGATGTATGTATTCAAATCAGAGAGTTGAACCTTCCTTTAGACAGAGCGGATTGGAAACACTCTTTTTGTGGAATTTGCAAGTGGAAAATTCTAGCAGTATGAGGCCAATGGTACAAAAGGAAATATCTTCGTATAAAAACTAGACAGTATCATTCTCAGAAACTGCTTTGTGATGTGTGTATTAAACTCACAGAGTTGAACATTTCTTTGCATAGAGCAGTTTGGAAAGACTTAGTTTGTGCAGTGTGCAAGTGCATATTTGGAACTCTTTGAGGCCTTCGTTGGAAACGGGATTTCTTCTTATAATTCTTGACAAAAGAATTCTCAGTAGCTTCTTTGTGTGTGTGTGTATTCAACTCACAGAGTTGAACCTTCCTTTAGACAGAGCAGATTGGAAACACTCTTTTTGTGGAATTTGCAAGTGGAGAATTCTAGCGATTTGAGGCCAATGGTACAAAAGGAAATATCTTCGTATAAAAACTAGACAGTATCATTCTCAGAAACTACTTTGTGATGTGTGCGTTCAACTCACAGTGTTTACCCTTTCTTTTCATAGAGCAGTTTGGAAACACTCTGTTTGTGAAGTCTGCAAGTGGATATTTAAACGTCTTTGAGGCCTTCGTTGGAAACGGGATTTCTTTATATAAACCAGGACAGAAGAATTCTCAGAAACTTCTTGTTTGTTATGTGTGCATTCAACTCACAGAGTTGAACCTTACTTTGGAAAGAGCAGTTTTCTAACACTCTTTTTGTAAAAGTTCCAAGTGAATACTTTGAGTGCTTTGAAGCCTACGGTAGACAACGAAATATCTTCATGTAAAAACTACAAAGAATCATTCACAGAAACCACGTTGTGATCTCTGCATTCAACTCACAGAGTTGAACCTTTCTTCCTATAGAGCAGTTATTAAACAGTCTCTTTGTAGAATTTGCAAGGGTGTATTTAGAGGGCCTTGAAGCCTAGGGTAGAAAAGGCAATATCTTACCATAAAATCTAGTCAGAAGCATTCTCAGAAACTGAGTTGTGATGTTTGCATTCAACTCACAGAGTTCAACATTCCTTTTAATGGAGCGGTTTTGAAACACTCTTTTTGCAGAATCTGCAAGTGGATATTTGGACCTCTTTGAGGCCTTCGTTGGAAACGGGATTTCTTCATGTAATGCCAGACAGAAGAATTCTCAGTGAATTCTTTCTGTGTGTGTGTATTCAACTCACAGAGTTGAACGTTCCTTTAGACAGAGTAGATTGGAAACACTCTTTTTGTGGAATTTTCAGGTGGAGGTATCAAGCGCTTTGAGGCCAATGATAGAAAAGGAAATACCTTCGTATAATAATTAGACGGAATCATTCTCAGAAACCGCTTTGCAATGTGTGCGTTCAACTCACAGTGTTTAACCTTTCTTTTCATACAGTTGTTTCGAAACACTCTTTTTGCAGAATCTGCAAGTGGATATTTGGACCTCTTTGAAGTCTTCGTTGGAAATGGGATTTCTTCATATAATGCTAGACAGAAGACTTCTCAGTAACTGCTTTTTCTGGTGTGTATTCAACTCTCAGAGTTGAACTTTCCTTTAGAAACAGCAGATTTGAAACTCTCTTTTTGTGGAATTTGCAAGTGGAGATTTCAGAGCTTTGAGGCCAATGGTAGAAAAGGAAATATCTTCGTATGCAAACTAGACAGAATCATTCTCAGAAACTACTTTGGTACGTGTGTGTTCAACTCACAGTGTTTAACCTTTCTTTTCATAGAGCAGTTTGGAAACACTCAGTTTGTAAAGTCAGCAACTGGATATTTGGATGTATTTGAGGCCTTCGTTGGAAACGGGATTTCTTCATATAATGCTAGACAGAAGAATTCTCAGTAACTTCTTTGGGTTGTGGGTATCCAAGTCACAGAGTTGAAGCTTCCTTTAGGCGGAGCAGATTGGAAACACTTTTTGTGGAATTTTCAGGGGGAGACTTCAAGCGCTTTGAAGTGAATGGTAGGAAAGGAAATATCTTCGTATAAAAACTAGACGGAGTCATTCTCAGAAACTACTTTGTGATGTTTGCGTTCAACTCACAGAGTTTAACGTTTCTTTTCATAGAGCAGTTTGGAAACACTCTTTTTGCAGAATCTGCAAGTGGATATTTGGACCTCTTTGTGGCCTTCGTTGGAAACGGGATTTTTCATATAATGCTAGACAGAAGAATTCTCAGTAACTTCTTTTTGTGGTGTGTATTCAACTCACAGAGTTGAACCTTCCTTTAGACAGAGCAGATTTGAAACTCTCTTTTTGTGGAATTTGCAAGTGGAGATTTCAAGCGCTTTGAGGCCAACGGCAGAAAAGGAAATATCTTCGTAGAAAAAATAGACGGCATCATTCTCAGAAACTGCTTTGGGATGTGTGCATTGAACTCACAGTGTTTAACACTTCTTTTCATAGAGCACTTTGGAAACACTCAGTTTGTAATGTCTGCAGCTGGATATTTGGACCTCTTTGAGGCCTTCGTAGTAAACGGGATTTCTTCGTGTAATGATAGACAATAGAATTCTCAGTGAATTTTTTTCTGTGTGTGTGTATTCAACTCACAGGGTTGAACCTTCCTTCAGACAGTGCAGATATGAAACACTTTTCTGTGGAATTTGCAAGGGGAGATTTCAAGCACTTTGAGGCCATTGGTGGAAAAGGAAATATCTTCATATAAAAACTAGACAGAATCATTCTCAGGAAACTACTTTGTGATATGTGCATTCAACTCACAGAGTTTAACCTTTCTTTTCATAGATGAGTTTGGAAACAGTCAGTTTGTAAATTCTGCAACTGGATATTTGGACCTCTTTGAGGCTTTCGTTGGAAACGGGATTTCTTCACATAATGCTAGACAGAAGAATTCTCAGTAACTTCTTTTGGGATGTATGTATTCAAATCAGAGAGTTGAACCTTCCTTTAGACAGAGCGGATTGGAAACACTCTTTTTGTGGAATTTGCAAGTGGAAAATTCTAGCAGTATGAGGCCAATGGTACAAAAGGAAATATCTTCGTATAAAAACTAGACAGTATCATTCTCAGAAACTGCTTTGTGATGTGTGTATTAAACTCACAGATTTGAACATTTCTTTGCATAGAGCAGTATGGAAAGACTTAGTTTGTGCAGTGTGCAAGTGGATATTTGGAACTCTTTGAGGGCCTTGGTTGGAAACGGGATTTCTTCTTATAATTCTTGACAAAAGAATTCTCAGTAGCTTCTTTGTGTGTGTGTGTACTCAACTCACAGAGTTGAACCTTCCTTTAGACAGAGCAGATTGGAAACACTCTTTTTGTGGAATTTGCAAGTGGAAAATTCTAGCAGTATGAGGCCAATGGTACAAAAGGAAATATCTTCGTATAAAAACTAGACAGTATCATTCTCAGAAACTACTTTGTGATGTGTGCGTTCAACTCACAGAGTTTAACCTTTCTTTTCATAGAGCAGTTTGGAAACACTCTGTTTGTGAAGTCTGCAAGTGGATATTTAAACGTCTTTGAGGCCTTCGTTGGAAACGGGATTTTTTCCTATAAACCAGGACAGAAGAATTCTCAGAAACTTCTTCTTTGTTATGTGTGCATTCAACTCACAGAGTTGAACCTTACTTTGGAAAGAGCAGTTTTCTAACACTCTTTTTGTAAAAGTTCCAAGTGAATACTTTGAGTGCTTTGAAGCCTACGGTAGACAACGAAATATCTTCATGTAAAAACTGCGAAGAATCATTCGCCGAAACCACGTTGTGATCTCTGCATTCAACTCACAGAGTTCAACCTTTCTTCCTATAGAGCAGTTATTAAACAGTCTCTTTGTAGAATTTGCAAGGGTGTATTTAGAGGGCATAGAAGCCTACGGTAGAAAAGGAAATATCTGACCATAAAATCTAGTCAGAAGCATTCTCAGAAACTGAGTTGTGATGTTTGCATTCAACTCACAGAGTTCAACATTCCTTTTAATGGAGCGGTTTTGAAACACTCTTTTTGCAGAATCTGCAAGTGGATATTTGGACCTCTTTGAGGCCTTCGTTGGAAACGGGATTTCTTCATGTAATGCCAGACAGAAGAATTCTCAGTGAATTCTTTCTGTGTGTGTGTATTCAACTCACAGAGTTGAACGTTCCTTTAGACAGAGTAGATTGGAAACACTCTTTTTGTGGAATTTTCAGGTGGAGGTGTCAAGCGCTTTGAGGCCAATGATAGAAAAGGAAATACCTTCGTATAATAATTAGACGGAATCATTCTCAGAAACTGCTTTGCAATGTGTGCGTTCAACTCACAGTGTTTAACCTTTCTTTTCATACAATTGTTTCGAAACACTCTTTTTGCAGAATCTGCAAGTGGATATTTGGACCTCTTTGAAGTCTTCGTTGGAAATGGGATTTCTTCATATAATGCTAGACAGAAGACTTCTCAGTAACTGCTTTTTCTGGTGTGTATTCAACTCTCAGAGTTGAACTTTCCTTTAGAAACAGCAGATTTGAAACTCTCTTTTTGTGGAATTTGCAAGTGGAGATTTCAGAGCTTTGAGGCCAATGGTAGAAAAGGAAATATCTTCGTATGCAAACTAGACAGAATCATTCTCAGAAACTACTTTGGTACGTGTGTGTTCAACTCACAGTGTTTAACCTTTCTTTTCATAGAGCAGTTTGGAAACACTCAGTTTGTAAAGTCAGCAACTGGATATTTGGATGTATTTGAGGCCGTCGTTGGAAACGGGATTTCTTCATATAATGCTAGACAGAAGAATTCTCAGTAACTTCTTTGGGTTGTGGGTATTCAACTCACAGAGTTGAAGCTTCCTTTAGGCGGAGCAGATTGGAAACACTTTTTGTGGAATTTTCAGGGGGAGACTTCAAGCGCTTTGAAGTGAATGGTAGGAAAGGAAATATCTTCGTATAAAAACTAGACGGAGTCATTCTCAGAAACTACTTTGTGATGTTTGCGTTCAACTCACAGAGTTTAACGTTTCTTTTCATAGAGCAGTTTGGAAACACTCTTTTTGCAGAATCTGCAAGTGGATATTTGGACCTTTTTGTGGCCTTCGTTGGAAACGGGATTTTTCATATAATGCTAGACAGAAGAATTCTCAGTAACTTCTTTTTGTGGTGTGTATTCAACTCACAGAGTTGAACCTTCCTTTAGACAGAGCAGATTTGAAACTCTCTTTTTGTGGAATTTGCAAGTGGAGATTTCAAGCGCTTTGAGGCCAACGGCAGAAAAGGAAATATCTTCGTAGAAAAAATAGACGGAATCATTCTCAGAAACTGCTTTGGGATGTGTGCATTGAACTCACAGTGTTTAACACTTCTTTTCATAGAGCACTTTGGAAACACTCAGTTTATAATGTCTGCAGCTGGATATTTGGACCTCTTTGAGGCCTTCGTAGTAAACGGGATTTCTTCGTGTAATGATAGACAATAGAATTCTCAGTGAATTTTTTTCTGTGTGTGTGTATTCAACTCACAGGGTTGAACCATCCTTTAGACAGTGCAGATTTGAAACACTTGTCTGTGGAATTTGCAAGGGGAGATTTCAAGCACTTTGAGGCCATTGGTGGAAAAGGAAATATCTTCGTATGAAAACTAGACAGAATCATTCTCAGGAACTACTTTGTGATATGGGCATTCAACTCACAGAGTTTAACCTTTCTTTTCATAGATGAGTTTGGAAACAGTCAGTTTGTAAATTCTGCAACTGGATATTTGGACCTCTTCGAGGCTTTCGTTGGAAACGGGATTTCTTCACATAATGCTAGACAGAAGAATTCTCAGTAACTTCTTTTGGGATGTATGTATTCAAATCAGAGAGTTGAACCTTCCTTTAGACAGAGCGGATTGGAAACACTCTTTTTGTGGAATTTGCAAGTGGAAAATTCTAGCAGTATGAGGCCAATGGTACAAAAGGAAATATCTTCGTATAAAAACTAGACAGTATCATTCTCAGAAACTGCTTTGCGATGTGTGTATTAAACTCACAGAGTTGAACATTTCTTTGCATAGAGCAGTTTGGAAAGACTTAGTTTGTGCAGTGTGCAAGTGGATATTTGGAACTACTTTGAGGCCTTCGTTGGAAACGGGATTTCTTCTTATAATTCTTGACAAAAGAATTCTCAGTAGCTTCTTTGTGTGTGTGTATTCAACTCACAGAGTTGAACCTTCCTTTAGACAGAGCAGATTGGAAACACTCTTTTTGTGGAATTTGCAAGTGGAGAATTCTAGCGCTTTGACGCCAATGGTAGAAAGGAAATATCTTCGTATAAAAACTAGACAGTATCATTCTCAGAAACTACTTTGTGATGTGCGCGTTCAACTCACAGAGTTTAACCTTTCTTTTCATAGAGCAGTTTGGAAACACTCTGTTTGTGAAGTCTGCAAGTGGATATTTAAACGTCTTTGAGGCCTTCGTTGGAAACGGGATTTGTTCATATA
The DNA here is from genome assembly GCF_000001405.40 of Homo sapiens. NCBI lineage: Eukaryota > Metazoa > Chordata > Mammalia > Primates > Hominidae > Homo > Homo sapiens. Next base: position 92,930,337 of record NC_000003.12, read on the forward strand.
AACCAGGACAGAAGAATTCTCAGAAACTTCTTGATTGTTATGTGTGCATTCAACTCACAGAGTTGAACCTTACTTTGGAAAGAGCAGTTTTCTAACACTCTTTTTGTAAAAGTTCCAAGTGAATACTTTGAGTGCTTTGAAGCCTACGGTTGACAACGAAATATCTTCATGTAAAAACTACAAAGAATCATTCGCAGAAACCACGTTGTGATCTCTGCATTCAACTCACAGAGTTCAACCTTTCTTCCTATAGAGCAGTTATGAAACAGTCTCTTTGTAGAATTTGCAAGGGTGTATTTAGAGGGCATTGAAGCCTACGGTAGAAAAGGAAATATCTTACCATAAAATCTAGTCAGAAGCATTCTCAGAAACTGAGTTGTGATGTTTGCATTCAACTCACAGAGTTCAACATTCCTTTTAATGGAGCGGTTTTGAAACACTCTTTTTGCAGAATCTGCAAGTGGATATTTGGACCTCTTTGAGGCCTTCGTTGGAAACGGGATTTCTTCATGTAATGCCAGACAGAAGAATTCTCAGTGAATTCTTTCTGTGTGTGTGTATTCAACTCACAGAGTTGAACGTTCCTTTAGACAGAGTAGATTGGAAACACTCTTTTTGTGGAATTTTCAGGTGGAGGTATCAAGCGCTTTGAGGCCAATGATAGAAAAGGAAATACCTTCGTATAATAATTAGACGGAATCATTCTCAGAAACTGCTTTGCAATGTGTGCGTTCAACTCACAGTGTTTAACCTTTCTTTTCATACAATTGTTTCGAAACACTCTTTTTGCAGAATCTGCAAGTGGATATTTGGACCTCTTTGAAGTCTTCGTTGGAAATGGGATTTCTTCATATAATGCTAGACAGAAGACTTCTCAGTAACTGCTTTTTCTGGTGTGTATTCAACTCTCAGAGTTGAACTTTCCTTTAGAAACAGCAGATTTGAAACTCTCTTTTTGTGGAATTTGCAAGTGGAGATTTCAAAGCTTTGAGGCCAGTGGTAGAAAAGGAAATATCTTTGTATGCAAACTAGACAGAAGCATTCTCAGAAACTGAGTTGTGATGTTTGCATTCAACTCACAGAGTTCAACATTCCTTTTAATGGAGAGGTTTTGAAACACTCTTTTTGCAGAATCTGCAAGTGGATATTTGGACCTCTTTGAGGCCTTCGTTGGAAACGGGATTTCTTCATATAATGCTAGACAGAAGAATTCTCAGTAACTTCTTTGGGTTGTGGGTATTCAACTCACAGAGTTGAAGCTTCCTTTAGGCGGAGCAGATTGGAAACACTTTTTGTGGAATTTTCAGGGGGAGACTTCAAGCGCTTTGAAGTGAATGTTAGGAAAGGTAATATTCTTCGTATAAAAACTAGACGGAGTCATTCTCAGAAACTACTTTGTGATGTTTGCGTTCAACTCACAGAGTTTAACGTTTCTTTTCATAGAGCAGTTTGGAAACACTCATTTTGCAGAATCTGCAAGTGGATATTTGGACCTCTTTGTGGCCTTCGTTGGAAACGGGATTTTTCATATAATGCTAGACAGAAGAATTCTCAGTAACTTCTTTTTGTGGTGTGTATTCAACTCACAGAGTTGAACCTTCCTTTAGACAGAGCAGATTTGAAACTCTCTTTTTGTGGAATTTGCAAGTGGAGATTTCAAGCGCTTTGAGGCCAACGGCAGAAAAGGAAATATCTTCGTAGAAAAAATAGACGGAATCATTCTCAGAAACTACTTTGGGATGTGTGCATTGAACTCACAGTGTTTAACACTTCTTTTCATAGAGCACTTTGGAAACACTGAGTTTGTAATGTCTGCAGCTGGATATTTGGACCTCTTTGAGGCCTTCGTAGTAAACGGGATTTCTTCGTGTAATGATAGACAATAGAATTCTCAGTGAATTTTTTTCTGTGTGTGTGTATTCAACTCACAGGTTTGAACCTTCCTTCAGACAGTGCAGGTTTGAAACAATTTTCTGTGGAATTTGCAAGGGGAGATTTCAAGCACTTTGAGGCCATTGGTGGAAAAGGGAATATCTTCGTATAAAAACTAGACAGAATCATTCTCAGGAACTACTTTGTGATATGTGCATTCAACTCACAGAGTTTAACCTTTCTTTTCATTGATGAGTTTGGAAACAGTCAGTTTGTAAATTCTGCAACTGGATATTTGGACCTCTTTGAGGCTTTCGTTGGAAACGGGATTTCTTCACATAATGCTAGACAGAAGAATTCTCAGTAACTTCTTTTGGGATGTATGTATTCAAATCAGAGAGTTGAACCTTCCTTTAGACAGAGCGGATTGGAAACACTCTTTTTGTGGAATTTGCAAGTGGAAAATTCTAGCAGTATGAGGCCAATGGTACAAAAGGAAATATCTTCGTATAAAAACTAGACAGTATCATTCTCAGAAACTGCTTTGTGATGTGTGTATTAAACTCACAGAGTTGAACATTTCTTTGCATAGAGCAGTTTGGAAAGACTTAGTTTGTGCAGTGTGCAAGTGGATATTTGGAACTCTTTGAGGCCTTCATTGGAAACGGGATTTCTTCTTATAATTCTTGACAAAAGAATTCTCAGTAGCTTCTTTGTGTGTGTGTATTCAACTCACAGAGTTGAACCTTCCTTTAGACAGAGCAGATTGGAAACACTCTTTTTGTGGAATTTGCAAGTGGAGAATTCTAGCGCTTTGACGCCAATGGTAGAAAGGAAATATCTTCGTATAAAAACTAGACAGTATCATTCTCAGAAGCTACTTTGTGATGTGTGCGTTCAACTCACAGAGTTTAACCTTTCTTTTCATAGAGCAGTTTGGAAACCCTCTGTTTGTGAAGTCTGCAAGTGGATATTTAAACGTCTTTGAGGCCTTCGTTGGAAACGGGATTTTTTCATATAAACCAGGACAGAAGAATTCTCAGAAACTTCTTGATTGTTATGTGTGCATTCAACTCACAGAGTTGAACCTTACTTTGGAAAGAGCGGTTTTCTAACACTCTTTTTGTAAAAGTTCCAAGTGAATACTTTGAGTGCTTTGAAGCCTACGGTTGACAACGAAATATCTTCATGTAAAAACTACAAAGAATCATTCGCAGAAACCACGTTGTGATCTCTGCATTCAACTCACAGAGTTGAACCTTTCTTCCTATAGAGCAGTTATGAAACAGTCTCTTTGTAGAATTTGCAAGGGTGTATTTAGAGGGCATTGAAGCCTACGGTAGAAAAGGAAATATCTTACCATAAAATCTAGTCAGAAGCATTCTCAGAAACTGAGTTGTGATGTTTGCATTCAACTCACAGAGTTCAACATTCCTTTTAATGGAGCGGTTTTGAAACACTCTTTTTGCAGAATCTGCAAGTGGATATTTGGACCTCTTTGAGGCCTTCGTTGGAAACGGGATTTCTTCATGTAATGCCAGACAGAAGAATTCTCAGTGAATTCTTTCTGTGTGTGTGTATTCAACTCACAGAGTTGAACGTTCCTTTAGACAGAGTAGATTGGAAACACTCTTTTTGTGGAATTTTCAGGTGGATGTATCAAGCGCTTTGAGGCCAATGATAGAAAAGGAAATACCTTCGTATAATAATTAGACGGAATCATTCTCAGAAACTGCTTTGCAATGTGTGCGTTCAACTCACAGTGTTTAACCTTTCTTTTCATACAGTTGTTTCGAAACACTCTTTTTGCAGAATCTGCAAGTGGATATTTGGACCTCTTTGAAGTCTTCGTTGGAAATGGGATTTCTTCATATAATGCTAGACAGAAGACTTCTCAGTAACTGCTTTTTCTGGTGTGTATTCAACTCTCAGAGTTGAACTTTCCTTTAGAAACAGCAGATTTGAAACTCTCTTTTTGTGGAATTTGCAAGTGGAGATTTCAGAGCTTTGAGGCCAATGGTAGAAAAGGAAATATCTTCGTATGCAAACTAGACAGAATCATTCTCAGAAACTACTTTGGTACGTGTGTGTTCAACTCACAGTGTTCAACCTTTCCTTTCATAGAGCAGTTTGGAAACACTCAGTTTGTAAAGTCAGCAACTGGATATCTGGATGTATTTGAGGCCTTCGTTGGAAACGGGATTTCTTCATATAATGCTAGACAGAAGAATTCTCAGTAACTTCTTTGGGTTGTGGGTATTCAACTCACAGAGTTGAAGCTTCCTTTAGGCGGAGCAGATTGGAAACACTTTTTGTGGAATTTTCAGGGGGAGACTTCAAGCGCTTTGAAGTGAATGGTAGGAAAGGAAATATCTTCGTATAAAAACTAGACGGAGTCATTCTCAGAAACTACTTTGTGATGTTTGTGTTCAACTCACAGAGTTTAACGTTTCTTTTCATAGAGCAGTTTGGAAACACTCTTTTTGCAGAATCTGCAAGTGGATATTTGGACCTCTTTGTGGCCTTCGTTGGAAACGGGATTTTTCATATAATGCTAGACAGAAGAATTCTCAGTAACTTCTTTTTGTGGTGTGTATTCAACTCACAGAGTTGAACCTTCCTTTAGACAGAGCAGATTTGAAACTCTCTTTTTGTGGAATTTGCAAGTGGAGATTTCAAGCGCTTTGAGGCCAACGGCAGAAAAGGAAATATCTTCGTAGAAAAAATAGACGGAATCATTCTCAGAAACTGCTTTGGGATGTGTGCATTGAACTCACAGTGTTTAACACTTCTTTTCATAGAGCACTTTGGAAACACTCAGTTTGTAATGTCTGCAGCTGGATATTTGGACCTCTTTGAGGCCTTCGTAGTAAACGGGATTTCTTCGTGTAATGATAGACAGTAGAATTCTCAGTGAATTTGTTTCTGTGTGTGTGTATTCAACTCACAGGGTTGAACCTTCCTTTAGACAGTGCAGATTTGAAACACTTGTCTGTGGAATTTGCAAGGGGAGATTTCAAGCACTTTGAGGCCATTGGTGGAAAAGGAAATATCTTCGTATAAAAACTAGACAGAATCATTCTCAGGAACTACTTTGTGATATGTGCATTCAACTCACAGAGTTTAACCTTTCTTTTCATAGATGAGTTTGGAAACAGTCAGTTTGTAAATTCTGCAACTGGATATTTGGACCTCTTTGAGGCTTTCGTTGGAAACGGGATTTCTTCACATAATGCTAGACAGAAGAATTCTCAGTAACTTCTTTTGGGATGTATGTATTCAAATCAGAGAGTTGAACCTTCCTTTAGACAGAGCGGATTGGAAACACTCTCTTTGTGGAATTTGCAAGTGGAAAATTCTAGCAGTATGAGGCCAATGGTACAAAAGGAAATATCTTCGTATAAAAACTAGACAGTATCATTCTCAGAAACTGCTTTGTGATGTGTGTATTAAACTCACAGAGTTGAACATTTCTTTGCATAGAGCAGTTTGGAAAGACTTAGTTTGTGCAGTGTGCAAGTGGATATTTGGAACTCTTTGAGGCCTTCGTTGGAAACGGGATTTCTTCTTATAATTCTTGACAAAAGAATTCTCAGTAGCTTCTTTGTGTGTGTGTATTCAACTCACAGAGTTGAACCTTCCTTTAGACAGAGCAGATTGGAAACACTCTTTTTGTGGAATTTGCAAGGGGAGAATTCTAGCGCTTTGACGCCAATGGTAGAAAGGAAATATCTTCGTATAAAAACTAGACAGTATCATTCTCAGAAGCTACTTTGTGATGTGTGCGTTCAACTCACAGAGTTTAACCTTTCTTTTCATAGAGCAGTTTGGAAACCCTCTGTTTGTGAAGTCTGCAAGTGGATATTTAAACGTCTTTGAGGCCTTCGTTGGAAACGGGATTTTTTCATATAAACCAGGACAGAAGAATTCTCAGAAACTTCTTGATTGTTATGTGTGCATTCAACTCACAGAGTTGAACCTTACTTTGGAAAGAGCAGTTTCCTAACACTCGTTTTGTAAAAGTTCCAAGTGAATACTTTGAGTGCTTTGAAGCCTACGGTTGACAACGAAATATCTTCATGTAAAAACTACAAAGAATCATTCGCAGAAACCACGTTGTGATCTCTGCATTCAACTCACAGAGTTCAACCTTTCTTCCTATAGAGCAGTTATGAAACAGTCTCTTTGTAGAATTTGCAAGGGTGTATTTAGAGGGCATTGAAGCCTACGGTAGAAAAGGAAATATCTTACCATAAAATCTAGTCAGAAGCATTCTCAGCAACTGAGTTGTGATGTTTGCATTCAACTCACAGAGTTCAACATTCCTTTTAATGGAGCGGTTTTGAAACACTCTTTTTGCAGAATCTGCAAGTGGATATTTGGACCTCTTTGAGGCCTTCGTTGGAAACGGGATTTCTTCATGTAATGCCAGACAGAAGAATTCTCAGTGAATTCTTTCTGTGTGTGTGTATTCAACTCACAGAGTTGAACGTTCCTTTAGACAGAGTAGATTGGAAACACTCTTTTTGTGGAATTTTCAGGTGGAGGTATCAAGCGCTTTGAGGCCAATGATAGAAAAGGAAATACCTTCGTATAATAATTAGACGGAATCATTCTCAGAAACTGCTTTGCAATGTGTGCGTTCAACTCACAGTGTTTAACCTTTCTTTTCATACAGTTGTTTCGAAACACTCTTTTTGCAGAATCTGCAAGTGGATATTTGGACCTCTTTGAAGTCTTCGTTGGAAATGGGATTTCTTCATATAATGCTAGACAGAAGACTTCTCAGTAACTGCTTTTTCTGGTGTGTATTCAACTCTCAGAGTTGAACTTTCCTTTAGAAACAGCAGATTTGAAACTCTCTTTTTGTGGAATTTGCAAGTGGAGATTTCAGAGCTTTGAGGCCAATGGTAGAAAAGGAAATATCTTCGTATGCAAACTAGACAGAATCATTCTCAGAAACTACTTTGGTACGTGTGTGTTCAACTCACAGTGTTTAACCTTTCTTTTCATAGAGCAGTTTGGAAACACTCAGTTTGTAAAGTCAGCAACTGGATATTTGGATGTATTTGAGGCCTTCGTTGGAAACGGGATTTCTTCATATAATGCTAGACAGAAGAATTCTCAGTAACTTCTTTGGGTTGTGGGTATTCAAGTCACAGAGTTGAAGCTTCCTTTAGGCGGAGCAGATTGGAAACACTTTTTGTGGAATTTTCAGGGGGAGACTTCAAGCGCTTTGAAGTGAATGGTAGGAAAGGAAATATCTTCGTATAAAAACTAGACGGAGTCATTCTCAGAAACTACTTTGTGATGTTTGCGTTCAACTCACAGAGTTTAACGTTTCTTTTCATAGAGCAGTTTGGAAACACTCTTTTTGCAGAATCTGCAAGTGGATATTTGGACCTCTTTGTGGCCTTCGTTGGAAACGGGATTTTTCATATAATGCTAGACAGAAGAATTCTCAGTAACTTCTTTTTGTGGTGTGTATTCAACTCACAGAGTTGAACCTTCCTTTAGACAGAGCAGATTTGAAACTCTCTTTTTGTGGAATTTGCAAGTGGAGATTTCAAGCGCTTTGAGGCCAACGGCAGAAAAGGAAATATCTTCGTAGAAAAAATAGACGGAATCATTCTCAGAAACTGCTTTGGGATGTGTGCATTGAACTCACAGTGTTTAACACTTCTTTTCATAGAGCACTTTGGAAACACTCAGTTTGTAATGTCTGCAGCTGGATATTTGGACCTCTTTGAGGCCTTCGTAGTAAACGGGATTTCTTCGTGTAATGATAGACAATAGAATTCTCAGTGAATTTTTTTCTGTGTGTGTGTATTCAACTCACAGGGTTGAACCTTCCTTTAGACAGTGCAGATTTCAAACACTTGTCTGTGGAATTTGCAAGGGGAGATTTCAAGCACTTTGAGGCCATTGGTGGAAAAGGAAATATCTTCGTATGAAAACTAGACAGAATCATTCTCAGGAACTACTTTGTGATATGTGCATTCAACTCCCAGAGTTTAACCTTTCTTTTCATAGATGAGTTTGGAAACAGTCAGTTTGTAAATTCTGCAACTGGATATTTGGACCTCTTTGAGGCTTTCGTTGGAAACGGGATTTCTTCACATAATGCTAGACAGAAGAATTCTCAGGAACTTCTTTTGGGATGTATGTATTCAAATCAGAGAGTTGAACCTTCCTTTAGACAGAGCGGATTGGAAACACTCTTTTTGTGGAATTTGCAAGTGGAAAATTCTAGCAGTATGAGGCCAATGGTACAAAAGGAAATATCTTTCGTATAAAAACTAGACAGTAATCATTCTCAGAAACTGCTTTGTGATGTGTGTATTAAACTCACAGAGTTGAACATTTCTTTGCATAGAGCAGTTTGGAAAGACTTAGTTTGTGCAGTGTGCAAGTGGATATTTGGAACTCTTTGAGGCCTTCGTTGGAAACGGGATTTCTTCTTATAATTCTTGACAAAAGAATTCTCAGTAGCTTCTTTGTGTGTGTGTATTCAACTCACAGAGTTGAACCTTCCTTTAGACAGAGCAGATTGGAAACACTCTTTTTGTGGAATTTGCAAGTGGAGAATTCTAGCACTTTGACGCCAATGGTAGAAAGGAAATATCTTCGTATAAAAACTAGACAGTATCATTCTCAGAAGCTACTTTGTGATGTGTGCGTTCAACTCACAGAGTTTAACCTTTCTTTTCATAGAGCAGTTTGGAAACCCTCTGTTTGTGAAGTCTGCAAGTGGATATTTAAACGTCTTTGAGGCCTTCGTTGGAAACGGGATTTGTTCATATAAACCAGGACAGAAGAATTCTCAGAAACTTCTTGATTGTTATGTGTGCATTCAACTCACAGAGTTGAACCTTACTTTGGAAAGAGCAGTTTTCTAACACTCTTTTTGTAAAAGTTCCAAGTGAATACTTTGAGTGCTTTGAAGCCTACGGTTGACAACGAAATATCTTCATGTAAAAACTACAAAGAATCATTCGCAGAAACCACGTTGTGATCTCTGCATTCAACTCACAGAGTTGAACCTTTCTTCCTATAGAGCAGTTATGAAACAGTCTCTTTGTAGAAATTGCAAGGGTGTATTTAGAGGGCATTGAAGCCTACGGTAGAAAAGGAAATATCTTACTATAAAATCTAGTCAGAAGCATTCTCAGCAACTGAGTTGTGATGTTTGCATTCAACTCACAGAGTTCAACATTCCTTTTAATGGAGCGGTTTTGAAACACTCTTTTTGCAGAATCTGCAAGTGGATATTTGGACCTCTTTGAGGCCTTCGTTGGAAACGGGATTTCTTCATGTAATGCCAGACAGAAGAATTCTCAGTGAATTCTTTCTGTGTGTGTGTATTCAACTCACGGAGTTGAACGTTCCTTTAGACAGAGTAGATTGGAAACACTCTTTTTGTGGAATTTTCAGGTGGAGGTATCAAGCGCTTTGAGGCCAATGATAGAAAAGGAAATACCTTCGTATAATAATTAGACGGAATCATTCTCAGAAACTGCTTTGCAATGTGTGCGTTCAACTCACAGTGTTTAACCTTTCTTTTCATACAGTTGTTTCGAAACACTCTTTTTGCAGAATCTGCAAGTGGATATTTGGACCTCTTTGAAGTCTTCGTTGGAAATGGGATTTCTTCATATAATGCTAGACAGAAGACTTCTCAGTAACTGCTTTCTCTGGTGTGTATTCAACTCTCAGAGTTGAACTTTCCTTTAGAAACAGCAGATTTGAAACTCTCTTTTTGTGGAATTTGCAAGTGGAGATTTCAGAGCTTTGAGGCCAATGGTAGAAAAGGAAATATCTTCGTATGCAAACTAGACAGAATCATTCTCAGAAACTACTTTGGTACGTGTGTGTTCAACTCACAGTGTTTAACCTTTCTTTTCATAGAGCAGTTTGGAAACACTCAGTTTGTAAAGTCAGCAACTGGATATTTGGATGTATTTGAGGCTTCGTTGGAAACGGGATTTCTTCATATAATGCTAGACAGAAGAATTCTCAGTAACTTCTTTGGGTTGTGGGTATTCAAGTCACAGAGTTGAAGCTTCCTTTAGGCGGAGCAGATTGGAAACACTTTTTGTGGAATTTTCAGGGGGAGACTTCAAGCGCTTTGAAGTGAATGGTAGGAAAGGAAATATCTTCGTATAAAAACTAGACGGAGTCATTCTCAGAAACTACTTTGTGATGTTTGCGTTCAACTCACAGAGTTTAACGTTTCTTTTCATAGAGCAGTTTGGAAACACTCTTTTTGCAGAATCTGCAAGTGGATATTTGGACCTCTTTGTGGCCTTCGTTGGAAACGGGATTTTTCATATAATGCTAGACAGAAGAATTCTCAGTAACTTCTTTTTGTGGTGTGTATTCAACTCACAGAGTTGAACCTTCCTTTAGACAGAGCAGATTTGAAACTCTCTTTTTGTGGAATTTGCAAGTGGAGATTTCAAGCGCTTTGAGGCCAACGGCAGAAAAGGAAATATCTTCGTAGAAAAAATAGACGGAATCATTCTCAGAAACTGCTTTGGGATGTGTGCATTGAACTCACAGTGTTTAACACTTCTTTTCATAGAGCACTTTGGAAACACTCAGTTTGTAATGTCTGCAGCTGGATATTTGGACCTCTTTGAGGCCTTCGTGGTAAACGGGATTTCTTCGTGTAATGATAGACAATAGAATTCTCAGTGAATTTTTTTCTGTGTGTGTGTATTCAACTCACAGGGTTGAACCTTCCTTTAGACAGTGCAGATTTGAAACACTTGTCTGTGGAATTTGCAAGGGGAGATTTCAAGCACTTTGAGGCCATTGGTGGAAAAGGAAATATCTTCGTATGAAAACTAGACAGAATCATTCTCAGGAACTACTTTGTGATATGTGCATTCAACTCACAGAGTTTAACCTTTCTTTTCATAGATGAGTTTGGAAACAGTCAGTTTGTAAATTCTGCAACTGGATATTTGGACCTCTTTGAGGCTTTCGTTGGAAACGGGATTTCTTCACATAATGCTAGACAGAAGAATTCTCAGGAACTTCTTTTGGGATGTATGTATTCAAATCAGAGAGTTGAACCTTCCTTTAGACAGAGCGGATTGGAAACACTCTTTTTGTGGAATTTGCAAGTGGAAAATTCTAGCAGTATGAGGCCAATGGTACAAAAGGAAATATCTTCGTATAAAAACTAGACAGTAATCATTCTCAGAAACTGCTTTGTGATGTGTGTATTAAACTCACAGAGTTGAACATTTCTTTGCATAGAGAAGTTTGGAAAGACTTAGTTTGTGCAGTGTGCAAGTGGATATTTGGAACTCTTTGAGGCCTTCGTTGGAAACGGGATTTCTTCTTATAATTCTTGACAAAAGAATTCTCAGTAGCTTCTTTGTGTGTGTGTATTCAACTCACAGAGTTGAACCTTCCTTTAGACAGAGCAGATTGGAAACACTCTTTTTGTGGAATTTGCAAGTGGAGAATTCTAGCGCTTTGACGCCAATTGTAGAAAGGAAATATCTTCGTATAAAAACTAGACAGTATCATTCTCAGAAGCTACTTTGTGATGTGTGCGTTCAACTCACAGAGTTTAACCTTTCTTTTCATAGAGCAGTTTGGAAACCCTCTGTTTGTGAAGTCTGCAAGTGGATATTTAAACGTCTTTGAGGCCTTCGTTGGAAACGGGATTTTTTCATATAAACCAGGACAGAAGAATTCTCAGAAACTTCTTGATTGTTATGTGTGCATTCAACTCACAGAGTTGAACCTTACTTTGGAAAGAGCAGTTTCCTAACACTCGTTTTGTAAAAGTTCCAAGTGAATACTTTGAGTGCTTTGAAGCCTACGGTTGACAACGAAATATCTTCATGTAAAAACTACAAAGAATCATTCGCAGAAACCACGTTGTGATCTCTGCATTCAACTCACAGAGTTCAACCTTTCTTCCTATAGAGCAGTTATGAAACAGTCTCTTTGTAGAATTTGCAAGGGTGTATTTAGAGGGCATTGAAGCCTACGGTAGAAAAGGAAATATCTTACCATAAAATCTAGTCAGAAGCATTCTCAGCAACTGAGTTGTGATGTTTGCATTCAACTCACAGAGTTCAACATTCCTTTTAATGGAGCGGTTTTGAAACACTCTTTTTGCAGAATCTGCAAGTGGATATTTGGACCTCTTTGAGGCCTTCGTTGGAAACGGGATTTCTTCATGTAATGCCAGACAGAAGAATTCTCAGTGAATTCTTTCTGTGTGTGTGTATTCAACTCACAGAGTTGAACGTTCCTTTAGACAGAGTAGATTGGAAACACTCTTTTTGTGGAATTTTCAGGTGGAGGTATCAAGCGCTTTGAGGCCAATGATAGAAAAGGAAATACCTTCGTATAATAATTAGACGGAATCATTCTCAGAAACTGCTTTGCAATGTGTGCGTTCAACTCACAGTGTTTAACCTTTCTTTTCATACAGTTGTTTCGAAACACTCTTTTTGCAGAATCTGCAAGTGGATATTTGGACCTCTTTGAAGTCTTCGTTGGAAATGGGATTTCTTCATATAATGCTAGACAGAAGACTTCTCAGTAACTGCTTTTTCTGGTGTGTATTCAACTCTCAGAGTTGAACTTTCCTTTAGAAACAGCAGAGTTGAAACTCTCTTTTTGTGGAATTTGCAAGTGGAGATTTCAAAGCTTTGAGGCCAATGGTAGAAAAGGAAATATCTTCGTATGCAAACTAGACAGAATCATTCTCAGAAACTACTTTGGTACGTGTGTGTTCAACTCACAGTGTTTAACCTTTCTTTTCATAGAGCAGTTTGGAAACACTCAGTTTGTAAAGTCAGCAACTGGATATTTGGATGTATTTGAGGCCTTCGTTGGAAACGGGATTTCTTCATATAGTGCTAGACAGAAGAATTCTCAGTAACTTCTTTGGGTTGTGGGTATTCAAGTCACAGAGTTGAAGCTTCCTTTAGGCGGAGCAGATTGGAAACACTTTTTGTGGAATTTTCAGGGGGAGACTTCAAGCGCTTTGAAGTGAATGGTAGGAAAGGAAATATCTTCGTATAAAAACTAGACGGAGTCATTCTCAGAAACTACTTTGTGATGTTTGCGTTCAACTCACAGAGTTTAACGTTTCTTTTCATAGAGCAGTTTGGAAACACTCTTTTTGCAGAATCTGCAAGTGGATATTTGGACCTCTTTGTGGCCTTCGTTAGAAACGGGATTTTTCATATAATGCTAGACAGAAGAATTCTCAGTAACTTCTTTTTGTGGTGTGTATTCAACTCACAAGAGTTGAACCTTCCTTTAGACAGAGCAGATTTGAAACTCTCTTTTTGTGGAATTTGCAAGTGGAGATTTCAAGCGCTTTGAGGCCAACGGTAGAAAAGGAAATATCTTCGTAGAAAAAATAGACGGAATCATTCTCAGAAACTGCTTTGGGATGTGTGCATTGAACTCACAGTGTTTAACACTTCTTTTCATAGAGCACTTTGGAAACACTCAGTTTGTAATGTCTGCAGCTGGATATTTGGACCTCTTTGAGGCCTTCGTAGTAAACGGGATTTCTTCGTGTAATGATAGACAATAGAATTCTCAGTGAATTTTTTTCTGTGTATGTGTATTCAACTCACAGGGTTGAACCTTCCTTCAGACAGTGCAGATTTGAAACACTTTTCTGTGGAATTTGCAAGGGGAGATTTCAAGCACTTTGAGGCCATTGGTGGAAAAGGAAATATCTTCGTATAAAAACTAGACAGAATCATTCTCAGGAACTACTTTGTGATATGTGCATTCAACTCACAGAGTTTAACCTTTCTTTTCATAGATGAGTTTGGAAACAGTCAGTTTGTAAATTCTGCAACTGGATATTTGGACCTCTTGGAGGCTTTCGTTGGAAACGGGATTTCTTCACATAATGCTAGACAGAAGAATTCTCAGTAACTTCTTTTGGGATGTATGTATTCAAATCAGAGAGTTGAACCTTCCTTTAGACAGAGCGGATTGGAAACACTCTTTTTGTGGAATTTGCAAGTGGAAAATTCTAGCAGTATGAGGCCAATGGTACAAAAGGAAATATCTTCGTATAAAAACTAGACAGTATCATTCTCAGAAACTGCTTTGTGATGTGTGTATTAAACTCACAGAGTTGAACATTTCTTTGCATAGAGCAGTTTGGAAAGACTTAGTTTTTGCAGTGTGCAAGTGGATATTTGGAACTCTTTGAGGCCTTCGTTGGAAACGGGATTTCTTCTTATAATTCTTGACAAAAGAATTCTCAGTAGCTTCTTTGTGTGTGTGTATTCAACTCACAGAGTTGAACCTTCCTTTAGACAGAGCAGATTGGAAACACTCTTTTTGTGGAATTTGCAAGTGGAGAATTCTAGCGCTTTGACGCCAATGGTACAAAAGGAAATATCTTCGTATAAAAACTAGACAGTATCATTCTCAGAAACTGCTTTGTGATGTGTGTATTAAACTCACAGAGTTTAACCTTTCTTTTCATAGAGCAGTTTGGAAACCCTCTGTTTGTGAAGTCTGCAAGTGGATATTTAAACGTCTTTGAGGCCTTCGTTGGAAACGGGATTTTTTCATATAAACCAGGACAGAAGAATTCTCAGAAACTTCTTGATTGTTATGTGTGCATTCAACTCACAGAGTTGAACCTTACTTTGGAAAGAGCAGTTTTCTAACACTCTTTTTGTAAAAGTTCCAAGTGAATACTTTGAGTGCTTTGAAGCCTACGGTTGACAACGAAATATCTTCATGTAAAAACTACAAAGAATCATTCGCAGAAACCACGTTGTGATCTCTGCATTCAACTCACAGTGTTGAACCTTTCTTCCTATAGAGCAGTTATGAAACAGTCTCTTTGTAGAATTTGCAAGGGTGTATTTAGAGGGCATTGAAGCCTACGGTAGAAAAGGAAATATCTTACCATAAAATCTAGTCAGAAGCATTCTCAGCAACTGAGTTGTGATGTTTGCATTCAACTCACAGAGTTCAACATTCCTTTTAATGGAGCGGTTTTGAAACACTCTTTTTGCAGAATCTGCAAGTGGATATTTGGACCTCTTTGAGGCCTTCGTTGGAAACGGGATTTCTTCATGTAATGCCAGACAGAAGAATTCTCAGTGAATTCTTTCTGTGTGTGTGTATTCAACTCACAGAGTTGAACGTTCCTTTAGACAGAGTAGATTGGAAACACTCTTTTTGTGGAATTTTCAGGTGGAGGTATCAAGCGCTTTGAGGCCAATGATAGAAAAGGAAATACCTTCGTATAATAATTAGACGGAATCATTCTCAGAAACTGCTTTGCAATGTGTGCGTTCAACTCACAGTGTTTAACCTTTCTTTTCATACAGTTGTTTCGAAACACTCTTTTTGCAGAATCTGCAAGTGGATATTTGGACCTCTTTGAAGTCTTCGTTGGAAATGGGATTTCTTCATATAATGCTAGACAGAAGACTTCTCAGTAACTGCTTTTTCTGGTGTGTATTCAACTCTCAGAGTTGAACTTTCCTTGAGAAACAGCAGATTTGAAACTCTCTTTTTGTGGAATTTGCAAGTGGAGATTTCAGAGCTTTGAGGCCAATGGTAGAAAAGGAAACATCTTCGTATGCAAACTACACAGAATCATTCTCAGAAACTACTTTGGTACGTGTGTGTTCAACTCACAGTGTTTAACCTTTCTTTTCATAGAGCAGTTTGGAAACACTCAGTTTGTAAAGTCAGCAACTGGATATTTGGATGTATTTGAGGCCTTCGTTGGAAACGGGATTTCTTCATATAATGCTAGACAGAAGAATTCTCAGTAACTTCTTTGGGTTGTGGGTATTCAAGTCACAGAGTTGAAGCTTCCTTTAGGCGGAGCAGATTGGAAACACTTTTTGTGGAATTTTCAGGGGGAGACTTCAAGCGCTTTGAAGTGAATGGTAGGAAAGGAAATATCTTCGTATAAAAACTAGACGGAGTCATTCTCAGAAACTACTTTGTGATGTTTGCGTTCAACTCACAGAGTTTAACGTTTCTTTTCATAGAGCAGTTTGGAAACACTCTTTTTGCAGAATCTGCAAGTGGATATTTGGACCTCTTTGTGGCCTTCGTTGGAAACGGGATTTTTCATATAATGCTAGACAGAAGAATTCTCAGTAACTTCTTTTTGTGGTGTGTATTCAACTCACAGAGTTGAACCTTCCTTTAGACAGAGCAGATTTGAAACTCTCTTTTTGTGGAATTTGCAAGTGGAGATTTCAAGCGCTTTGAGGCCAACGGCAGAAAAGGAAATATCTTCGTAGAAAAAATAGACGGAATCATTCTCAGAAACTG
The DNA here is from genome assembly GCF_000001405.40 of Homo sapiens. NCBI lineage: Eukaryota > Metazoa > Chordata > Mammalia > Primates > Hominidae > Homo > Homo sapiens. The sequence continues at coordinate 92,946,528 of NC_000003.12, forward strand.
CTTTGGGATGTGTGCATTGAACTCACAGTGTTTAACACTTCTTTTCATAGAGCACTTTGGAAACACTCAGTTTGAAATGTCTGCAGCTGGATATTTGGACCTCTTTGAGGCCTTCGTAGTAAACGGGATTTCTTCGTGTAATGATAGACAATAGAATTCTCAGTGAATTTTTTTCTGTGTGTGTGTATTCAACTCACAGGGTTGAACCATCCTTTAGACAGTGCAGATTTGAAACACTTGTCTGTGGAATTTGCAAGGGGAGATTTCAAGCACTTTGAGGCCATTGGTGGAAAAGGAAATATCTTCGTATGAAAACTATACAGAATCATTCTCAGGAACTACTTTGTGATATGGGCATTCAACTCCCAGAGTTTAACCTTTCTTTTCATAGATGAGTTTGGAAACAGTCAGTTTGTAAATTCTGCAACTGGATATTTGGACCTCTTTGAGGCTTTCGTTGGAAACGGGATTTCTTCACATAATGCTAGACAGAAGAATTCTCAGTAACTTCTTTTGGGATGTATGTATTCAAATCAGAGAGTTGAACCTTCCTTTAGACAGAGCGGATTGGAAACACTCTTTTTGTGGAATTTGCAAGTGGAAAATTCTAGCAGTATGAGGCCAATGGTACAAAAGGAAATATCTTCGTATAAAAACTAGACAGTATCATTCTCAGAAACTGCTTTGTGATGTGTGTATTAAACTCACAGAGTTGAACATTTCTTTGCATAGAGCAGTTTGGAAAGACTTAGTTTGTGCAGTGTGCAAGTGGATATTTGGAACTCTTTGAGGCCTTCGTTGGAAACGGGATTTCTTCTTATAATTCTTGACAAAAGAATTCTCAGTAGCTTCTTTGTGTGTGTGTATTCAACTCACAGAGTTGAACCTTCCTTTAGACAGAGCAGATTGGAAACACTCTTTTTGTGGAATTTGCAAGTGGAGAATTCTAGCGCTTTGACGCCAATGGTAGAAAGGAAATATCTTCGTATAAAAACTAGACAGTATGATTCTCAGAAACTACTTTGTGATGTGTGCATTCAACTCACAGAGTTTAACCTTTCTTTTCATAGAGCAGTTTGGAAACACTCTGTTTGTGAAGTCTGCAAGTGGATATTTAAACGTCTTTGAGGCCTTCGTTGGAAACGGGATTTGTTCATATAAACCAGGACAGAAGAATTCTCAGAAACTTCTTGTTTGTTATGTGTGCATTCAACTCACAGAGTTGAACCTTACTTCGGAAAGAGCAGTTTTCTAACACTCTTTTTGTAAAAGTTCCAAGTGAATACTTTGAGTGCTTTTGAAGCCTACGGTAGACAACGAAATAGCTTCATGTAAAAACTGCAAAGAATCATTCGCAGAAACCACGTTGTGATCTCTGCATTCAACTCACAGAGTTCAACCTTTCTTCCTATAGAGCAGTTATGAAACAGTCTCTTTGTAGAATTTGCAAGGGTGTATTTAGAGGGCATTGAAGCCTACGGTAGAAAAGGAAATATCTTACCATAAAATCTAGTCAGAAGCATTCTCAGCAACTGAGTTGTGATGTTTCCATTCAACTCACAGAGTTCAACATTCCTTTTAATGGAGCGGTTTTGAAACACTCTTTTTGCAGAATCTGCAAGTGGATATTTGGACCTCTTTGAGGCCTTCGTTGGAAACGGGATTTCTTCATGTAATGCCAGACAGAAGAATTCTCAGTGAATTCTTTCTGTGTGTGTGTATTCAACTCACAGAGTTGAACGTTCCTTTAGACAGAGTAGATTGGAAACACTCTTTTTGTGGAATTTTCAGGTGGAGGTATCAAGCGCTTTGAGGCCAATGATAGAAAAGGAAATACCTTCGTATAATAATTAGACGGAATCATTCTCAGAAACTGCTTTGCAATGTGTGCGTTCAACTCACAGTGTTTAACCTTTCTTTTCATACAGTTGTTTCGAAACACTCTTTTTGCAGAATCTGCAAGTGGATATTTGGACCTCTTTGAAGTCTTCGTTGGAAATGGGATTTCTTCATATAATGCTAGACAGAAGACTTCTCAGTAACTGCTTTTTCTGGTGTGTATTCAACTCTCAGAGTTGAACTTTCCTTTAGAAACAGCAGATTTGAAACTCTCTTTTTGTGGAATTTGCAAGTGGAGATTTCAGAGCTTTGAGGCCAATGGTAGAAAAGGAAATATCTTCGTATGCAAACTAGACAGAATCATTCTCAGAAACTACTTTGGTACGTGTGTGTTCAACTCACAGTGTTTAACCTTTCTTTTCATAGAGCAGTTTGGAAACACTCAGTTTGTAAAGTCAGCAACTGGATATTTGGATGTATTTGAGGCTTCGTTGGAAACGGGATTTCTTCATATAATGCTAGACAGAAGAATTCTCAGTAACTTCTTTGGGTTGTGGGTATTCAAGTCACAGAGTTGAAGCTTCCTTTAGGCGGAGCAGATTGGAAACACTTTTTGTGGAATTTTCAGGGGGAGACTTCAAGCGCTTTGAAGTGAATGGTAGGAAAGGAAATATCTTCGTATAAAAACTAGACGGAGTCATTCTCAGAAACTACTTTGTGATGTTTGCGTTCAACTCACAGAGTTTAACGTTTCTTTTCATAGAGCAGTTTGGAAACACTCTTTTTGCAGAATCTGCAAGTGGATATTTGGACCTCTTTGTGGCCTTCGTTGGAAACGGGATTTTTCATATAATGCTAGACAGGAAGAATTCTCAGTAACTTCTTTTTGTGGTGTGTATTCAACTCACAGAGTTGAACCTTCCTTTAGACAGAGCAGATTTGAAACTCTCTCTTTGTGGAATTTGCAAGTGGAGATTTCAAGCGCTTTGAGGCCAACGGCAGAAAAGGAAATATCTTCGTAGAAAAAATAGACGGAATCATTCTCAGAAACTGCTTTGGGATGTGTGCATTGAACTCACAGTGTTTAACACTTCTTTTCATAGAGCACTTTGGAAACACTCAGGTTGTAATGTCTGCAGCTGGATATTTGGACCTCTTTGAGGCCTTCGTAGTAAACGGGATTTCTTCGTGTAATGATAGACAATAGAATTCTCAGTGAATTTTTTTCTGTGTGTGTGTATTCAACTCACAGGGTTGAACCATCCTTTAGACAGTGCAGATTTGAAACACTTGTCTGTGGAATTTGCAAGGGGAGATTTCAAGCACTTTGAGGCCATTGGTGGAAAAGGAAATATCTTCGTATGAAAACTATACAGAATCATTCTCAGGAACTACTTTGTGATATGTGCATTCAACTCACAGAGTTTAACCTTTCTTTTCATAGATGAGTTTGGAAACAGTCAGTTTGTAAATTCTGCAACTGGATATTTGGACCTCTTTGAGGCTTTCGTTGGAAACGGGATTTCTTCACATAATGCTAGACAGAAGAATTCTCAGTAACTTCTTTTGGGATGTATGTATTCAAATCAGAGAGTTGAACCTTCCTTTAGACAGAGCGGATTGGAAACACTCTTTTTGTGGAATTTGCAAGTGGAAAATTCTAGCAGTATGAGGCCAATGGTACAAAAGGAAATATCTTCGTATAAAAACTAGACAGTATCATTCTCAGAAACTGCTTTGTGATGTGTGTATTAAACTCACAGAGTTTAACCTTTCTTTTCATAGAGCAGTTTGGAAACCCTCTGTTTGTGAAGTCTGCAAGTGGATATTTAAACGTCTTTGAGGCCTTCGTTGGAAACGGGATTTTTTCATATAAACCAGGACAGAAGAATTCTCAGAAACTTCTTGATTGTTATGTGTGCATTCAACTCACAGAGTTGAACCTTACTTTGGAAAGAGCAGTTTTCTAACACTCTTTTTGTAAAAGTTCCAAGTGAATACTTTGAGTGCTTTGAAGCCTACGGTTGACAACGAAATATCTTCATGTAAAAACTACAAAGAATCATTCGCAGAAACCACGTTGTGATCTCTGCATTCAACTCACAGTGTTGAACCTTTCTTCCTATAGAGCAGTTATGAAACAGTCTCTTTGTAGAATTTGCAAGGGTGTATTTAGAGGGCATTGAAGCCTACGGTAGAAAAGGAAATATCTTACCATAAAATCTAGTCAGAAGCATTCTCAGAAACTGAGTTGTGATGTTTGCATTCAACTCACAGAGTTCAACATTCCTTTTAATGGAGCGGTTTTGAAACACTCTTTGTGCAGAATCTGCAAGTGGATATTTGGACCTCTTTGAGGTCTTCGTTGGAAACGGGATTTCTTCATGTAATGCCAGACAGAAGAATTCTCAGTGAATTCTTTCTGTGTGTGTGTATTCAACTCACAGAGTTGAACGTTCCTTTAGACAGAGTAGATTGGAAACACTCTTTTTGTGGAATTTTCAGGTGGAGGTATCAAGCGCTTTGAGGCCAATGATAGAAAAGGAAATACCTTCGTATAATAATTAGACGGAATCATTCTCAGAAACTGCTTTGCAATGTGTGCGTTCAACTCACAGTGTTTAACCTTTCTTTTCATACAGTTGTTTCGAAACACTCTTTTTGCAGAATCTGCAAGTGGATATTTGGACCTCTTTGAAGTCTTCGTTGGAAATGGGATTTCTTCATATAATGCTAGACAGAAGACTTCTCAGTAACTGCTTTTTCTGGTGTGTATTCAACTCTCAGAGTTGAACTTTCCTTTAGAAACAGCAGATTTGAAACTCTCTTTTTGTGGAATTTGCAAGTGGAGATTTCAGAGCTTTGAGGCCAATGGTAGAAAAGGAAATATCTTCGTATGCAAACTAGACAGAATCATTCTCAGAAACTACTTTGGTACGTGTGTGTTCAACTCACAGTGTTTAACCTTTCTTTTCATAGAGCAGTTTGGAAACACTCAGTTTGTAAAGTCAGCAACTGGATATTTGGATGTATTTGAGGCCTTCGTTGGAAACGGGATTTCTTCATATAATGCTAGACAGAAGAATTCTCAGTAACTTCTTTGGGTTGTGGGTATTCAACTCACAGAGTTGAAGCTTCCTTTAGCGGAGCAGATTGGAAACACTTTTTGTGGAATTTTCAGGGGGAGACTTCAAGCGCTTTGAAGTGAATGGTAGGAAAGGAAATATCTTCGTATAAAAACTAGACGGAGTCATTCTCAGAAACTACTTTGTGATGTTTGCGTTCAACTCACAGAGTTTAACGTTTCTTTTCATAGAGCAGTTTGGAAACACTCTTTTTGCAGAATCTGCAAGTGGATATTTGGACCTCTTTGTGGCCTTCGTTGGAAACGGGATTTTTCATATAATGCTAGACAGAAGAATTCTCAGTAACTTCTTTTTGTGGTGTGTATTCAACTCACAGAGTTGAACCTTCCTTTAGACAGAGCAGATTTGAAACTCTCTTTTTGTGGAATTTGCAAGTGGAGATTTCAAGCGCTTTGAGGCCAACGGTAGAAAAGGAAATATCTTCGTAGAAAAAATAGACGGAATCAGTCTCAGAAACTGCTTTGGGATGTGTGCATTGAACTCACAGTGTTTAACACTTCTTTTCATAGAGCACTTTGGAAACACTCAGTTTGTAATGTCTGCAGCTGGATATTTGGACCTCTTTGAGGCCTTCGTAGTAAACGGGATTTCTTCGTGTAATGATAGACAATAGAATTCTCAGTGAATTTTTTTCTGTGTGTGTGTATTCAACTCACAGGGTTGAACCTTCCTTTAGACAGTGCAGATTTGAGACACTTGTCTGTGGAATTTGCAAGGGGAGATTTCAAGCACTTTGAGGCCATTGGTGGAAAAGGAAATATCTTCGTATAAAAACTAGACAGAATCATTCTCAGGAACTACTTTGTGATATGTGCATTCAACTCACAGAGTTTAACCTTTCTTTTCATAGATGAGTTTGGAAACAGTCAGTTTGTAAATGCTGCAACTGGATATTTGGGCCTCTTTGAGGCTTTCGTTGGAAACGGGATTTCTTCACATAATGCTAGACAGAAGAATTCTCAGTAACTTCTTTTGGGATGTATGTATTCAAATCAGAGAGTTGAACCTTCCTTTAGACAGAGCGGATTGGAAACACTCTTTTTGTGGAATTTGCAAGTGGAAAATTCTAGCAGTATGAGGCCAATGGTACAAAAGGAAATATCTTCGTATAAAAACTAGACAGTATCATTCTCAGAAACTGCTTTGTGATGTGTGTATTAAACTCACAGAGTTGAACATTTCTTTGCATAGAGCAGTTTGGAAAGACTTAGTTTGTGCAGTGTGCAAGTGGATATTTGGAACTCTTTGAGGCCTTCGTTGGAAACGGGATTTCTTCTTATAATTCTTGACAAAAGAATTCTCAGTAGCTTCTTTGTGTGTGTGTATTCAACTCACAGAGTTGAACCTTCCTTTAGACAGAGCGGATTGGAAACACTCTTTTTGTGGAATTTGCAAGTGGAAAATTCTAGCAGTATGAGGCCAATGGTACAAAAGGAAATATCTTCGTATAAAAACTAGACAGTATCATTCTCAGAAACTGCTTTGTGATGTGTGTATTAAACTCACAGAGTTGAACATTTCTTTGCATAGAGCAGTTTGGAAAGACTTAGTTTGTGCAGTGTGCAAGTGGATATTTGGAAATCTTTGAGGCCTTCGTTGGAAACGGGATTTCTTCTTATAATTCTTGACAAAAGCAATTCTCAGTAGCTTCTTTGTGTGTGTGTATTCAACTCACAGAGTTGAACCTTCCTTTAGACAGAGCAGATTGGAAACACTCTTTTTGTGGAATTTGCAAGTGGAGAATTCTAGCGCTTTGACGCCAATGGTAGAAAGGAAATATCTTCGTATAAAAACTAGACAGTATCATTCTCAGAAGCTACTTTGTGATGTGTGCATTCAACTCACAGAGTTTAACCTTTCTTTTCATAGAGCAGTTTGGAAACAATCTGTTTGTGAAGTCTGCAAGTGGATATTTAAACGTCTTTGAGGCCTTCGTTGGAAACGGGATTTTTTCATATAAACCAGGACAGAAGAATTCTCAGAAACTTCTTGATTGTTATGTGTGCATTCAACTCACAGAGTTGAACCTTACTTTGGAAAGAGCAGTTTTCTAACACTCTTTTTGTAAAAGTTCCAAGTGAATACTTTGAGTGCTTTGAAGCCTACGGTTGACAACGAAATATCTTCATGTAAAAACTACAAAGAATCATTCGCAGAAACCACGTTGTGATCTCTGCATTCAACTCACAGAGTTGAACCTTTCTTCCTATAGAGCAGTTATGAAACAGTCTCTTTGTAGAATTTGCAAGGGTGTATTTAGAGGGCATTGAAGCCTACGGTAGAAAAGGAAATATCTTACCATAAAATCTAGTCAGAAGCATTCTCAGCAACTGAGTTGTGATGTTTGCATTCAACTCACAGAGTTCAACATTCCTTTTAATGGAGCGGTTTTGAAACACTCTTTTTGCAGAATCTGCAAGTGGATATTTGGACCTCTTTGAGGCCTTCGTTGGAAACGGGATTTCTTCATGTAATGCCAGACAGAAGAATTCTCAGTGAATTCTTTCTGTGTGTGTGTATTCAACTCACAGAGTTGAACGTTCCTTTAGACAGAGTAGATTGGAAACACTCTTTTTGTGGAATTTTCAGGTGGAGGTATCAAGCGCTTTGAGGCCAATGATAGAAAAGGAAATACCTTCGTATAATAATTAGACGGAATCATTCTCAGAAACCGCTTTGCAATGTGTGCGTTCAACTCACAGTGTTTAACCTTTCTTTTCATACAGTTGTTTCGAAACACTCTTTTTGCAGAATCTGCAAGTGGATATTTGGACCTCTTTGAAGTCTTCGTTGGAAATGGGATTTCTTCATATAATGCTAGACAGAAGACTTCTCAGTAACTGCTTTTTCTGGTGTGTATTCAACTCTCAGAGTTGAACTTTCCTTTAGAAACAGCAGATTTGAAACTCTCTTTTTGTGGAATTTGCAAGTGGAGATTTCAGAGCTTTGAGGCCAATGGTAGAAAAGGAAATATCTTCGTATGCAAACTAGACAGAATCATTCTCAGAAACTACTTTGGTACGTGTGTGTTCAACTCACAGTGTTTAACCTTTCTTTTCATAGAGCAGTTTGGAAACACTCAGTTTGTAAAGTCAGCAACTGGATATTTGGATGTATTTGAGGCCTTCGTTGGAAACGGGATTTCTTCATATAATGCTAGACAGAAGAATTCTCAGTAACTTCTTTGGGTTGTGGGTATTCAAGTCACAGAGTTGAAGCTTCCTTTAGGCGGAGCAGATTGGAAACACTTTTTGTGGAATTTTCAGGGGGAGACTTCAAGCGCTTTGAAGTGAATGGTAGGAAAGGAAATATCTTCGTATAAAAACTAGACGGAGTCATTCTCAGAAACTACTTTGTGATGTTTGCGTTCAACTCACAGAGTTTAACGTTTCTTTTCATAGAGCAGTTTGGAAACACTCTTTTTGCAGAATCTGCAAGTGGATATTTGGACCTCTTTGTGGCCTTCGTTGGAAACGGGATTTTTCATATAATGCTAGACAGAAGAATTCTCAGTAACTTCTTTTTGTGGTGTGTATTCAACTCACAGAGTTGAACCTTCCTTTAGACAGAGCAGATTTGAAACTCTCTCTTTGTGGAATTTGCAAGTGGAGATTTCAAGCGCTTTGAGGCCAACGGCAGAAAAGGAAATATCTTCGTAGAAAAAATAGACGGAATCATTCTCAGAAACTGCTTTGGGATGTGTGCATTGAACTCACAGTGTTTAACACTTCTTTTCATAGAGCACTTTGGAAACACTCAGGTTGTAATGTCTGCAGCTGGATATTTGGACCTCTTTGAGGCCTTCGTAGTAAACGGGATTTCTTCGTGTAATGATAGACAATAGAATTCTCAGTGAATTTTTTTCTGTGTGTGTGTATTCAACTCACAGGGTTGAACCTTCCTTTAGACAGTGCAGATTTGAGACACTTGTCTGTGGAATTTGCAAGGGGAGATTTCAAGCACTTTGAGGCCATTGGTGGAAAAGGAAATATCTTCGTATGAAAACTAGACAGAATCATTCTCAGGAACTACTTTGTGATATGTGCATTCAACTCACAGAGTTTAACCTTTCTTTTCATAGATGAGTTTGGAAACAGTCAGTTTGTAAATTCTGCAACTGGATATTTGGACCTCTTTGAGGCTTTCGTTGGAAACGGGATTTCTTCACATAATGCTAGACAGAAGAATTCTCAGTAACTTCTTTTGGGATGTATGTATTCAAATCAGAGAGTTGAACCTTCCTTTAGACAGAGCGGATTGGAAACACTCTTTTTGTGGAATTTGCAAGTGGAAAATTCTAGCAGTATGAGGCCAATGGTACAAAAGGAAATATCTTCGTATAAAAACTAGACAGTATCATTCTCAGAAACTGCTTTGTGATGTGTGTATTAAACTCAGAGAGTTGAACATTTCTTTGCATAGAGCAGTTTGGAAAGACTTAGTTTGTGCAGTGTGCAAGTGGATATTTGGAACTCTTTGAGGCCTTCGTTGGAAACGGGATTTCTTCTTATAATTCTTGACAAAAGAATTCTCAGTAGCTTCTTTGTGTGTGTGTATTCAACTCACAGAGTTGAACCTTCCTTTAGACAGAGCAGATTGGAAACACTCTTTTTGTGGAATTTGCAAGTGGAGAATTCTAGCGCTTTGACGCCAATGGTAGAAAGGAAATATCTTCGTATAAAAACTAGACAGTATCATTCTCAGAAGCTACTTTGTGATGTGTGCGTTCAACTCACAGAGTTTAACCTTTCTTTTCATAGAGCAGTTTGGAAACCCTCTGTTTGTGAAGTCTGCAAGTGGATATTTAAACGTCTTTGAGGCCTTCGTTGGAAACGGGATTTTTTCATATAAACCAGGACAGAAGAATTCTCAGAAACTTCTTGATTGTTATGTGTGCATTCAACTCACAGAGTTGAACCTTACTTTGGAAAGAGCAGTTTCCTAACACTCGTTTTGTAAAAGTTCCAAGTGAATACTTTGAGTGCTTTGAAGCCTACGGTTGACAACGAAATATCTTCATGTAAAAACTACAAAGAATCATTCGCAGAAACCACGTTGTGATCTCTGCATTCAACTCACAGCGTTCAACCTTTCTTCCTATAGAGCAGTTATGAAACAGTCTCTTTGTAGAATTTGCAAGGGTGTATTTAGAGGGCATTGAAGCCTACGGTAGAAAAGGAAATATCTTACCATAAAATCTAGTCAGAAGCATTCTCAGAAACTGAGTTGTGATGTTTGCATTCAACTCACAGAGTTCAACATTCCTTTTAATGGAGCGGTTTTGAAACACTCTTTTTGCAGAATCTGCAAGTGGATATTTGGACCTCTTTGAGGCCTTCGTTGGAAACGGGATTTCTTCATGTAATGCCAGACAGAAGAATTCTCAGTGAATTCTTTCTGTGTGTGTGTATTCAACTCACAGAGTTGAACGTTCCTTTAGACAGAGTAGATTGGAAACACTCTTTTTGTGGAATTTTCAGGTGGAGGTATCAAGCGCTTTGAGGCCAATGATAGAAAAGGAAATACCTTCGTATAATAATTAGACGGAATCATTCTCAGAAACCGCTTTGCAATGTGTGCGTTCAACTCACAGTGTTTAACCTTTCTTTTCATACAGTTGTTTCGAAACACTCTTTTTGCAGAATCTGCAAGTGGATATTTGGACCTCTTTGAAGTCTTCGTTGGAAATGGGATTTCTTCATATAATGCTAGACAGAAGACTTCTCAGTAACTGCTTTTTCTGGTGTGTATTCAACTCTCAGAGTTGAACTTTCCTTTAGAAACAGCAGATTTGAAACTCTCTTTTTGTGGAATTTGCAAGTGGAGATTTCAGAGCTTTGAGGCCAATGGTAGAAAAGGAAATATCTTCGTATGCAAACTAGACAGAATCATTCTCAGAAACTACTTTGGTACGTGTGTGTTCAACTCACAGTGTTTAACCTTTCTTTTCATAGAGCAGTTTGGAAACACTCAGTTTGTAAAGTCAGCAACTGGATATTTGGATGTATTTGAGGCCTTCGTTGGAAACGGGATTTCTTCATATAATGCTAGACAGAAGAATTCTCAGTAACTTCTTTGGGTTGTGGGTATTCAACTCACAGAGTTGAAGCTTCCTTTAGGCGGAGCAGATTGGAAACACTTTTTGTGGAATTTTCAGGGGGAGACTTCAAGCGCTTTGAAGTGAATGGTAGGAAAGGAAATATCTTCGTATAAAAACTAGACGGAGTCATTCTCAGAAACTACTTTGTGATGTTTGCGTTCAACTCACAGAGTTTAACGTTTCTTTTCATAGAGCAGTTTGGAAACACTCTTTTTGCAGAATCTGCAAGTGGATATTTGGACCTCTTTGTGGCCTTCGTTGGAAACGGGATTTTTCATATAATGCTAGACAGAAGAATTCTCAGTAACTTCTTTTTGTGGTGTGTATTCAACTCACAGAGTTGAACCTTCCTTTAGACAGAGCAGATTTGAAACTCTCTTTTTGTGGAATTTGCAAGTGGAGATTTCAAGCGCTTTGAGGCCAACGGCAGAAAAGGAAATATCTTCGTAGAAAAAATAGACGGAATCATTCTCAGAAACTGCTTTGGGATGTGTGCATTGAACTCACAGTGTTTAACACTTCTTTTCATAGAGCACTTTGGAAACACTCAGGTTGTAATGTCTGCAGCTGGATATTTGGACCTCTTTGAGGCCTTCGTAGTAAACGGGATTTCTTCGTGTAATGATAGACAATAGAATTCTCAGTGAATTTTTTTCTGTGTGTGTGTATTCAACTCACAGGGTTGAACCTTCCTTTAGACAGTGCAGATTTGAAACACTTGTCTGTGGAATTTGCAAGGGGAGATTTCAAGCACTTTGAGGCCATTGGTGGAAAAGGAAATATCTTCGTATGAAAACTAGACAGAATCATTCTCAGGAACTACTTTGTGATATGTGCATTCAACTCACAGAGTTTAACCTTTCTTTTCATAGATGAGTTTGGAAACAGTCAGTTTGTAAATTCTGCAACTGGATATTTGGACCTCTTTGAGGCTTTCGTTGGAAACGGGATTTCTTCACATAATGCTAGACAGAAGAATTCTCAGTAACTTCTTTTGGGATGTATGTATTCAAATCAGAGAGTTGAACCTTCCTTTAGACAGAGCGGATTGGAAACACTCTTTTTGTGGAATTTGCAAGTGGAAAATTCTAGCAGTATGAGGCCAATGGTACAAAAGGAAATATCTTCGTATAAAAACTAGACAGTATCATTCTCAGAAACTGCTTCGTGATGTGTGTATTAAACTCACAGAGTTGAACATTTCTTTGCATAGAGCAGTTTGGAAAGACTTAGTTTGTGCAGTGTGCAAGTGGATATTTGGAACTCTTTGAGGCCTTCGTTGGAAACGGGATTTCTTCTTATAATTCTTGACAAAAGAATTCTCAGTAGCTTCTTTGTGTGTGTGTATTCAACTCACAGAGTTGAACCTTCCTTGAGACAGAGCAGATTGGAAACACTCTTTTTGTGGAATTTGCAAGTGGAGAATTCTAGCGCTTTGACGCCAATGGTAGAAAGGAAATATCTTCGTATAAAAACTAGACAGTATCATTCTCAGAAACTACTTTGTGATGTGTGCGTTCAACTCACAGAGTTTAACCTTTCTTTTCATAGAGCAGTTTGGAAACACTCTGTTTGTGAAGTCTGCAAGTGGATATTTAAACGTCTTTGAGGCCTTCGTTGGAAACGGGATTTTTTCATATAAACCAGGACAGAAGAATTCTCAGAAACTTCTTGATTGTTATGGGTGCATTCAACTCACAGAGTTGAACCTTACTTTGGAAAGAGCAGTTTTCTAACACTCTTTTTGTAAAAGTTCCAAGTGAATACTTTGAGTGCTTTGAAGCCTACGGTTGACAACGAAATATCTTCATGTAAAAACTACAAAGAATCATTCGCAGAAACCACGTTGTGATCTCTGCAGTCAACTCACAGAGTTCAACCTTTCTTCCTATAGAGCAGTTATGAAACAGTCTCTTTGTAGAATTTGCAAGGGTGTATTTAGAGGGCATTGAAGCCTACGGTAGAAAAGGAAATATCTTACCATAAAATCTAGTCAGAAGCATTCTCAGAAACTGAGTTGTGATGTTTGCATTCAACTCACAGAGTTCAACATTCCTTTTAATGGAGCGGTTTTGAAACACTCTTTTTGCAGAATCTGCAAGTGGATATTTGGACCTCTTTGAGGCCTTCGTTGGAAACGGGATTTCTTCATGTAATGCCAGACAGAAGAATTCTCAGTGAATTCTTTCTGTGTGTGTGTATTCAACTCACAGAGTTGAACGTTCCTTTAGACAGAGTAGATTGGAAACACTCTTTTTGTGGAATTTTCAGGTGGAGGTATCAAGCGCTTTGAGGCCAATGATAGAAAAGGAAATACCTTCGTATAATAATTAGACGGAATCATTCTCAGAAACTGCTTTGCAATGTGTGCGTTCAACTCACAGTGTTTAACCTTTCTTTTCATACAGTTGTTTCGAAACACTCTTTTTGCAGAATCTGCAAGTGGATATTTGGACCTCTTTGAAGTCTTCGTTGGAAATGGGATTTCTTCATATAATGCTAGACAGAAGACTTCTCAGTAACTGCTTTTTCTGGTGTGTATTCAACTCTCAGAGTTGAACTTTCCTTTAGAAACAGCAGATTTGAAACTCTCTTTTTGTGGAATTTGCAAGTGGAGATTTCAGAGCTTTGAGGCCAATGGTAGAAAAGGAAATATCTTCGTATGCAAACTAGACAGAATCATTCTCAGAAACTACTTTGGTACGTGTGTGTTCAACTCAAAGTGTTTAACCTTTCTTTTCATAGAGCAGTTTGGAAACACTCAGTTTGTAAAGTCAGCAACTGGATATTTGGATGTATTTGAGGCCTTCGTTGGAAACGGGATTTCTTCATATAATGCTAGACAGAAGAATTCTCAGTAACTTCTTTGGGTTGTGGGTATTCAACTCACAGAGTTGAAGCTTCCTTTAGGCGGAGCAGATTGGAAACACTTTTTGTGGAATTTTCAGGGGGAGACTTCAAGCGCTTTGAAGTGAATGGTAGGAAAGGAAATATCTTCGTATAAAAACTAGACGGAGTCATTCTCAGAAACTACTTTGTGATGTGTGCGTTCAACTCACAGAGTTTAACGTTTCTTTTCATAGAGCAGTTTGGAAACACTCTTTTTGCAGAATCTGCAAGTGGATATTTGGACCTCTTTGTGGCCTTCGTTGGAAACGGGATTTTTCATATAATGCTAGACAGAAGAATTCTCAGTAACTTCTTTTTGTGGTGTGTATTCAACTCACAGAGTTGAACCTTCCTTTAGACAGAGCAGATTTGAAACTCTCTTTTTGTGGAATTTGCAAGTGGAGATTTCAAGCGCTTTGAGGCCAACGGCAGAAAAGGAAATATCTTCGTAGAAAAAATAGACGGAATCATTCTCAGAAACTGCTTTGGGATGTGTGCATTGAACTCACAGTGTTTAACACTTCTTTTCATAGAGCACTTTGGAAACACTCAGTTTATAATGTCTGCAGCTGGATATTTGGACCTCTTTGAGGCCTTCGTAGTAAACGGGATTTCTTCGTGTAATGATAGACAATAGAATTCTCAGTGAATTTTTTTCTGTGTGTGTGTATTCAACTCACAGGGTTGAACCATCCTTTAGACAGTGCAGATTTGAAACACTTGTCTGTGGAATTTGCAAGGGGAGATTTCAAGCACTTTGAGGCCATTGGTGGAAAAGGAAATATCTTCGTATGAAAACTATACAGAATCATTCTCAGGAACTACTTTGTGATATGGGCATTCAACTCCCAGAGTTTAACCTTTCTTTTCATAGATGAGTTTGGAAACAGTCAGTTTGTAAATTCTGCAACTGGATATTTGGACCTCTTTGAGGCTTTCGTTGGAAACGGGATTTCTTCACATAATGCTAGACAGAAGAATTCTCAGTAACTTCTTTTGGGATGTATGTATTCAAATCAGAGAGTTGAACCTTCCTTTAGACAGAGCGGATTGGAAACACTCTTTTTGTGGAATTTGCAAGTGGAAAATTCTAGCAGTATGAGGCCAATGGTACAAAAGGAAATATCTTCGTATAAAAACTAGACAGTATCATTCTCAGAAACTGCTTTGTGATGTGTGTATTAAACTCACAGAGTTGAACATTTCTTTGCATAGAGCAGTTTGGAAAGACTTAGTTTGTGCAGTGTGCAAGTGGATATTTGGAACTCTTTGAGGCCTTCGTTGGAAACGGGATTTCTTCTTATAATTCTTGACAAAAGAATTCTCAGTAGCTTCTTTGTGTGTGTGTATTCAACTCACAGAGTTGAACCTTCCTTTAGACAGAGCAGATTGGAAACACTCTTTTTGTGGAATTTGCAAGTGGAGAATTCTAGCGCTTTGACGCCAATGGTAGAAAGGAAATATCTTCGTATAAAAACTAGACAGTATCATTCTCAGAAGCTACTTTGTGATGTGTGCGTTCAACTCACAGAGTTTAACCTTTCTTTTCATAGAGCAGTTTGGAAACACTCTGTTTGTGAAGTCTGCAAGTGGATATTTAAACGTGCTTTGAGGCCTTCGTTGGAAACGGGATTTTTTCATATAAACCAGGACAGAAGAATTCTCAGAAACTTCTTGATTGTTATGTGTGCATTCAACTCACAGAGTTGAACCTTACTTTGGAAAGAGCAGTTTTCTAACACTCTTTTTGTAAAAGTTCCAAGTGAATACTTTGAGTGCTTTGAAGCCTACGGTTGACAACGAAATATCTTCATGTAAAAACTACAAAGAATCATTCGCAGAAACCACGTTGTGATCTCTGCATTCAACTCACAGAGTTGAACCTTTCTTCCTGTAGAGCAGTTATGAAACAGTCTCTTTGTAGAATTTGCAAGGGTGTATTTAGAGGGCATTGAAGCCTACGGTAGAAAAGGAAATATCTTACCATAAAATCTAGTCAGAAGCATTCTCAGAAACTGAGTTGTGATGTTTGCATTCAACTCACAGAGTTCAACATTCCTTTTAATGGAGCGGTTTTGAAACACTCTTTTTGCAGAATCTGCAAGTGGATATTTGGACCTCTTTGAGGCCTTCGTTGGAAACGGGATTTCTTCATGTAATGCCAGACAGAAGAATTCTCCAGTGAATTCTTTCTGTGTGTGTGTATTCAACTCACAGAGTTGAACGTTCCTTTAGACAGAGTAGATTGGAAACACTCTTTTTGTGGAATTTTCAGGTGGAGGTATCAAGCGCTTTGAGGCCAATGATAGAAAAGGAAATACCTTCGTATAATAATTAGACGGAATCATTCTCAGAAACTGCTTTGCAATGTGTGCGTTCAACTCACAGTGTTTAACCTTTCTTTTCATACAGTTGTTTCGAAACACTCTTTTTGCAGAATCTGCAAGTGGATATTTGGACCTCTTTGAAGTCTTCGTTGGAAATGGGATTTCTTCATATAATGCTAGACAGAAGACTTCTCAGTAACTGCTTTTTCTGGTGTGTATTCAACTCTCCGAGTTGAACTTTCCTTTAGAAACAGCAGATTTGAAACTCTCTTTTTGTGGAATTTGCAAGTGGAGATTTCAGAGCTTTGAGGCCAATGGTAGAAAAGGAAATATCTTCGTATGCAAACTAGACAGAATCATTCTCAGAAACTACTTTGGTACGTGTGTGTTCAACTCACAGTGTTTAACCTTTCTTTTCATAGAGCAGTTTGGAAACACTCAGTTTGTAAAGTCAGCAACTGGATATTTGGATGTATTTGAGGCCTTCGTTGGCAACGGGATTTCTTCATGTAATTGTAGACAGAAGAATTCTCAGTAACTTCTTTGGGTTGTGGGTATTCAACTCACAGAGTTGAAGCTTCCTTTAGGCGGAGCAGATTGGAAACACTTTTTGTGGAATTTTCAGGGGGAGACTTCAAGCGCTTTGAAGTGAATGGTAGGAAAGGAAATATCTTCGTATAAAAACTAGACGGAGTCATTCTCAGAAACTACTTTGTGATGTTTGCGTTCAACTCACAGAGTTTAACGTTTCTTTTCATAGAGCAGTTTGGAAACACTCTTTTTGCAGAATCTGCAAGTGGATATTTGGACCTCTTTGTGGCCTGTCGTTGGAAACGGGATTTTTCATATAATGCTAGACAGAAGAATTCTCAGTAACTTCTTTTTGTGGTGTGTATTCAACTCACAGAGTTGAACCTTCCTTTAGACAGAGCAGATTTGAAACTCTCTTTTTGTGGAATTTGCAAGTGGAGATTTCAAGCGCTTTGAGGCCAACGGCAGAAAAGGAAATATCTTCGTAGAAAAAATAGACGGAATCATTCTCAGAAACTGCTTTGGGATGTGTGCATTGAACTCACAGTGTTTAACACTTCTTTTCATAGAGCACTTTGGAAACACTCAGTTTGTAATGTCTGCAGCTGGATATTTGGACCTCTTTGAGGCCTTCGTAGTAAACGGGATTTCTTCGTGTAATGATAGACAATAGAATTCTCAGTGAATTTTTTTCTGTGTGTGTGTATTCAACTCACAGGGTTGAACCTTCCTTTAGACAGTGCAGATTTGAGACACTTGTCTGTGGAATTTGCAAGGGGAGATTTCAAGCACTTTGAGGCCATTGGTGGAAAAGGAAATATCTTCGTATGAAAACTAGACAGAATCATTCTCAGGAACTACTTTGTGATATGTGCATTCAACTCCCAGAGTTTAACCTTTCTTTTCATAGATGAGTTTGGAAACAGTCAGTTTGTAAATTCTGCAACTGGATATTTGGACCTCTTTGAGGCTTTCGTTGGAAACGGGATTTCTTCACATAATGCTAGACAGAAGAATTCTCAGTAACTTCTTTTGGGATGTATGTATTCAAATCAGAGAGTTGAACCTTCCTTTAGACAGAGCGGATTGGAAACACTCTTTTTGTGGAATTTGCAAGTGGAAAATTCTAGCAGTATGAGGCCAATGGTACAAAAGGAAATATCTTCGTATAAAAACTAGACAGTATCATTCTCAGAAACTGCTTTGTGATGTGTGTATTAAACTCACAGAGTTGAACATTTCTTTGCATAGAGCAGTTTGGAAAGACTTAGTTTGTGCAGTGTGCAAGTGGATATTTGGAACTCTTTGAGGCCTTCGTTGGAAACGGGATTTCTTCTTATAATTCTTGACAAAAGAATTCTCAGTAGCTTCTTTGTGTGTGTGTATTCAACTCACAGAGTTGAACCTTCCTTTAGACAGAGCAGATTGGAAACACTCTTTTTGTGGAATTTGCAAGTGGAGAATTCTAGCGCTTTGACGCCAATGGTAGAAAGGAAATATCTTCGTATAAAAACTAGACAGTATCATTCTCAGAAGCTACTTTGTGATGTGTGCGTTCAACTCACAGAGTTTAACCTTTCTTTTCATAGAGCAGTTTGGAAACCCTCTGTTTGTGAAGTCTGCAAGTGGATATATAAACGTCTTTGAGGCCTTCGTTGGAAACGGGATTTTTTCATATAAACCAGGACAGAAGAATTCTCAGAAACTTCTTGATTGTTATGTGTGCATTCAACTCACAGAGTTGAACCTTACTTTGGAAAGAGCAGTTTTCTAACACTCTTTTTGTAAAAGTTCCAAGTGAATACTTTGAGTGCTTTGAAGCCTACGGTTGACAACGAAATATCTTCCTGTAAAAACTACAAAGAATCATTCGCAGAAACCACGTTGTGATCTCTGCATTCAACTCACAGAGTTGAACCTTTCTTCCTATAGAGCAGTTATGAAACAGTCTCTTTGTAGAATTTGCAAGGGTGTATTTAGAGGGCATTGAAGCCTACGGTATAAAAGGAAATATCTTACCATAAAATCTAGTCAGAAGCATTCTCAGCAACTGAGTTGTGATGTTTCCATTCAACTCACAGAGTTCAACATTCCTTTTAATGGAGCGGTTTTGAAACACTCTTTTTGCAGAATCTGCAAGTGGATATTTGGACCTCTTTGAGGCCTTCGTTGGAAACGGGATTTCTTCATGTAATGCCAGACAGAAGAATTCTCAGTGAATTCTTTCTCTGTGTGTGTATTCAACTCACAGAGTTGAACGTTCCTTTAGACAGAGTAGATTGGAAACACTCTTTTTGTGGAATTTTCAGGTGGAGGTATCAAGCGCTTTGAGGCCAATGATAGAAAAGGAAATACCTTCGTATAATAATTAGACGGAATCATTCTCAGAAACTGCTTTGCAATGTGTGCGTTCAACTCACAGTGTTTAACCTTTCTTTTCATACAGTTGTTTCGAAACACTCTTTTTGCAGAATCTGCAAGTGGATATTTGGACCTCTTTGAAGTCTTCGTTGGAAATGGGATTTCTTCATATAATGCTAGACAGAAGACTTCTCAGTAACTGCTTTTTCTGGTGTGTATTCAACTCTCAGAGTTGAACTTTCCTTTAGAAACAGCAGATTTGAAACTCTCTTTTTGTGGAATTTGCAAGTGGAGATTTCAGAGCTTTGAGGCCAATGGTAGAAAAGGAAGTATCTTCGTATGCAAACTAGACAGAATCATTCTCAGAAACTACTTTGGTACGTGTGTGTTCAACTCACAGTGTTTAACCTTTCTTTTCATAGAGCAGTTTGGAAACACTCAGTTTGTAAAGTCAGCAACTGGATATTTGGATGTATTTGAGGCCTTCGTTGGAAACGGGATTTCTTCATATAATGCTAGACAGAAGAATTCTCAGTAACTTCTTTGGGTTGTGGGTATTCAAGTCACAGAGTTGAAGCTTCCTTTAGGCGGAGCAGATTGGAAACACTTTTTGTGGAATTTTCAGGGGGAGACTTCAAGCGCTTTGAAGTGAATGGTAGGAAAGGAAATATCTTCGTATAAAAACTAGACGGAGTCATTCTCAGAAACTACTTTGTGATGTTTGCGTTCAACTCACAGAGTTTAACGTTTCTTTTCATAGAGCAGTTTGGAAACACTCTTTTTGCAGAATCTGCAAGTGGATATTTGGACCTCTTTGTGGCCTTCGTTGGAAACGGGATTTTTCATATAATGCTAGACAGAAGAATTCTCAGTAACTTCTTTTTGTGGTGTGTATTCAACTCACAGAGTTGAACCTTCCTTTAGACAGAGCAGATTTGAAACTCTCTTTTTGTGGAATTTGCAAGTGGAGATTTCAAGCGCTTTGAGGCCAACGGCAGAAAAGGAAATATCTTCGTAGAAAAAATAGACGGAATCATTCTCAGAAACTGCTTTGGGATGTGTGCATTGAACTCACAGTGTTTAACACTTCTTTTCATAGAGCACTTTGGAAACACTCAGTTTGTAATGTCTGCAGCTGGATATTTGGACCTCTTTGAGGCCTTCGTAGTAAACGGGATTTCTTCGTGTAATGATAGACAATAGAATTCTCAGTGAATTTTTTTCTGTGTGTGTGTATTCAACTCACAGGGTTGAACCTTCCTTTAGACAGTGCAGATTTGAAACACTTGTCTGTGGAATTTGCAAGGGGAGATTTCAAGCACTTTGAGGCCATTGGTGGAAAAGGAAATATCTTCATATAAAAACTAGACAGAATCATTCTCAGGAACTACTTTGTGATATGTGCATTCAACTCACAGAGTTTAACCTTTCTTTTCATAGATGAGTTTGGAAACAGTCAGTTTGTAAATGCTGCAACTGGATATTTGGGCCTCTTTGAGGCTTTCGTTGGAAACGGGATTTCTTCACATAATGCTAGACAGAAGAATTCGCAGTAACTTCTTTTGGGATGTATGTATTCAACTCGGAGAGTTGAACCTTCCTTTAGACAGAGCGCATTGGAAACACGCTTTTTGCGGAATTTTCAGGTGGAGATTCCAAGAGCCTTGAGACCAATGGTAGAAAAGGATATCTTCATATAAAAACTAGAGGGAATCATTCTCAGAAACTGCTTTCTGATGTGTGCATTAAACTCACAGGGTTGAACATTTCTTTGCATAGAGCAGTTTGGAAAGACTTAGTTTGTACAGTGTGCAAGTGGATATTTGGAACTCTTTGAGGCCTTCGTTGGAAACGGGATTTCTTCTTATAATTCTTGACAAAAGAATTCTCAGTAGCTTCTTTGTGTGTGTGTATTCAACTCACAGAGTTGAACCTTCCTTTAGACAGAGCAGATTGGAAACACTCTTTTTGTGGAATTTGCAAGTGGAGAATTCTAGCGCTTTGACGCCAATGGAAGGAAAGGAAATATCTCCGTATAAAAACTAGACAGTATCATTCTCAGAAACTACTTTGTGATGTGTGCGTTCAACTCACAGAGTTTAACCTTTCTTTTCATAGAGCAGTTTGGAAACACTCTGTTTGTGAAGTCTGCAAGTGGATATTTAAACGTCTTTGAGGCCTTCGTTGGAAACGGGATTTTTTCCTATAAACCAGGACAGAAGAATTCTCAGAAACTTCTTGATTGTTATGTGTGCATTCAACTCACAGAGTTGAACCTTACTTTGGAAAGAGCAGTTTTCTAACACTCTTTTTGTAAAAGTTCCAAGTGAATACTTTGAGTGCTTTGAAGCCTACGGTTGACAACGAAATATCTTCATGTAAAAACTACAAAGAATCATTCGCACAAACCACGTTGTGATCTCTGCATTCAACTCACAGAGTTGAACCTTTCTTCCTATAGAGCAGTTATGAAACAGTCTCTTTGTAGAATTTGCAAGGGTGTATTTAGAGGGCATTGAAGCCTACGGTAGAAAAGGAAATATCTTACCATAAAATCTAGTCAGAAGCATTCTCAGAAACTGAGTTGTGATGTTTGCATTCAACTCACAGAGTTCAACATTCCTTTTAATGGAGCGGTTTTGAAACACTCTTTTTGCAGAATCTGCAAGTGGATATTTGGACCTCTTTGAGGCCTTCGTTGGAAACGGGATTTCTTCATGTAATGCCAGACAGAAGAATTCTCAGTGAATTCTTTCTGTGTGTGTGTATTCAACTCACAGAGTTGAACGTTCCTTTAGACAGAGTAGATTGGAAACACTCTTTTTGTGGAATTTTCAGGTGGAGGTATCAAGCGCTTTGAGGCCAATGATAGAAAAGGAAATACCTTCGTATAATAATTAGACGGAATCATTCTCAGAAACCGCTTTGCAATGTGTGCGTTCAACTCACAGTGTTTAACCTTTCTTTTCATAGAGTTGTTTCGAAACACTCTTTTTGCAGAATCTGCAAGTGGATATTTGGACCTCTTTGAAGTCTTCGTTGGAAATGGGATTTCTTCATATAATGCTAGACAGAAGACTTCTCAGTAACTGCTTTTTCTGGTGTGTATTCAACTCTCAGAGTTGAACTTTCCTTTAGAAACAGCAGATTTGAAACTCTCTTTTTGTGGAATTTGCAAGTGGAGATTTCAGAGCTTTGAGGCCAATGGTAGAAAAGGAAATATCTTCGTATGCAAACTAGACAGAATCATTCTCAGAAACTACTTTGGTACGTGTGTGTTCAACTCACAGTGTTTAACCTTTCTTTTCATAGAGCAGTTTGGAAACACTCAGTTTGTAAAGTCAGCAACTGGATATTTGGATGTATTTGAGGCCTTCGTTGGAAACGGGATTTCTTCATATAATGCTAGACAGAAGAATTCTCAGTAACTTCTTTGGGTTGTGGGTATTCAAGTCACAGAGTTGAAGCTTCCTTTAGGCGGAGCAGATTGGAAACACTTTTTGTGGAATTTTCAGGGGGAGACTTCAAGCGCTTTGAAGTGAATGGTAGGAAAGGAAATATCTTCGTATAAAAACTAGACGGAGTCATTCTCAGAAACTACTTTGTGATGTTTGCGTTCAACTCACAGAGTTTAACGTTTCTTTTCATAGAGCAGTTTGGAAACACTCTTTTTGCAGAATCTGCAAGTGGATATTTGGACCTCTTTGTGGCCTTCGTTGGAAACGGGATTTTTCATATAATGCTAGACAGAAGAATTCTCAGTAACTTCTTTTTGTGGTGTGTATTCAACTCACAGAGTTGAACCTTCCTTTAGACAGAGCAGATTTGAAACTCTCTTTTTGTGGAATTTGCAAGTGGAGATTTCAAGCGCTTTGAGGCCAACGGTAGAAAAGGAAATATCTTCGTAGAGAAAATAGACGGAATCATTCTCAGAAACTGCTTTGGGATGTGTGCATTGAACTCACAGTGTTTAACACTTCTTTTCATAGAGCACTTTGGAAACACTCAGTTTGTAATGTCTGCAGCTGGATATTTGGACCTCTTTGAGGCCTTCGTAGTAAACGGGATTTCTTCGTGTAATGATAGACAATAGAATTCTCAATGAATTTTTTTCTGTGTGTGTGTATTCAACTCACAGGGTTGAACCTTCCTTTAGACAGTGCAGATTTGAAACACTTGTCTGTGGAATTTGCAAGGGGAGATTTCAAGCACTTTGAGGCCATTGGTGGAAAAGGAAATATCTTCGTATGAAAACTAGACAGAATCATTCTCAGGAACTACTTTGTGATATGTGCATTCAACTCCCAGAGTATAACCTTTCTTTTCATAGATGAGTTTGGAAACAGTCAGTTTGTAAATTCTGCAACTGGATATTTGGACCTCTTTGAGGCTTTCGTTGGAAACGGGATTTCTTCACATAATGCTAGACAGAAGAATTCTCAGTAACTTCTTTTGGGATGTATGTATTCAACTCAGAGAGTTGAACCTTCCTTTAGACAGAGCAGATTGAAAACACGCTTTTTGCGGAATTTTCAGGTGGAGATTTCAAGAGCCTTGAGGCCCATGGTAGAAAAGGCTATCTTCGTATAAAAACTAGACGGAATCATTCTCAGAAACTGCTTTGTGATGTGTGTATTAAACTCACAGAGTTGAACATTTCTTTTCCTAGAGCAGTTTGGAAAGACTTAGTTTGTGTAGTGTGCAAGTGGATATTTGGAACTCTTTGAGGCCTTCTTTGGAAACGGGATTTCTTCTTATAATTCTTGACAAAAGAATTCTCAGTAGCTTCTTTGTGTGTGTGTACTCAACTCACAGAGTTGAACCTTCCTTTAGACAGAGCAGATTGGAAACACTCTTTTTGTGGAATTTGCAAGTGGAAAATTCTAGCAGTATGAGGCCAATGGTACAAAAGGGAATATCTTCGTATAAAAACTAGACAGTATCATTCTCAGAAACTACTTTGGGATGTGTGCATTCAACTCACAGTGTTTAACACTTCTTTTCATAGAGCACTTTGGAAACACTCTGTTTGTAAGGTTTGCAACTGGATATTTGTACCTCTTTGAGGCATTCGCAGTAAACGGGATTTCTTCGTGTAATGATAGACAGTAGAATTCTCAGTGAATTTTTTTTGTGTGTGTGTATTCAACTCACAGGGTTGAACTTTCCTTTAGACAGTGCAGATTTGAAACACTTTTTGTGGAATTTGCAAGGGGAGATTTCAAGCACCTTGAGGCCAGTGGTGGAAAAGGAAATATGTTCGTATAAAAACTAGACAGAATCATTCTCAGGAACTACTTTGTGATATGTGCATTCAACTCACACAGTTTAACCTTTCTTTTCATAGAGGAGTTTGGAAACACTCAGTTTGTAATTCTACAACTGGATATTTGGACCTCTTTGAGGCTTTCGTTGGAAACGGGATTTCTTCACATAATTCTAGACAGAAGAATTCTAAGTAACTTCTTATGGGTTGTGTGTATTCAACTCAGAGAGTTGAACCTTCCTTTAGACAGAGCAGATTGGAAACCCTCTTTTTGCCGAATTTTCAGGTGGAGATTTCAAGAGCTTTGAGGCCAATGGTAGAAAAGGCTATCTTCGTATAAAAACTAGACGGAATCATTCTCAGAAACTGCTTTGTGATGTGTGCATTAAACTCACAGAGTTGAACATTTCTTTTTCATAGAGCAGTTTGGAAAGACTTAGTTTGTACAGTCTGCAAGTGGATATTTGGAACTCTTTGAGGCCTTCGTTGGAAACGGGATTTCTTATAATTCTTGACAAAAGAATTCTCAGTAGCTTCTTTGTGTGTGTGTATTCAACTCACAGAGTTGAACCTTCCTTTAGACAGAGCAGATTGGAAACACCCTTTTGGTGGAATTTGCAAGTGGAGAATTCTACGATTTGAGGTCAATGGTAGAAAAGGAAATATCTTCGTATAAAAACTAAACAGTATCATTCTCAGAAGCTACTTTGTGATGTGTGCGTTCAACTCACAGAGTTTAACCTTTCTTTTCATAGAGCAGTTTGGAAACCCTCTGTTTGTGAAGTCTGCAAGTGGATATTTAAACGTCTTTGAGGCCTTCGTTGGAAACGGGATTTTTTCATATAAACCAGGACAGAAGAATTCTCAGAAACTTCTTGATTGTTATGTGTGCATTCAACTCACAGAGTTGAACCTTACTTTGGAAAGAGCAGTTTTCTAACACTCTTTTTGTAAAAGTTCCAAGTGAATACTTTGAGTGCTTTGAAGCCTACGGTTGACAACGAAATATCTTCATGTAAAAACTACAAAGAATCATTCGCAGAAACCACGTTGTGATCCCTGCATTCAACTCACAGAGTTCAACCTTTCTTCCTATAGAGCAGTTATGAAACAGTCTCTTTGTAGAATTTGCAAGGGTGTATTTAGAGGGCATTGAAGCCTACGGTAGAAAAGGAAATATCTTACCATAAAATCTAGTCAGAAGCATTCTCAGCAACTGAGTTGTGATGTTTCCATTCAACTCACAGAGTTCAACATTCCTTTTAATGGAGCGGTTTTGAAACACTCTTTTTGCAGAATCTGCAAGTGGATATTTGGACCTCTTTGAGGCCTTCGTTGGAAACGGGATTTCTTCATGTAATGCCAGACAGAAGAATTCTCAGTGAATTCTTTCTGTGTGTGTGTATTCAACTCACAGAGTTGAACGTTCCTTTAGACAGAGTAGATTGGAAACACTCTTTTTGTGGAATTTTCAGGTGGAAGTATCAAGCGCTTTGAGGCCAATGATAGAAAAGGAAATACCTTCGTATAATAATTAGACGGAATCATTCTCAGAAACCGCTTTGCAATGTGTGCGTTCAACTCACAGTGTTTAACCTTTCTTTTCATACAGTTGTTTCGAAACACTCTTTTTGCAGAATCTGCAAGTGGATATTTGGACCTCTTTGAAGTCTTCGTTGGAAATGGGATTTCTTCATATAATGCTAGACAGAAGACTTCTCAGTAACTGCTTTTTCTGGTGTGTATTCAACTCTCAGAGTTGAACTTTCCTTTAGAAACAGCAGATTTGAAACTCTCTTTTTGTGGAATTTGCAAGTGGAGATTTCAGAGCTTTGAGGCCAATGGTAGAAAAGGAAATATCTTCGTATGCAAACTAGACAGAATCATTCTCAGAAACTACTTTGGTACGTGTGTGTTCAACTCACAGTGTTTAACCTTTCTTTTCATAGAGCAGTTTGGAAACACTCAGTTTGTAAAGTCAGCAACTGGATATTTGGATGTATTTGAGGCCTTCGTTGGAAACGGGATTTCTTCATATAATGCTAGACAGAAGAATTCTCAGTAACTTCTTTGGGTTGTGGGTATTCAACTCACAGAGTTGAAGCTTCCTTTAGGCGGAGCAGATTGGAAACACTTTTTGTGGAATTTTCAGGGGGAGACTTCAAGCGCTTTGAAGTGAATGTTAGGAAAGGTAATATTCTTCGTATAAAAACTAGACGGAGTCATTCTCAGAAACTACTTTGTGATGTTTGCGTTCAACTCACAGAGTTTAACGTTTCTTTTCATAGAGCAGTTTGGAGACACTCTTTTTGCAGAATCTGCAAGTGGATATTTGGACCTCTTTGGGGCCTTCGTTGGAAACGGGATTTTTCATATAATGCTAGACAGAAGAATTCTCAGTAACTTCTTTTTGTGGTGTGTATTCAACTCACAGAGTTGAACCTTCCTTTAGACAGAGCAGATTTGAAACTCTCTTTTTGTGGAATTTGCAAGTGGAGATTTCAAGCGCTTTGAGGCCAACGGCAGAAAAGGAAATATCTTCGTAGAGAAAATAGACGGAATCATTCTCAGAAACTGCTTTGGGATGTGTGCATTGAACTCACAGTGTTTAACACTTCTTTTCATAGAGCACTTTGGAAACACTCAGTTTGTAATGTCTGCAGCTGGATATTTGGACCTCTTTGAGGCCTTCGTAGTAAACGGGATTTCTTCGTGTAATGATAGACAATAGAATTCTCAGTGAATTTTTTTCTGTGTGTGTGTATTCAACTCACAGGGTTGAACCTTCCTTTAGACAGTGCAGATTTGAGACACTTGTCTGTGGAATTTGCAAGGGGAGATTTCAAGCACTTTGAGGCCATTGGTGGAAAAGGAAATATCTTCGTATAAAAACTAGACAGAATCATTCTCAGGAACTACTTTGTGATATGTGCATTCAACTCACAGAGTTTAACCTTTCTTTTCATAGATGAGTTTGGAAACAGTCAGTTTGTAAATGCTGCAACTGGATATTTGGGCCTCTTTGAGGCTTTCGTTGGAAACGGGATTTCTTCACATAATGCTAGACAGAAGAATTCTCAGTAACTTCTTTTGGGATGTATGTATTCAAATCAGAGAGTTGAACCTTCCTTTAGACAGAGCGGATTGGAAACACTCTTTTTGTGGAATTTGCAAGTGGAAAATTCTAGCAGTATGAGGCCAATGGTACAAAAGGAAATATCTTCGTATAAAAACTAGACAGTATCATTCTCAGAAACTGCTTTGTGATGTGTGTATTAAACTCACAGAGTTGAACATTTCTTTGCATAGAGCAGTTTGGAAAGACTTAGTTTGTGCAGTGTGCAAGTGGATATTTGGAACTCTTTGAGGCCTTCGTTGGAAACGGGATTTCTTCTTATAATTTCTTGAAAAAAGAATTCTCAGTAGCTTCTTTGTGTGTGTGTATTCAACTCACAGAGTTGAACCTTCCTTTAGACAGAGCAGATTGGAAACACTCTTTTTGTGGAATTTGCAAGTGGAGAATTCTAGCGCTTTGACGCCAATGGTAGAAAGGAAATATCTTCGTATAAAAACTAGACAGTATCATTCTCAGAAGCTACTTTGTGATGTGTGCGTTCAACTCACAGAGTTTAACCTTTCTTTTCATAGAGCAGTTTGGAAACCCTCTGTTTGTGAAGTCTGCAAGTGGATATTTAAACGTCTTTGAGGCCTTCGTTGGAAACGGGATTTTTCCATATAAACCAGGACAGAAGAATTCTCAGAAACTTCTTGATTGTTATGTGTGCATTCAACTCACAGAGTTGAACCTTACTTTGGAAAGAGCAGTTTTCTAACACTCTTTTTGTAAAAGTTCCAAGTGAATACTTTGAGTGCTTTGAAGCCTACGGTTGACAACGAAATATCTTCATGTAAAAACTACAAAGAATCATTCGCAGAAACCACGTTGTGATCTCTGCATTCAACTCACAGAGTTGAATCTTTCTTCCTATAGAGCAGTTGTGAAACAGTCTCTTTGTAGAATTTGCAAGGGTGTATTTAGAGGGCATTGAAGCCTACGGTAGAAAAGGAAATATCTTACCATAAAATCTAGTCAGAAGCATTCTCAGAAACTGAGTTGTGATGTTTGCATTCAACTCACAGAGTTCAACATTCCTTTTAATGGAGCGGTTTTGAAACACTCTTTTTGCAGAATCTGCAAGTGGATATTTGGACCTCTTTGAGGCCTTCGTTGGAAACGGGATTTCTTCATGTAATGCCAGACAGAAGAATTCTCAGTGAATTCTTTCTGTGTGTGTGTATTCAACTCACGGAGTTGAACGTTCCTTTAGACAGAGTAGATTGGAAACACTCTTTTTGTGGAATTTTCAGGTGGAGGTATCAAGCGCTTTGAGGCCAATGATAGAAAAGGAAATACCCTTCGTATAATAATTAGACGGAATCATTCTCAGAAACCGCTTTGCAATGTGTGCGTTCAACTCACAGTGTTTAACCTTTCTTTTCATACAGTTGTTTCGAAACACTCTTTTTGCAGAATCTGCAAGTGGATATTTGGACCTCTTTGAAGTCTTCGTTGGAAATGGGATTTCTTCATATAATGCTAGACAGAAGACTTCTCAGTAACTGCTTTTTCTGGTGTGTATTCAACTCTCAGAGTTGAACTTTCCTTTAGAAACAGCAGATTTGAAACTCTCTTTTTGTGGAATTTGCAAGTGGAGATTTCAGAGCTTTGAGGTCAATGGTAGAAAAGGAAATATCTTCGTATGCAAACTAGACAGAATCATTCTCAGAAACTACTTTGGTACGTGTGTGTTCAACTCACAGTGTTTAACCTTTCTTTTCATAGAGCAGTTTGGAAACACTCAGTTTGTAAAGTCAGCAACTGGATATTTGGATGTATTTGAGGCCTTCGTTGGAAACGGGATTTCTTCATATAATGCTAGACAGAAGAATTCTCAGTAACTTCTTTGGGTTGTGGGTATTCAACTCACAGAGTTGAAGCTTCCTTTAGGCGGAGCAGATTGGAAACACTTTTTGTGGAATTTTCAGGGGGAGACTTCAAGCGCTTTGAAGTGAATGGTAGGAAAGGAAATATCTTCGTATAAAAACTAGACGGAGTCATTCTCAGAAACTACTTTGTGATGTTTGCGTTCAACTCACAGAGTTTAACGTTTCTTTTCATAGAGCAGTTTGGAAACACTCTTTTTGCAGAATCTGCAAGTGGATATTTGGACCTCTTTGTGGCCTTCGTTGGAAACGGGATTTTTCATATAATGCTAGACAGAAGAATTCTCAGTAACTTCTTTTTGTGGTGTGTATTCAACTCACAGAGTTGAACCTTACTTTGGAAAGAGCAGTTTTCTAACACTCTTTTTGTAAAAGTTCCAAGTGAATACTTTGAGTGCTTTGAAGCCTACGGTTGACAACGAAATATCTTCATGTAAAAACTACAAAGAATCATTCGCAGAAACCAAGTTGTGATCTCTGCATTCAACTCACAGAGTTCAACCTTTCTTCCTATAGAGCAGTTATGAAACAGTCTCTTTGTAGAATTTGCAAGGGTGTATTTAGAGGGCATTGAAGCCTACGGTAGAAAAGGAAATATCTTACCATAAAATCTAGTCAGAAGCATTCTCAGCAACTGAGTTGTGATGTTTGCATTCAACTCACAGAGTTCAACATTCCTTTTAATGGAGCGGTTTTGAAACACTCTTTTTGCAGAATCTGCAAGTGGATATTTGGACCTCTTTGAGGCCTTCGTTGGAAACGGGATTTCTTCATGTAATGCCAGACAGAAGAATTCTCAGTGAATTCTTTCTGTGTGTGTGTATTCAACTCACAGAGTTGAACGTTCCTTTAGACAGAGTAGATTGGAAACACTCTTTTTGTGGAATTTTCAGGTGGATGTATCAAGCGCTTTGAGGCCAATGATAGAAAAGGAAATACCTTCGTATAATAATTAGACGGAATCATTCTCAGAAACTGCTTTGCAATGTGTGCGTTCAACTCACAGTGTTTAACCTTTCTTTTCATACAGTTGTTTCGAAACACTCTTTTTGCAGAATCTGCAAGTGGATATTTGGACCTCTTTGAAGTCTTCGTTGGAAATGGGATTTCTTCATATAATGCTAGACAGAAGACTTCTCAGTAACTGCTTTTTCTGGTGTGTATTCAACTCTCAGAGTTGAACTTTCCTTTAGAAACAGCAGATTTGAAACTCTCTTTTTGTGGAATTTGCAAGTGGAGATTTCAGAGCTTTGAGGCCAATGGTAGAAAAGGAAATATCTTCGTATGCAAACTAGACAGAATCATTCTCAGAAACTACTTTGGTACGTGTGTGTTCAACTCACAGTGTTTAACCTTTCTTTTCATAGAGCAGTTTGGAAACACTCAGTTTGTAAAGTCAGCAACTGGATATTTGGATGTATTTGAGGCCTTCGTTGGAAACGGGATTTCTTCATATAATGCTAGACAGAAGAATTCTCAGTAACTTCTTTGGGTTGTGGGTATTCAAGTCACAGAGTTGAAGCTTCCTTTAGGCGGAGCAGATTGGAAACACTTTTTGTGGAATTTTCAGGGGGAGACTTCAAGCGCTTTGAAGTGAATGGTAGGAAAGGAAATATCTTCGTATAAAAACTAGACGGAGTCATTCTCAGAAACTACTTTGTGATGTTTGCGTTCAACTCACAGAGTTTAACGTTTCTTTTCATAGAGCAGTTTGGAAACACTCTTTTTGCAGAATCTGCAAGTGGATATTTGGACCTCTTTGTGGCCTTCGTTGGAAACGGGATTTTTCATATAATGCTAGACAGAAGAATTCTCAGTAACTTCTTTTTGTGGTGTGTATTCAACTCACAGAGTTGAACCTTCCTTTAGACAGAGCAGATTTGAAACTCTCTTTTTGTGGAATTTGCAAGTGGAGATTTCAAGCGCTTTGAGGCCAACGGCAGAAAAGGAAATATCTTCGTAGAAAAAATAGACGGAATCATTCTCAGAAACTGCTTTGGGATGTGTGCATTGAACTCACAGTGTTTAACACTTCTTTTCATAGAGCACTTTGGAAACACTCAGTTTGTAATGTCTGCAGCTGGATATTTGGACCTCTTTGAGGCCTTCGTAGTAAACGGGATTTCTTCGTGTAATGATAGACAGTAGAATTCTCAGTGAATTTTTTTCTGTGTGTGTGTATTCAACTCACAGGGTTGAACCTTCCTTTAGACAGTGTAGATTTGAAACACTTGTCTGTGGAATTTGCAAGGGGAGATTTGAAGCACTTTGAGGCCATTGGTGGAAAAGGAAATATCTTCGTATAAAAACTAGACAGAATCATTC
This sequence comes from Homo sapiens, assembly GCF_000001405.40. NCBI lineage: Eukaryota > Metazoa > Chordata > Mammalia > Primates > Hominidae > Homo > Homo sapiens. Next base: position 92,978,316 of record NC_000003.12, read on the forward strand.
TCAGGAACTACTTTGTGATATGTGCATTCAACTCCCAGAGTTTAACCTTTCTTTTCATAGATGAGTTTGGAAACAGTCAGTTTGTAAATTCTGCAACTGGATATTTGGACCTCTTTGAGGCTTTCGTTGGAAACGGGATTTCTTCACATAATGCTAGACAGAAGAATTCTCAGTAACTTCTTTTGGGATGTATGTATTCAAATCAGAGAGTTGAACCTTCCTTTAGACAGAGCGGATTGGAAACACTCTTTTTGTGGAATTTGCAAGTGGAAAATTCTAGCAGTATGAGGCCAATGGTACAAAAGGAAATATCTTCGTATAAAAACTAGACAGTATCATTCTCAGAAACTGCTTTGTGATGTGTGTATTAAACTCACAGAGTTGAACATTTCTTTGCATAGAGCAGTTTGGAAAGACTCAGTTTGTGCAGTGTGCAAGTGGATATTTGGAACTCTTTGAGGCCTTCGTTGGAAACGGGATTTCTTCTTATCATTCTTGACAAAAGAATTCTCAGTAGCTTCTTTGTGTGTGTGTATTCAACTCACAGAGGTGAACCTTCCTTTAGACAGAGCAGATTGGAAACACTCTTTTTGTGGAATTTGCAAGTGGAGAATTCTAGCGCTTTGACGCCAATGGTAGAAAGGAAATATCTTCGTATAAAAACTAGACAGTATCATTCTCAGAAGCTACTTTGTGATGTGTGCGTTCAACTCACAGAGTTTAACCTTTCTTTTCATAGAGCAGTTTGGAAACCCTCTGTTTGTGAAGTCTGCAAGTGGATATTTAAACGTCTTTGAGGCCTTCGTTGGAAACGGGATTTTTTCATATAAACCAGGACAGAAGAATTCTCAGAAACTTCTTGATTGTTATGTGTGCATTCAACTCACAGAGTTGAACCTTACTTTGGAAAGAGCAGTTTTCTAACACTCTTTTTGTAAAAGTTCCAAGTGAATACTTTGAGTGCTTTGAAGCCTACGGTTGACAACGAAATATCTTCATGTAAAAACTACAAAGAATCATTCGCAGAAACCACGTTGTGATCTCTGCAGTCAACTCACAGAGTTCAACCTTTCTTCCTATAGAGCAGTTATGAAACAGTCTCTTTGTAGAATTTGCAAGGGTGTATTTAGAGGGCATTGAAGCCTACGGTAGAAAAGGAAATATCTTACCATAAAATCTAGTCAGAAGCATTCTCAGAAACTGAGTTGTGATGTTTGCATTCAACTCACAGAGTTCAACATTCCTTTTAATGGAGCGGTTTTGAAACACTCTTTTTGCAGAATCTGCAAGTGGATATTTGGACCTCTTTGAGGCCTTCGTTGGAAACGGGATTTCTTCATGTAATGCCAGACAGAAGAATTCTCAGTGAATTCTTTCTGTGTGTGTGTATTCAACTCACAGAGTTGAACGTTCCTTTAGACAGAGTAGATTGGAAACACTCTTTTTGTGGAATTTTCAGGTGGAGGTATCAAGCGCTTTGAGGCCAATGATAGAAAAGGAAATACCTTCGTATAATAATTAGACGGAATCATTCTCAGAAACTGCTTTGCAATGTGTGCGTTCAACTCACAGTGTTTAACCTTTCTTTTCATACAGTTGTTTCGAAACACTCTTTTTGCAGAATCTGCAAGTGGATATTTGGACCTCTTTGAAGTCTTCGTTGGAAATGGGATTTCTTCATATAATGCTAGACAGAAGACTTCTCAGTAACTGCTTTTTCTGGTGTGTATTCAACTCTCAGAGTTGAACTTTCCTTTAGAAACAGCAGAGTTGAAACTCTCTTTTTGTGGAATTTGCAAGTGGAGATTTCAAAGCTTTGAGGCCAATGGTAGAAAAGGAAATATCTTCGTATGCAAACTAGACAGAATCATTCTCAGAAACTACTTTGGTACGTGTGTGTTCAACTCACAGTGTTTAACCTTTCTTTTCATAGAGCAGTTTGGAAACACTCAGTTTGTAAAGTCAGCAACTGGATATTTGGATGTATTTGAGGCCTTCGTTGGAAACGGGATTTCTTCATATAGTGCTAGACAGAAGAATTCTCAGTAACTTCTTTGGGTTGTGGGTATTCAACTCACAGAGTTGAAGCTTCCTTTAGGCGGAGCAGATTGGAAACACTTTTTGTGGAATTTTCAGGGGGAGACTTCAAGCGCTTTGAAGTGAATGGTAGAAAAGGAAATATCTTCGTATAAAAACTAGACGGAGTCATTCTCAGAAACTACTTTGTGATGTTTGCGTTCAACTCACAGAGTTTAACGTTTCTTTTCATAGAGCAGTTTGGAAACACTCTTTTTGCAGAATCTGCAAGTGGATATTTGGACCTCTTTGTGGCCTTCGTTGGAAACGGGATTTTTCATATAATGCTAGACAGAAGAATTCTCAGTAACTTCTTTTTGTGGTGTGTATTCAACTCACAGAGTTGAACCTTCCTTTAGACAGAGCAGATTTGAAACTCTCTTTTTGTGGAATTTGCAAGTGGAGATTTCAAGCGCTTTGAGGCCAACGGTAGAAAAGGAAATATCTTCGTAGAAAAAATAGACGGAATCATTCTCAGAAACTGCTTTGGGATGTGTGCATTGAACTCACAGTGTTTAACACTTCTTTTCATAGAGCACTTTGGAAACACTCAGTTTGTAATGTCTGCAGCTGGTTATTTGGACCTCTTTGAGGCCTTCGTAGTAAACGGGATTTCTTCGTGTAATGATAGACAATAGAATTCTCAGTGAATTTTTTTCTGTGTGTGTGTATTCAACTCACAGGGTTGAACCTTCCTTTAGACAGTGCAGATTTGCAACACTTGTCTGTGGAATTTGCAAGGGGAGATTTCAAGCACTTTGAGGTCATTGGTGGAAAAGGAAATATCTTCGTATAAAAACTAGACAGAATCATTCTCAGGAACTACTTTGTGATATGTGCATTCAACTCACAGAGTTTAACCTTTCTTTTCATAGATGAGTTTGGAAACAGTCAGTTTGTGAATTCTGCAACTGGATATTTGGACCTCTTTGAGGCTTTCGTTGGAAACGGGATTTCTTCACATAATGCTAGACAGAAGAATTCTCAGTAACTTCTTTTGGGATGTATGTATTCAACTCAGAGAGTTGAACCTTCCTTTAGACAGAGCAGATTGAAAACACGCTTTTTGTGGAATTTTCAGGTGGAGATTTCAAGAGCCTTGAGGCCAATGGTAGAAAAGGCTATCTTCGTATAAAAACTAGACGGAATCATTCTCAGAAACTGCTTTGTGATGTGTGTATTAAACTCACAGAGTTGAACATTTCTTTTCATAGAACTGTTTGGAAAGACTTAGTTTGTACAGTGTGCAAGTGTATACTTGGAACTCTTTGAGGCTTTCGTTGGAAACGGGATTTCTTATAATTCTTGACAAAAGAATTCTCAGTAGCTTCTTTGTGTGTGTGTACTCAACTCACAGAGTTGAACCTTCCTTTAGACAGAGCAGATTGGAAACACTCTTTTTGTGGAATTTGCAAGTGGAGAATTCTAGCGATTTGAGGCCAATGGTACAAAAGGAAATATCTTCGTATAAAAACTAGACAGTATCATTCTCAGAAGCTACTTTGTGATGTGTGCGTTCAACTCACAGAGTTTAACCTTTCTTTTCATAGAGCAGTTTGGAAACCCTCTGTTTGTGAAGTCTGCAAGTGGATATTTAAACGTCTTTGAGGCCTTCGTTGGAAACGGGATTTTTTCATATAAACCAGGACAGAAGAATTCTCAGAAACTTCTTGATTGTTATGTGTGCATTCAACTCACAGAGTTGAACCTTACTTTGGAAAGAGCAGTTTTCTAACACTCTTTTTGTAAAAGTTCCAAGTGAATACTTTGAGTGCTTTGAAGCCTACGGTTGACAACGAAATATCTTCATGTAAAAACTACAAAGAATCATTCGCAGAAACCACGTTGTGATCTCTGCAGTCAACTCACAGAGTTCAACCTTTCTTCCTATAGAGCAGTTATGAAACAGTCTCTTTGTAGAATTTGCAAGGGTGTATTTAGAGGGCATTGAAGCCTACGGTAGAAAAGGAAATATCTTACCATAAAATCTAGTCAGAAGCATTCTCAGCAACTGAGTTGTGATGTTTGCATTCAACTCACAGAGTTCAACATTTCTTTTAATGGAGCGGTTTTGAAACACTCTTTTTGCAGAATCTGCAAGTGGATATTTGGACCTCTTTGAGGTCTTCGTTGGAAACGGGATTTCTTCATGTAATGCCAGACAGAAGAATTCTCAGTGAATTCTTTCTGTGTGTGTGTATTCAACTCACAGAGTTGAACGTTCCTTTAGACAGAGTAGATTGGAAACACTCTTTTTGTGGAATTTTCAGGTGGAGGTATCAAGCGCTTTGAGGCCAATGATAGAAAAGGAAATACCTTCGTATAATAATTAGACGGAATCATTCTCAGAAACCGCTTTGCAATGTGTGCGTTCAACTCACAGTGTTTAACCTTTCTTTTCATACAGTTGTTTCGAAACACTCTTTTTGCAGAATCTGCAAGTGGATATTTGGACCTCTTTGAAGTCTTCGTTGGAAATGGGATTTCTTCATATAATGCTAGACAGAAGACTTCTCAGTAACTGCTTTTTCTGGTGTGTATTCAACTCTCAGAGTTGAACTTTCCTTTAGAAACAGCAGATTTGAAACTCTCTTTTTGTGGAATTTGCAAGTGGAGATTTCAGAGCTTTGAGGCCAATGGTAGAAAAGGAAATATCTTCGTATGCAAACTAGACAGAATCATTCTCAGAAACTACTTTGGTACGTGTGTGTTCAACTCACAGTGTTTAACCTTTCTTTTCATAGAGCAGTTTGGAAACACTCAGTTTGTAAAGTCAGCAACTGGATATTTGGATGTATTTGAGGCCTTCGTTGGAAACGGGATTTCTTCATATAATGCTAGACAGAAGAATTCTCAGTAACTTCTTTGGGTTGTGGGTATTCAACTCACAGAGTTGAAGCTTCCTTTAGGCGGAGCAGATTGGAAACACTTTTTGTGGAATTTTCAGGGGGAGACTTCAAGCGCTTTGAAGTGAATGGTAGGAAAGGAAATATCTTCGTATAAAAACTAGACGGAGTCATTCTCAGAAACTACTTTGTGATGTTTGCGTTCAACTCACAGAGTTTAACGTTTCTTTTCATAGAGCAGTTTGGAAACACTCTTTTTGCAGAATCTGCAAGTGGATATTTGGACCTCTTTGTGGCCTTCGTTGGAAACGGGATTTTTCATATAATGCTAGACAGAAGAATTCTCAGTAACTTCTTTTTGTGGTGTGTATTCAACTCACAGAGTGGAACCTTCCTTTAGACAGAGCAGATTTGAAACTCTCTTTTTGTGGAATTTGCAAGTTGAGATTTCAAGCGCTTTGAGGCCAACGGTAGAAAAGGAAATATCTTCGTAGAAAAAATAGACGGAATCATTCTCAGAAACTTCTTTGGGATGTGTGCATTGAACTCACAGTGTTTAACACTTCTTTTCCTAGAGCACTTTGGAAACACTCAGTTTGTAAAGTCAGCAACTGGATATTTTGATGTACTTGAGGCCTTCGTTGGAAACGGGATTTCTTCATATAATGCGAGACAGAAGAATTCTCAGTAACTTCTTTGTGTTGTGGGTATTCAACTCACAGAGTTGAAGCTTCCTTTAGGCGGAGCAGATTGGAAACACTTTTTGTGGAATTTTCAGGCGGAGACTTCAAGCGCTTTGAGGCCAACGGTAGAAAAGGAAATATCTTCGTATAAAAACTAGACGGAGTCATTCTCAGAAACTACTTTGTGATGTTTGCGTTCAACTCACAGAGTTTGACGTTTCTTTTCATAGAGCAGTTTGGAAACACTCTTTTTGCAGAATCTGCAAGTGGATATTTGGACCTCTTTGTGGCCTTCGTTGGAAACGGGATTTTTCATATAATGCTAGACAGAAGAATTCTCAGTAACTTCTTTTTGTGGTGTGTATTCAACTCACAGAGTTGAACCTTCCTTTAGACAGAGCAGATTTGAAACTCTCTTTTTGTGGAATTTGCAAGTGGAGATTTCAAGCGCTTTGAGGCCAACGGTAGAAAAGGAAATATCTTCGTAGAAAAAATAGACGGAATCATTCTCAGAAACTGCTTTGGGATGTGTGCATTGAACTCACAGTGTTTAACACTTCTTTTCATAGAGCACTTTGGAAACACTCAGTTTGGAATGTCTGCAGCTGGATATTTGGACCTCTTTGAGGCCTTCGTAGTAAACGGGATTTCTTCGGGTAATGATAGACAATAGACTTCTCAGTGAATTTTTTTCTGTGTGTGTGTATTCAACTCACAGGGTTGAACCTTCCTTTAGACAGTGCAGATTTGAGACACTTGTCTGTGGAATTTGCAAGGGGAGATTTCAAGCACTTTGAGGCCATTGGTGGAAAAGGAAATATCTTCGTATGAAAACTAGACAGAAATCATTCTCAGGAACTACTTTGTGATATGTGCATTCAACTCACAGAGTTTAACCTTTCTTTTCATAGATGAGTTTGGAAACAGTCAGTTTGTAAATGCTGCAACTGGATATTTGGGCCTCTTTGAGGCTTTCGTTGGAAACGGGATTTCTTCACATAATGCTAGACAGAAGAATTCTCAGTAACTTCTTTTGGGATGTATGTATTCAAATCAGAGAGTTGAACCTTCCTTTAGACAGAGCGGATTGGAAACACTCTTTTTGTGGAATTTGCAAGTGGAAAATTCTAGCAGTATGAGGCCAATGGTACAAAAGGAAATATCTTCGTATAAAAACTAGACAGTATCATTCTCAGAAACTGCTTTGTGATGTGTGTATTAAACTCACAGATTTGAACATTTCTTTGCATAGAGCAGTATGGAAAGACTTAGTTTGTGCAGTGTGCAAGTGGATATTTGGAACTCTTTGAGGCCTTGGTTGGAAACGGGATTTCTTCTTATAATTGCTTGACAAAAGAATTCTCAGTAGCTTCTTTGTGTGTGTGTATTCAACTCACAGAGTTGAACCTTCCTTTAGACAGAGCAGATTGGAAACACTCTTTTTGTGGAATTTGCAAGTGGAGAATTCTAGCGCTTTGACGCCAATGGTAGAAAGGAAATATCTTCGTATAAAAACTAGACAGTATCATTCTCAGAAACTACTTTGTGATGTGTGCGTTCAACTCACAGAGTTTAACCTTTCTTTTCATAGAGCAGTTTGGAAACACTCTGTTTGTGAAGTCTGCAAGTGGATATTTAAACATCTTTGAGGCCTTCGTTGGAAACGGGATTTGTTCATATAAACCAGGACAGAAGAATTCTCAGAAACTTCTTGATTGTTATGTGTGCATTCAACTCACAGAGTTGAACCTTACTTTGGAAAGAGCAGTTTTCTAACACTCTTTTTGTAAAAGTTCCAAGTGAATACTTTGAGTGCTTTGAAGCCTACGGTTGACAACGAAATATCTTCATGTAAAAACTACAAAGAATCATTCGCAGAAACCACGTTGTGATCTCTGCATTCAACTCACAGAGTTGAACCTTTCTTCCTATAGAGCAGTTATGAAACAGTCTCTTTGTAGAATTTGCAAGGGTGTATTTAGAGGGCATTGAAGCCTACGGTAGAAAAGGAAATATCTTACCATAAAATCTAGTCAGAAGCATTCTCAGCAACTGAGTTGTGATGTTTGCATTCAACTCACAGAGTTCAACATTCCTTTTAATGGAGCGGTTTTGAAACACTCTTTTTGCAGAATCTGCAAGTGGATATTTGGACCTCTTTGAGGCCTTCGTTGGAAACGGGATTTCTTCATGTAATGCCAGACAGAAGAATTCTCAGTGAATTCTTTCTGTGTGTGTGTATTCAACTCACAGAGTTGAACGTTCCTTTAGACAGAGTAGATTGGAAACACTCTTTTTGTGGAATTTTCAGGTGGAGGTATCAAGCGCTTTGAGGCCAATGATAGAAAAGGAAATACCTTCGTATAATAATTAGACGGAATCATTCTCAGAAACTGCTTTGCAATGTGTGCGTTCAACTCACAGTGTTTAACCTTTCTTTTCATACAGTTGTTTCGAAACACTCTTTTTGCAGAATCTGCAAGTGGATATTTGGACCTCTTTGAAGTCTTCGTTGGAAATGGGATTTCTTCATATAATGCTAGACAGAAGACTTCTCAGTAACTGCTTTTTCTGGTGTGTATTCAACTCTCAGAGTTGAACTTTCCTTTAGAAACAGCAGATTTGAAACTCTCTTTTTGTGGAATTTGCAAGTGGAGATTTCAGAGCTTTGAGGCCAATGGTAGAAAAGGAAATATCTTCGTATGCAAACTAGACAGAATCATTCTCAGAAACTACTTTGGTACGTGTGTGTTCAACTCACAGTGTTTAACCTTTCTTTTCATAGAGCAGTTTGGAAACACTCAGTTTGTAAAGTCAGCAACTGGATATTTGGATGTATTTGAGGCCTTCGTTGGAAACGGGATTTCTTCATATAATGCTAGACAGAAGAATTCTCAGTAACTTCTTTGGGTTGTGGGTATTCAACTCACAGAGTTGAAGCTTCCTTTAGGCGGAGCAGATTGGAAACACTTTTTGTGGAATTTTCAGGGGGAGACTTCAAGCGCTTTGAAGTGAATGGTAGGAAAGGAAATATCTTCGTATAAAAACTAGACGGAGTCATTCTCAGAAACTACTTTGTGATGTTTGCGTTCAACTCACAGAGTTTAACGTTTCTTTTCATAGAGCAGTTTGGAAACACTCTTTTTGCAGAATCTGCAAGTGGATATTTGGACCTCTTTGTGGCCTTCGTTGGAAACGGGATTTTTCATATAATGCTAGACAGAAGAATTCTCAGTAACTTCTTTTTGTGGTGTGTATTCAACTCACAGAGTTGAACCTTCCTTTAGACAGAGCAGATTTGAAACTCTCTTTTTGTGGAATTTGCAAGTGGAGATTTCAAGCGCTTTGAGGCCAACGGTAGAAAAGGAAATATCTTCGTAGAAAAAATAGACGGAATCATTCTCAGAAACTGCTTTGGGATGTGTGCATTGAACTCACAGTGTTTAACACTTCTTTTCATAGAGCACTTTGGAAACACTCAGTTTGTAATGTCTGCAGCTGGATATTTGGACCTCTTTGAGGCCTTCGTAGTAAACGGGATTTCTTCGTGTAATGATAGACAATAGAATTCTCAGTGAATTTTTTCTGTGTGTGTGTATTCAACTCACAGGGTTGAACCTTCCTTTAGACAGTGCAGATTTGAGACACTTGTCTGTGGAATTTGCAAGGGGAGATTTCAAGCACTTTGAGGCCATTGGTGGAAAAGGAAATATCTTCGTATAAAAACTAGACAGAATCATTCTCAGGAACTACTTTGTGATATGTGCATTCAACTCACAGAGTTTAACCTTTCTTTTCATAGATGAGTTTGGAAACAGTCAGTTTGTAAATTCTGCCACTGGATATTTGGACCTCTTTGAGGCTTTCGTTGGAAACGGGATTTCTTCACATAATGCTAGACAGAAGAATTCTCAGTAACTTCTTTTGGGATGTATGTATTCAAATCAGAGAGTTGAACCTTCCTTTAGACAGAGCGGATTGGAAACACTCTTTTTGTGGAATTTGCAAGTGGAAAATTCTAGCAGTATGAGGCCAATGGTACAAAAGGAAATATCTTCGTATAAAAACTAGACAGTATCATTCTCAGAAACTGCTTTGTGATGTGTGTATTAAACTCACAGAGTTGAACATTTCTTTGCATAGAGCAGTTTGGAAAGACTTAGTTTGTGCAGTGTGCAAGTGGATATTTGGAACTCTTTGAGGCCTTCGTTGGAAACGGGATTTCTTCTTATAATTCTTGACAAAAGAATTCTCAGTAGCTTCTTTGTGTGTGTGTATTCAACTCACAGAGTTGAACCTTCCTTTAGACAGAGCAGATTGGAAACACTCTTTTTGTGGAATTTGCAAGTGGAGAATTCTATCGCTTTGACCCCAATGGTAGAAAGGAAATATCTTCGTATAAAAACTAGACAGTATCATTCTCAGAAACTACTTTGTGATGTGTGCGTTCAACTCACAGAGTTTAACCTTTCTTTTCATAGAGCAGTTTGGAAACACTCTGTTTGTGAAGTCTGCAAGTGGATATTTAAACGTCTTTGAGGCCTTCGTTGGAAACGGGATTTTTTCATATAAACCAGGACAGAAGAATTCTCAGAAACTTCTTCATTGTTATGTGTGCATTCAACTCACAGAGTTGAACCTTACTTTGGAAAGAGCAGTTTTCTAACACTCTTTTTGTAAAAGTTCCAAGTGAATACTTTGAGTGCTTTGAAGCCTGCGGTTGACAACGAAATATCTTCATGTAAAAACTACAAAGAATCATTCGCAGAAACCACGTTGTGATCTCTGCATTCAACTCACAGAGTTGAACCTTTCTTCCTATAGAGCAGTTATGAAACAGTCTCTTTGTAGAATTTGCAAGGGTGTATTTAGAGGGCATTGAAGCCTACGGTAGAAAAGGAAATATCTTACCATAAAATCTAGTCAGAAGCATTCTCAGCAACTGAGTTGTGATGTTTGCATTCAACTCACAGAGTTCAACATTCCTTTTAATGGAGCGGTTTTGAAACACTCTTTTTGCAGAATCTGCAAGTGGATATTTGGACCTCTTTGAGGCCTTCGTTGGAAACGGGATTTCTTCATGTAATGCCAGACAGAAGAATTCTCAGTGAATTCTTTCTGTGTGTGTGTATTCAACTCACAGAGTTGAACGTTCCTTTAGACAGAGTAGATTGGAAACACTCTTTTTGTGGAATTTTCAGGTGGAGGTATCAAGCGCTTTGAGGCCAATGATAGAAAAGGAAATACCTTCGTATAATAATTAGACGGAATCATTCTCAGAAACTGCTTTGCAATGTGTGCGTTCAACTCACAGTGTTTAACCTTTCTTTTCATACAGTTGTTTCGAAACACTCTTTTTGCAGAATCTGCAAGTGGATATTTGGACCTCTTTGAAGTCTTCGTTGGAAATGGGATTTCTTCATATAATGCTAGACAGAAGACTTCTCAGTAACTGCTTTTTCTGGTGTGTATTCAACTCTCAGAGTTGAACTTTCCTTTAGAAACAGCAGATTTGAAACTCTCTTTTTGTGGAATTTGCAAGTGGAGATTTCAGAGCTTTGAGGCCAATGGTAGAAAAGGAAATATCTTCGTATGCAAACTAGACAGAATCATTCTCAGAAACTACTTTGGTACGTGTGTGTTCAACTCACAGTGTTTAACCTTTCTTTTCATAGAGCAGTTTGGAAACACTCAGTTTGTAAAGTCAGCAACTGGATATTTGGATGTATTTGAGGCCTTCGTTGGAAACGGGATTTCTTCATATAATGCTAGACAGAAGAATTCTCAGTAACTTCTTTGGGTTGTGGGTATTCAAGTCACAGAGTTGAAGCTTCCTTTAGGCGGAGCAGATTGGAAACACTTTTTGTGGAATTTTCAGGGGGAGACTTCAAGCGATTTGAAGTGAATGGTAGGAAAGGAAATATCTTCGTATAAAAACTAGACGGAGTCATTCTCAGAAACTACTTTGTGATGTTTGCGTTCAACTCACAGAGTTTAACGTTTCTTTTCATAGAGCAGTTTGGAAACACTCTTTTTGCAGAATCTGCAAGTGGATATTTGGACCTCTTTGTGGCCTTCGTTGGAAACGGGATTTTTCATATAATGCTAGACAGAAGAATTCTCAGTAACTTCTTTTTGTGGTGTGTATTCAACTCACAGAGTTGAACCTTCCTTTAGACAGAGCAGATTTGAAACTCTCTTTTTGTGGAATTTGCAAGTGTAGATTTCAAGCACTTTGAGGCCAACGGTAGAAAAGGAAATATCTTCGTAGAAAAAATAGACGGAATCATTCTCAGAAACTGCTTTGGGATGTGTGCATTGAACTCACAGTGTTTAACACTTCTTTTCATAGAGCACTTTGGAAACACTCAGTTTGTAATGTCTGCAGCTGGATATTTGGACCTCTTTGAGGCCTTCGTAGTAAACGGGATTTCTTCGTGTAATGATAGACAATAGAATTCTCAGTGAATTTTTTTCTGTGTGTGTGTATTCAACTCACAGGGTTGAACCTTCCTTCAGACAGTGCAGATTTGAAACACTTTTCTGTGGAATTTGTAAGGGGAGATTTCAAGCACTTTGAGGCCATTGGTGGAAAAGGAAATATCTTCGTATAAAAACTAGACAGAATCATTCTCAGGAACTACTTTGTGATATGTGCATTCAACTCACAGGTTTTAACCTTTCTTTTCATAGATGAGTTTGGAAACAGTCAGTTTGGAAATTCTGCAACTGGATATTTGGACCTCTTTGAGGCTTTCGTTGGAAACGGGATTTCTTCACTTAATGCTAGACAGAAGAATTCTCAGTAACTTCTTTTGGGATGTATGTATTCAAATCAGAGAGTTGAACCTTCCTTTAGACAGAGCGGATTGGAAACACTCTTTTTGTGGAATTTGCAAGTGGAAAATTCTAGCAGTATGAGGCCAATGGTACAAAAGGAAATATCTTCGTATAAAAACTAGACAGTATCATTCTCAGAAACTGCTTTGTGATGTGTGTATTAAACTCACAGAGTTGAACATTTCTTTGCATAGAGCAGTATGGAAAGACTTAGTTTGTGCAGTGTGCAAGTGGATATTTGGAACTCTTTGAGGCCTTGGTTGGAAAGGGGATTTCTTCTTATAATTCTTGACAAAAGAATTCTCAGTAGCTTCTTTGTGTGTGTGTACTCAACTCACAGAGTTGAACCTTCCTTTAGACAGAGCAGATTGGAAACACTCTTTTTGTGGAATTTGCAAGTGGAAAATTCTAGCAGTATGAGGCCAGTGGTACAAAAGGAAATATCTTCGTATAAAAACTAGACAGTATCATTCTCAGAAACTACTTTGTGATGTGTGCGTTCAACTCACAGTGTTTACCCTTTCTTTTCATAGAGCAGTTTGGAAACACTCTGTTTGTGAAGTGTGCAAGTGGATATTTAAACGTCTTTGAGGCCTTCGTTGGAAACGGGATTTCTTCATATAAACCAGGACAGAAGAATTCTCAGAAACTTCTTGTTTGTTATGTGTGCATTCAACTCACAGAGTTGAACCTTACTTTGGAAAGAGCAGTTTTCTAACACTGTTTTTGTAAAAGTTCCAAGTGAATATTTTGAGTGCTTTGAAGCCTACGGTAGACAACGAAATATCTTCATGTAAAAACTACAAAGAATCATTCGCAGAAACCACGTTGTGATCTCTGCATTCAACTCACAGAGTTCAACCTTTCTTCCTATAGAGCAGTTATTAAACAGTCTCTTTGTAGAATTTGCAAGGGTGTATTTAGAGGGCATTGAAGCCTACGGTAGAAAAGGAAATATCTGACCATAAAATCTAGTCAGAAGCATTCTCAGAAACTGAGTTGTGATGTTTGCATTCAACTCACAGAGTTCAACATTCCTTTTCATGGAGCGGTTTTGAAACACTCTTTTTGCAGAATCTGCAAGTGGATATTTGGACCTCTTTGAGGCCTTCGTTGGAAACGGGATTTCTTCATGTAATGCCAGACAGAAGAACTCTCAGTGAATTCTTTCTGTGTGTGTGTATTCAACTCAGAGAGTTGAACGTTCCTTTAGACAGAGTAGATTGGAAACACTCTTTTTGTGGAATTTTCAGGTGGAGGTATCAAGCGCTTTGAGGCCCATGATAGAAAAGGAAATACCTTCGTATAATAATTAGACGGAATCATTCTCAGAAACTGCTTTGCAATGTGTGCCTTCAACTCACAGCGTTTAACCTTTCTTTTCATACAGTTGTTTCGAAACACTCTTTTTGCAGAATCTGCAAGTGGATATTTGGACCTCTTTGAAGTCTTCGTTGGAAATGGGATTTCTTCATATAATGCTAGACAGAAGAATTCTCAGTAACTGCTTTTTCTGGTGTGTATTCAACTCTCAGAGTTGAACTTTCCTTTAGAAACAGCAGATTTGAAACTCTCATTTTGTGGAATTTGCAAGTGGAGATTTCAAAGCTTTGAGGCCAATGGTAGAAAAGGAAATATCTTCGTATGCAAACGAGACAGAATCATTCTCAGAAACTACTTTGGTACGTGTGTGTTCAACTCACAGTGTTTAACCTTTCTTTTCATAGAGCAGTTTGGAAACACTCAGTTTGTAAAGTCAGCAACTGGATATTTGGATGTATTTGAGGCCTTCGTTGGAAACGGGATTTCTTCATATAATGCTAGACAGAAGAATTCTCAGTAACTTCTTTGGGTTGTGGGTATTCAAGTCACAGAGTTGAAGCTTCCTTTAGGCGGAGCAGATTGGAAACACTTTTTGTGGAATTTTCAGGGGGAGACTTCAAGCGCTTTGAAGTGAATGGTAGGAAAGGAAATATCTTCGTATAAAAACTAGACGGAGTCATTCTCAGAAACTACTTTGTGATGTTTGCGTTCAACTCACAGAGTTTAACGTTTCTTTTCATAGAGCAGTTTGGAAACACTCTTTTTGCAGAATCTGCAAGTGGATATTTGGACCTCTTTGTGGCCTTCGTTGGAAACGGGATTTTTCATATAATGCTAGACAGAAGAATTCTCAGTAACTTCTTTTTGTGGTGTGTATTCAACTCACAGAGTGGAACCTTCCTTTAGACAGAGCAGATTTGAAACTCTCTTTTCGTGGAATTTGCAAGTGGAGATTTCAGGCGATTTGAGGCCAACGGTAGAAAAGGAAATATCTTCGTAGAAAAAATAGACGGAATCATTCTCAGAAACTGCTTTGGGATGTGTGCATTGAACTCACAGTGTTTAACACTTCTTTTCATAGAGCACTTTGGAAACACTCAGTTTGTAATGTCTGCAGCTGGATATTTGGACCTCTTTGAGGCCTTCGTAGTAAACGGGATTTCTTCGTGTAATGATAGACAATAGAATTCTCAGTGAATTTTTTTCTGTGTGTGTGTATTCAACTCACAGGGTTGAACCTTCCTTTAGACAGTGCAGATTTGAAACACTTTTCTGTGGAATTTGCAAGGGGAGATTTCAAGCACTTTGAGGCCATTGGTGGAAAAGGAAATATCTTCGTATAAAAACTAGACAGAATCATTCTCAGGAACTACTTTGTGATATGTGCATTCAACTCACAGAGTTTAACCTTTCTTTTCATAGATGAGTTTGGAAACAGTCAGTTTGTAAATTCTGCAACTGGATATTTGGACCTGCTTTGAGGCTTTCGTTGGAAACGGGATTTCTTCACATAATGCTAGACAGAAGAATTCTCAGTAACTTCTTTTGGGATGTATGTATTCAAATCAGAGAGTTGAACCTTCCTTTAGACAGAGCGGATTGGAAACACTCTTTTTGTGGAATTTGCAAGTGGAAAATTCTAGCAGTATGAGGCCAATGGTACAAAAGGAAATATCTTCGTATAAAAACTAGACAGTATCATTCTCAGAAACTGCTTTGTGATGTGTGTATTAAACTCACAGAGTTGAACATTTCTTTGCATAGAGCAGTTTGGAAAGACTTAGTTTGTGCAGTGTGCAAGTGGATATTTGGAACTCTTTGAGGCCTTCGTTGGAAACGGGATTTCTTCTTATAATTCTTGACAAAAGAATTCTCAGTAGCTTCTTTGTGTGTGTGTATTCAACTCACAGAGTTGAACCTTCCTTTAGACAGAGCAGATTGGAAACACTCTTTTTGTGGAATTTGCAAGTGGAGAATTCTAGCGCTTTGACGCCAATGGTAGAAAGGAAATATCTTCGTATAAAAACTAGACAGTATCATTCTCAGAAGCTACTTTGTGATGTGTGCGTTAAACTCACAGAGTTTAAACTTTCTTTTCATAGAGCAGTTTGGAAACACTCTGTTTGTGAAGTCTGCAAGTGGATATTTAAACGTCTTTGAGGCCTTCGTTGGAAACGGGATTTTTTCATATAAACCAGGACAGAAGAATTCTCAGAAACTTCTTGATTGTTATGTGTGCATTCAACTCACAGAGTTGAACCTTACTTTGGAAAGAGCAGTTTTCTAACACTCTTTTTGTAAAAGTTCCAAGTGAATACTTTGAGTGCTTTGAAGCCTACGGTTGACAACGAAATATCTTCATGTAAAAACTACAAAGAATCATTCGCAGAAACCACGTTGTGATCTCTGCATTCAACTCACAGAGTTGAACCTTTCTTCCTATAGAGCAGTTATGAAACAGTCTCTTTGTAGCATTTGCAAGGGTGTATTTAAAGGGCATTGAAGCCTACGGTAGAAAAGGAAATATCTTACCATAAAATCTAGTCAGAAGCATTCTCAGAAACTGAGTTGTGATGTTTGCATTCAACTCACAGAGTTCAACATTCCTTTTAATGGAGCGGTTTTGAAACACTCTTTTTGCAGAATCTGCAAGTGGATATTTGGACCTCTTTGAGGCCTTCGTTGGAAACGGGATTTCTTCATGTAATGCCAGACAGAAGAATTCTCAGTGAATTCTTTCTGTGTGTGTGTATTCAACTCACAGAGTTGAACGTTCCTTTAGACAGAGTAGATTGGAAACACTCTTTTTGTGGAATTTTCAGGTGGAGGTATCAAGCGCTTTGAGGCCAATGATAGAAAAGGAAATACCTTCGTATAATAATTAGACGGAATCATTCTCAGAAACCGCTTTGCAATGTGTGCGTTCAACTCACAGTGTTTAACCTTTCTTTTCATACAGTTGTTTCGAAACACTCTTTTTGCAGAATCTGCAAGTGGATATTTGGACCTCTTTGAAGTCTTCGTTGGAAATGGGATTTCTTCATATAATGCTAGACAGAAGACTTCTCAGTAACTGCTTTTTCTGGTGTGTATTCAACTCTCAGAGTTGAACTTTCCTTTAGAAACAGCAGATTTGAAACTCTCTTTTTGTGGAATTTGCAAGTGGAGATTTCAGAGCTTTGAGGCCAATGGTAGAAAAGGAAATATCTTCGTATGCAAACTAGACAGAATCATTCTCAGAAACTACTTTGGTACGTGTGTGTTCAACTCACAGTGTTTAACCTTTCTTTTCATAGAGCAGTTTGGAAACACTCAGTTTGTAAAGTCAGCAACTGGATATTTGGATGTATTTGAGGCCTTCGTTGGAAACGGGATTTCTTCATATAGTGCTAGACAGAAGAATTCTCAGTAACTTCTTTGGGTTGTGGGTATTCAAGTCACAGAGTTGAAGCTTCCTTTAGGCGGAGCAGATTGGAAACACTTTTTGTGGAATTTTCAGGGGGAGACTTCAAGCGCTTTGAAGTGAATGGTAGGAAAGGAAATATCTTCGTATAAAAACTAGACGGAGTCATTCTCAGAAACTACTTTGTGATGTTTGCGGTTCAACTCACAGAGTTTAACGTTTCTTTTCATAGAGCAGTTTGGAAACACTCTTTTTGCAGAATCTGCAAGTGGATATTTGGACCTCTTTGTGGCCTTCGTTGGAAACGGGATTTTTCATATAATGCTAGACAGAAGAATTCTCAGTAACTTCTTTTTGTGGTGTGTATTCAACTCACAGAGTTGAACCTTCCTTTAGACAGAGCAGATTTGAAACTCTCTTTTTGTGGAATTTGCAAGTGGAGATTTCAAGCGCTTTGAGGCCAACGGCAGAAAAGGAAATATCTTCGTAGAAAAAATAGACGGAATCATTCTCAGAAACTGCTTTGGGATGTGTGCATTGAACTCACAGTGTTTAACATTTCTTTTCATAGAGCACTTTGGAAACACTCAGTTTGTAATGTCTGCAGCTGGATATTTGGACCTCTTTGAGGCCTTCGTAGTAAACGGGATTTCTTCGTGTAATGATAGACAATAGAATTCTCAGTGAATTTTTTTCTGTGTGTGTGTATTCAACTCACAGGGTTGAACCTTCCTTTAGACAGTGCAGATTTGAAACACTTGTCTGTGGAATTTGCAAGGGGAGATTTCAAGCACTTTGAGGCCATTGGTGGAAAAGGAAATATCTTCGTATGAAAACTAGACAGAATCATTCTCAGGAACTACTTTGTGATATGTGCATTCAACTCCCAGAGTTTAACCTTTCTTTTCATAGATGAGTTTGGAAACAGTCAGTTTGTAAATTCTGCAACTGGATATTTGGACCTCTTTGAGGCTTTCGTTGGAAACGGGATTTCTTCACATAATGCTAGACAGAAGAATTCTCAGTAACTTCTTTTGGGATGTATGTATTCAAATCAGAGAGTTGAACCTTCCTTTAGACAGAGCGGATTGGAAACCCTCTTTTTGTGGAATTTGCAAGTGGAAAATTCTAGCAGTATGAGGCCAATGGTACAAAAGGAAATATCTTCGTATAAAAACTAGACAGTATCATTCTCAGAAACTGCTTTGTGATGTGTGTATTAAACTCACAGAGTTGAACATTTCTTTGCATAGAGCAGTTTGGAAAGACTTAGTTTGTGCAGTGTGCAAGTGGATATTTGGAACTCTTTGAGGCCTTCGTTGGAAACGGGATTTCTTCTTATAATTTCTTGAAAAAAGAATTCTCAGTAGCTTCTTTGTGTGTGTGTATTCAACTCACAGAGTTGAACCTTCCTTTAGACAGAGCAGATTGGAAACACTCTTTTTGTGGAATTTGCAAGTGGAGAATTCTAGCGCTTTGACGCCAATGGTACAAAGGAAATATCTTCGTATAAAAACTAGACAGTATCATTCTCAGAAACTACTTTGTGATGTGTGCGTTCAACTCACAGAGTTTAACCTTTCTTTTCATAGAGCAGTTTGGAAACACTCGGTTTGTGAAGTCTGCAGGTGGATATTTAAACGTCTTTGAGGCCTTCGTTGGAAACGGGATTTCTTCATATAAACCAGGACAGAAGAATTCTCAGAAATTTCTTGATTGTTATGGGTGCATTCAACTCACAGAGTTGAACCTTACTTTGGAAAGAGCAGTTTTCTAACACTCTTTTTGTAAAAGTTCCAAGTGAATACTTTGAGTGCTTTGAAGCCTACGGTTGACAACGAAATATCTTCATGTAAAAACTACAAAGAATCATTCACAGAAACCACGTTGTGATCTCTGCATTCAACTCACAGAGTTGAACCTTTCTTCCTATAGAGCAGTTATGAAACAGTCTCTTTGTAGAATTTGCAAGGGTGTATTTAGAGGGCATTGAAGCCTACGGTAGAAAAGGAAATATCTTACCATAAAATCTAGTCAGAAGCATTCTCAGCAACTGAGTTGTGATGTTTGCATTCAACTCACAGAGTTCAACATTCCTTTTAATGGAGCGGTTTTGAAACACTCTTTTTGCAGAATCTGCAAGTGGATATTTGGACCTCTTTGAGGCCTTCGTTGGAAACGGGATTTCTTCATATAATGCCAGACAGAAGAATTCTCAGTGAATTCTTTCTGTGTGTGTGTATTCAACTCACAGAGTTGAACGTTCCTTTAGACAGAGTAGATTGGAAACACTCTTTTTGTGGAATTTTCTGGTGGAGGTATCAAGCGCTTTGAGGCCAATGATAGAAAAGGAAATACCTTCGTATAATAATTAGACGGAATCATTCTCAGAAACTGCTTTGCAATGTGTGCGTTCAACTCACAGTGTTTAACCTTTCTTTTCATACAGTTGTTTCGAAACACTCTTTTTGCAGAATCTGCAAGTGGATATTTGGACCTCTTTGAAGTCTTCGTTGGAAATGGGATTTCTTCATATAATGCTAGACAGAAGACTTCTCAGTAACTGCTTTTTCTGGTGTGTATTCAACTCTCAGAGTTGAACTTTCCTTTAGAAACAGCAGATTTGAAACTCTCTTTTTGTGGAATTTGCAAGTGGAGATTTCAGAGCTTTGAGGCCAATGGTAGAAAAGGAAATATCTTCGTATGCAAACTAGACAGAATCATTCTCAGAAACTACTTTGGTACGTGTGTGTTCAACTCACAGTGTTTAACCTTTCTTTTCATAGAGCAGTTTGGAAACACTCAGTTTGTAAAGTCAGCAACTGGATATTTGGATGTATTTGAGGCCTTCGTTGGAAACGGGATTTCTTCATATAATGCTAGACAGAAGAATTCTCAGTAACTTCTTTGGGTTGTGGGTATTCAAGTCACAGAGTTGAAGCTTCCTTTAGGCGGAGCAGATTGGAAACACTTTTTGTGGAATTTTCAGGGGGAGACTTCAAGCGCTTTGAAGTGAATGGTAGGAAAGGAAATATCTTCGTATAAAAACTAGACGGAGTCATTCTCAGAAACTACTTTGTGATGTTTGCGTTCAACTCACAGAGTTTAACGTTTCTTTTCATAGAGCAGTTTGGAAACACTCTTTTTGCAGAATCTGCAAGTGGATATTTGGACCTCTTTGTGGCCTTCGTTGGAAACGGGATTTTTCATATAATGCTAGACAGAAGAATTCTCAGTAACTTCTTTTTGTGGTGTGTATTCAACTCACAGAGTTGAACCTTCCTTTAGACAGAGCAGATTTGAAACTCTCTTTTTGTGGAATTTGCAAGTGGAGATTTCAAGCGCTTTGAGGCCAACGGCAGAAAAGGAAATATCTTCGTAGAAAAAATAGACGGAATCATTCTCAGAAACTGCTTTGGGATGTGTGCATTGAACTCACAGTGTTTAACACTTCTTTTCATAGAGCACTTTGGAAACACTCAGTTTGTAATGTCTGCAGCTGGATATTTGGACCTCTTTGAGGCCTTCGTAGTAAACGGGATTTCTTCGGTGTAATGATAGACAATAGAATTCTCAGTGAATTTTTTTCTGTGTGTGTGTATTCAACTCACAGGGTTGAACCTTCCTTTAGACAGTGCAGATTTGAAACACTTGTCTGTGGAATTTGCAAGGGGAGATTTCAAGCACTTTGAGGCCATTGGTGGAAAAGGAAATATCTTCGTATGAAAACTAGACAGAATCATTCTCAGGAACTACTTTGTGATATGTGCATTCAACTCCCAGAGTTTAACCTTTCTTTTCATAGATGAGTTTGGAAACAGTCAGTTTGTAAATTCTGCAACTGGATATTTGGACCTCTTTGAGGCTTTCGTTGGAAACGGGATTTCTTCACATAATGCTAGACAGAAGAATTCTCAGTAACTTCTTTTGGGATGTATGTATTCAAATCAGAGAGTTGAACCTTCCTTTAGACAGAGCGGATTGGAAACACTCTTTTTGTGGAATTTGCAAGTGGAAAATTCTAGCAGTATGAGGCCAATGGTACAAAAGGAAATATCTTCGTATAAAAACTAGACAGTATCATTCTCAGAAACTGCTTTGTGATGTGTGTATTAAACTCACAGAGTTGAACATTTCTTTGCATAGAGCAGTTTGGAAAGACTTAGTTTGTGCAGTGTGCAAGTGGATATTTGGAACTCTTTGAGGCCTTCGTTGGAAACGGGATTTCTTCTTATAATTTCTTGAAAAAAGAATTCTCAGTACCTTCTTTGTGTGTGTGTATTCAACTCACAGAGTTGAACCTTCCTTTAGACAGAGCAGATTGGAAACACTCTTTTTGTGGAATTTGCAAGTGGAGAATTCTAGCGCTTTGACGCCAATGGTAGAAAGGAAATATCTTCGTATAAAAACTAGACAGTATCATTCTCAGAAGCTACTTTGTGATGTGTGCGTTCAACTCACAGAGTTTAACCTTTCTTTTCATAGAGCAGTTTGGAAACCCTCTGTTTGTGAAGTCTGCAAGTGGATATTTAAACGTCTTTGAGGCCTTCGTTGGAAACGGGATTTTTTCATATAAACCAGGACAGAAGAATTCTCAGAAACTTCTTGATTGTTATGTGTGCATTCAACTCACAGAGTTGAACCTTACTTTGGAAAGAGCAGTTTTCTAACACTCTTTTTGTAAAAGTTCCAAGTGAATACTTTGAGTGCTTTGAACCCTACGGTTGACAACGAAATATCTTCATGTAAAAACTACAAAGAATCATTCGCAGAAACCACGTTGTGATCTCTGCATTCAACTCACAGAGTTGAACCTTTCTTCCTATAGAGCAGTTGTGAAACAGTCTCTTTGTAGAATTTGCAAGGGTGTATTTAGAGGGCATTGAAGCCTACGGTAGAAAAGGAAATATCTTACCATAAAATCTAGTCAGAAGCATTCTCAGCAACTGAGTTGTGATGTTTCCATTCAACTCACAGAGTTCAACATTCCTTTTAATGGAGCGGTTTTGAAACACTCTTTTTGCAGAATCTGCAAGTGGATATTTGGACCTGCTTTGAGGCCTTCGTTGGAAACGGGATTTCTTCATGTAATGCCAGACAGAAGAATTCTCAGTGAATTCTTTCTGTGTGTGTGTATTCAACTCACAGAGTTGAACGTTCCTTTAGACAGAGTAGATTGGAAACACTCTTTTTGTGGAATTTTCAGGTGGAGGTATCAAGCGCTTTGAGGCCAGTGATAGAAAAGGAAATACCTTCGTATAATAATTAGACGGAATCATTCTCAGAAACCGCTTTGCAATGTGTGCGTTCAACTCACAGTGTTTAACCTTTCTTTTCATACAGTTGTTTCGAAACACTCTTTTTGCAGAATCTGCAAGTGGATATTTGGACCTCTTTGAAGTCTTCGTTGGAAATGGGATTTCTTCATATAATGCTAGACAGAAGACTTCTCAGTAACTGCTTTTTCTGGTGTGTATTCAACTCTCAGAGTTGAACTTTCCTTTAGAAACAGCAGATTTGAAACTCTCTTTTTGTGGAATTTGCAAGTGGAGATTTCAGAGCTTTGAGGCCAATGGTAGAAAAGGAAATATCTTCGTATGCAAACTAGACAGAATCATTCTCAGAAACTACTTTGGTACGTGTGTGTTCAACTCACAGTGTTTAACCTTTCTTTTCATAGAGCAGTTTGGAAACACTCAGTTTGTAAAGTCAGCAACTGGATATTTGGATGTATTTGAGGCCTTCGTTGGAAACGGGATTTCTTCATATAATGCTAGACAGAAGAATTCTCAGTAACTTCTTTGGGTTGTGGGTATTCAAGTCACAGAGTTGAAGCTTCCTTTAGGCGGAGCAGATTGGAAACACTTTTTGTGGAATTTTCAGGGGGAGACTTCAAGCGCTTTGAAGTGAATGGTAGGAAAGGAAATATCTTCGTATAAAAACTAGACGGAGTCATTCTCAGAAACTACTTTGTGATGTTTGCGTTCAACTCACAGAGTTTAACGTTTCTTTTCATAGAGCAGTTTGGAAACACTCTTTTTGCAGAATCTGCAAGTGGATATTTGGACCTCTTTGTGGCCTTCGTTGGAAACGGGATTTTTCATATAATGCTAGACAGAAGAATTCTCAGTAACTCCTTTTTGTGGTGTGTATTCAACTCACAGAGTTGAACCTTCCTTTAGACAGAGCAGATTTGAAACTCTCTTTTTGTGGAATTTGCAAGTGGAGATTTCAAGCGCTTTGAGGCCAACGGCAGAAAAGGAAATATCTTCGTAGAGAAAATAGACGGAATCATTCTCAGAAACTGCTTTGGGATGTGTGCATTGAACTCACAGTGTTTAACACTTCTTTTCATAGAGCACTTTGGAAACACTCAGTTTGTAATGTCTGCAGCTGGATATTTGGACCTCTTTGAGGCCTTCGTAGTAAACGGGATTTCTTCGTGTAATGATAGACAATAGAATTCTCAGTGAATTTTTTTCTGTGTGTGTGTATTCAACTCACAGGGTTGAACCTTCCTTTAGACAGTGCAGATTTGAAACACTTGTCTGTGGAATTTGCAAGGGGAGATTTCAAGCACTTTGAGGCCATTGGTGGAAAAGGAAATATCTTCGTATGAAAACTAGACAGAATCATTCTCAGGAACTACTTTGTGATATGTGCATTCAACTCCCAGAGTTTAACCTTTCTTTTCATAGATGAGTTTGGAAACAGTCAGTTTGTAAATTCTGCCACTGGATATTTGGACCTCTTTGAGGCTTTCGTTGGAAACGGGATTTCTTCACATAATGCTAGACAGAAGAATTCTCAGTAACTTCTTTTGGGATGTATGTATTCAAATCAGAGAGTTGAACCTTCCTTTAGACAGAGCGGATTGGAAACACTCTTTTTGTGGAATTTGCAAGTGGAAAATTCTAGCAGTATGAGGCCAATGGTACAAAAGGAAATATCTTCGTATAAAAACTAGACAGTATCATTCTCAGAAACTGCTTTGTGATGTGTGTATTAAACTCACAGAGTTGAACATTTCTTTGCATAGAGCAGTTTGGAAAGACTTAGTTTGTGCAGTGTGCAAGTGGATATTTGGAACTCTTTGAGGCCTTCGTTGGAAACGGGATTTCTTCTTATAATTTCTTGAAAAAAGAATTCTCAGTAGCTTCTTTGTGTGTGTGTATTCAACTCACAGAGTTGAACCTTCCTTTAGACAGAGCAGATTGGAAACACTCTTTTTGTGGAATTTGCAAGTGGAGAATTCTAGCGCTTTGACGCCAATGGTAGAAAGGAAATATCTTCGTATAAAAACTAGACAGTATCATTCTCAGAAGCTACTTTGTGA
Organism: Homo sapiens; assembly: GCF_000001405.40. Classification (NCBI taxonomy): domain Eukaryota; kingdom Metazoa; phylum Chordata; class Mammalia; order Primates; family Hominidae; genus Homo; species Homo sapiens. The sequence continues at coordinate 93,002,823 of NC_000003.12, forward strand.
TGTGTGCGTTCAACTCACAGAGTTTAACCTTTCTTTTCATAGAGCAGTTTGGAAACCCTCTGTTTGTGAAGTCTGCAAGTGGATATTTAAACGTCTTTGAGGCCTTCGTTGGAAACGGGATTTTTTCATATAAACCAGGACAGAAGAATTCTCAGAAACTTCTTGATTGTTATGTGTGCATTCAACTCACAGAGTTGAACCTTACTTTGGAAAGAGCAGTTTTCTAACACTCTTTTTGTAAAAGTTCCAAGTGAATACTTTGAGTGCTTTGAAGCCTACGGTTGACAACGAAATATCTTCATGTAAAAACTACAAAGAATCATTCGCAGAAACCACGTTGTGATCTCTGCATTCAACTCACAGAGTTCAACCTTTCTTCCTATAGAGCAGTTATGAAACAGTCTCTTTGTAGAATTTGCAAGGGTGTATTTAGAGGGCATTGAAGCCTACGGTAGAAAAGGAAATATCTTACCATAAAATCTAGTCAGAAGCATTCTCAGAAACTGAGTTGTGATGTTTGCATTCAACTCACAGAGTTCAACATTCCTTTTAATGGAGCGGTTTTGAAACACTCTTTTTGCAGAATCTGCAAGTGGATATTTGGACCTCTTTGAGGCCTTCGTTGGAAACGGGATTTCTTCATGTAATGCCAGACAGAAGAATTCTCAGTGAATTCTTTCTGTGTGTGTGTATTCAACTCACAGAGTTGAACGTTCCTTTAGACAGAGTAGATTGGAAACACTCTTTTTGTGGAATTTTCAGGTGGAGGTATCAAGCGCTTTGAGGCCAATGATAGAAAAGGAAATACCTTCGTATAATAATTAGACGGAATCATTCTCAGAAACCGCTTTGCAATGTGTGCGTTCAACTCACAGTGTTTAACCTTTCTTTTCATACAGTTGTTTCGAAACACTCTTTTTGCAGAATCTGCAAGTGGATATTTGGACCTCTTTGAAGTCTTCGTTGGAAATGGGATTTCTTCATATAATGCTAGACAGAAGACTTCTCAGTAACTGCTTTTTCTGGTGTGTATTCAACTCTCAGAGTTGAACTTTCCTTTAGAAACAGCAGATTTGAAACTCTCTTTTTGTGGAATTTGCAAGTGGAGATTTCAGAGCTTTGAGGCCAATGGTAGAAAAGGAAATATCTTCGTATGCAAACTAGACAGAATCATTCTCAGAAACTACTTTGGTACGTGTGTGTTCAACTCACAGTGTTTAACCTTTCTTTTCATAGAGCAGTTTGGAAACACTCAGTTTGTAAAGTCAGCAACTGGATATTTGGATGTATTTGAGGCCTTCGTTGGAAACGGGATTTCTTCATATAATGCTAGACAGAAGAATTCTCAGTAACTTCTTTGTGTTGTGGGTATTCAACTCACAGAGTTGAAGCTTCCTTTAGGCGGAGCAGATTGGAAACACTTTTTGTGGAATTTTCAGGGGGAGACTTCAAGCGCTTTGAGGCCAACGGTAGAAAAGGAAATATCTTCGTATAAAAACTAGATGGAGTCATTCTCAGAAACTACTTTGTGATGTTTGCGGTTCAACTCACAGAGTTTAACGTTTCTTTTCATAGAGCAGTTTGGAAACACTCTTTTTGCAGAATCTGCAAGTGGATATTTGGACCTCTTTGTGGCCTTCGTTGGAAACGGGATTTTTCATATAATGCTAGACAGAAGAATTCTCAGTAACTTCTTTTTGTGGTGTGTATTCAACTCACAGAGTTGAACCTTCCTTTAGACAGAGCAGATTTGAAACTCTCTTTTTGTGGAATTTGCAAGTGGAGATTTCAAGCGCTTTGAGGCCAACGGTAGAAAAGGAAATATCTTCGTAGAAAAAATAGACGGAATCATTCTCAGAAACTGCTTTGGGATGTGTGCATTGAACTCACAGTGTTTAACACTTCTTTTCATAGAGCACTTTGGAAACACTCAGTTTGTAATGTCTGCAGCTGGATATTTGGACCTCTTTGAGGCCTTCGTAGTAAACGGGATTTCTTCGTGTAATGATAGACAATAGAATTCTCAGTGAATTTTTTTCTGTGTGTGTGTATTCAACTCACAGGGTTGAACCTTCCTTTAGACAGTGCAGATTTGAGACACTTGTCTGTGGAATTTGCAAGGGGAGATTTCAAGCACTTTGAGGCCATTGGTGGAAAAGGAAATATCTTCGTATAAAAACTAGACAGAATCATTCTCAGGAACTACTTTGTGATATGTGCATTCAACTCACAGAGTTTAACCTTTCTTTTCATAGATGAGTTTGGAAACAGTCAGTTTGTAAATTCTGCAACTGGATATTTGGACCTCTTTGAGGCTTTCGTTGGAAACGGGATTTCTTCACATAATGCTAGACAGAAGAATTCTCAGGAACTTCTTTTGGGATGTATGTATTCAAATCAGAGAGTTGAACCTTCCTTTAGACAGAGCGGATTGGAAACACTCTTTTTGTGGAATTTGCAAGTGGAAAATTCTAGCAGTATGAGGCCAATGGTACAAAAGGAAATATCTTCGTATAAAAACTAGACAGTATCATTCTCAGAAACTGCTTTGTGATGTGTGTATTAAACTCACAGAGTTGAACATTTCTTTGCATAGAGCAGTTTGGAAAGACTTAGTTTGTGCAGTGTGCAAGTGGATATTTGGAACTCTTTGAGGCCTTCGTTGGAAACGGGATTTCTTCTTATAATTCTTGACAAAAGAATTCTCAGTAGCTTCTTTGTGTGTGTGTATTCAACACACAGAGTTGAACCTTCCTTTAGACAGAGCAGATTGGAAACACTCTTTTTGTGGAATTTGCAAGTGGAGAATTCTAGCGCTTTGACGCCAATGGTAGAAAGGAAATATCTTCGTATAAAAACTAGACAGTATCATTCTCAGAAGCTACTTTGTGATGTGTGCGTTCAACTCACAGAGTTTAACCTTTCTTTTCATAGAGCAGTTTGGAAACCCTCTGTTTGTGAAGTCTGCAAGTGGATATTTAAACGTCTTTGAGGCCTTCGTTGGAAACGGGATTTTTTCATATAAACCAGGACAGAAGAATTCTCAGAAACTTCTTGATTGTTATGTGTGCATTCAACTCACAGAGTTGAACCTTACTTTGGAAAGAGCAGTTTTCTAACACTCTTTTTGTAAAAGTTCCAAGTGAATACTTTGAGTGCTTTGAAGCCTACGGTTGACAACGAAATATCTTCATGTAAAAACTACAAAGAATCATTCGCAGAAACCACGTTGTGATCTCTGCAGTCAACTCACAGAGTTCAACCTTTCTTCCTATAGAGCAGTTATGAAACAGTCTCTTTGTAGAATTTGCAAGGGTGTATTTAGAGGGCATTGAAGCCTACGGTAGAAAAGGAAATATCTTACCATAAAATCTAGTCAGAAGCATTCTCAGAAACTGAGTTGTGATGTTTGCATTCAACTCACAGAGTTCAACATTCCTTTTAATGGAGCGGTTTTGAAACACTCTTTTTGCAGAATCTGCAAGTGGATATTTGGACCTCTTTGAGGCCTTCGTTGGAAACGGGATTTCTTCATGTAATGCCAGACAGAAGAATTCTCAGTGAATTCTTTCTGTGTGTGTGTATTCAACTCACAGAGTTGAACGTTCCTTTAGACAGAGTAGATTGGAAACACTCTTTTTGTGGAATTTTCAGGTGGAGGTATCAAGCGCTTTGAGGCCAATGATAGAAAAGGAAATACCTTCGTATAATAATTAGACGGAATCATTCTCAGAAACTGCTTTGCAATGTGTGCGTTCAACTCACAGTGTTTAACCTTTCTTTTCATACAGTTGTTTCGAAACACTCTTTTTGCAGAATCTGCAAGTGGATATTTGGACCTCTTTGAAGTCTTCGTTGGAAATGGGATTTCTTCATATAATGCTAGACAGAAGACTTCTCAGTAACTGCTTTTTCTGGTGTGTATTCAACTCTCAGAGTTGAACTTTCCTTTAGAAACAGCAGATTTGAAACTCTCTTTTTGTGGAATTTGCAAGTGGAGATTTCAGAGCTTTGAGGCCAATGGTAGAAAAGGAAATATCTTCGTATGCAAACTAGACAGAATCATTCTCAGAAACTACTTTGGTACGTGTGTGTTCAACTCACAGTGTTTAACCTTTCTTTTCATAGAGCAGTTTGGAAACACTCAGTTTGTAAAGTCAGCAACTGGATATTTGGATGTATTTGAGGCCTTCGTTGGAAACGGGATTTCTTCATATAATGCTAGACAGAAGAATTCTCAGTAACTTCTTTGGGTTGTGGGTATTCAAGTCACAGAGTTGAAGCTTCCTTTAGGCGGAGCAGATTGGAAACACTTTTTGTGGAATTTTCAGGGGGAGACTTCAAGCGCTTTGAAGTGAATGGTAGGAAAGGAAATATCTTCGTATAAAAACTAGACGGAGTCATTCTCAGAAACTACTTTGTGATGTTTGCGTTCAACTCACAGAGTTTAACGTTTCTTTTCATAGAGCAGTTTGGAAACACTCTTTTTGCAGAATCTGCAAGTGGATATTTGGACCTCTTTGTGGCCTTCGTTGGAAACGGGATTTTTCATATAATGCTAGACAGAAGAATTCTCAGTAACTTCTTTTTGTGGTGTGTATTCAACTCACAGAGTTGAACCTTCCTTTAGACAGAGCAGATTTGAAACTCTCTTTTTGTGGAATTTGCAAGTGGAGATTTCAAGCGCTTTGAGGCCAACGGTAGAAAAGGAAATATCTTCGTAGAAAAAACAGACGGAATCATTCTCAGAAACTGCTTTGGGATGTGTGCATTGAACTCACAGTGTTTAACACTTCTTTTCATAGAGCACTTTGGAAACACTCAGTTTGTAATGTCTGCAGCTGGATATTTGGACCTCTTTGAGGCCTTCGTAGTAAACGGGATTTCTTCGTGTAATGATAGACAATAGAATTCTCAGTGAATTTGTTTCTGTGTGTGTGTATTCAACTCACAGGGTTGAACCTTCCTTTAGACAGTGCAGATTTGAAACACTTGTCTGTGGAATTTGCAAGGGGTGATTTCAAGTACTTTGAGGCCATTGGTGGAAAAGGAAATATCTTCATATAAAAACTAGACAGAATCATTCTCAGGAACTACTTTGTGATATGTGCATTCAACTCACAGAGTTTAACCTTTCTTTTCATAGATGAGTTTGGAAACAGTCAGTTTGTAAATTCTGCAACTGGATATTTGGACCTCTTTGAGGCTTTCGTTGGAAACGGGATTTCTTCACATAATGCTAGACAGAAGAATTCTCAGTAACTTCTTTTGGGATGTATGTATTCAAATCAGAGAGTTGAACCTTCCTTTAGACAGAGCGGATTGGAAACACTCTTTTTGTGGAATTTGCAAGTGGAAAATTCTAGCAGTATGAGGCCAATGGTACAAAAGGAAATATCTTCGTATAAAAACTAGACAGTATCATTCTCAGAAACTGCTTTGTGATGTGTGTATTAAACTCACAGAGTTTAACCTTTCTTTTCATAGAGCAGTTTGGAAACCCTCTGTTTGTGAAGTCTGCAAGTGGATATTTAAACGTCTTTGAGGCCTTCGTTGGAAACGGGATTTTTTCATATAAACCAGGACAGAAGAATTCTCAGAAACTTCTTGATTGTTATGTGTGCATTCAACTCACAGAGTTGAACCTTACTTTGGAAAGAGCAGTTTTCTAACACTCTTTTTGTAAAAGTTCCAAGTGAATACTTTGAGTGCTTTGAAGCCTACGGTTGACAACGAAATATCTTCATGTAAAAACTACAAAGAATCATTCGCAGAAACCACGTTGTGATCTCTGCATTCAACTCACAGTGTTGAACCTTTCTTCCTATAGAGCAGTTATGAAACAGTCTCTTTGTAGAATTTGCAAGGGTGTATTTAGAGGGCATTGAAGCCTACGGTAGAAAAGGAAATATCTTACCATAAAATCTAGTCAGAAGCATTCTCAGCAACTGAGTTGTGATGTTTCCATTCAACTCACAGAGTTCAACATTCCTTTTAATGGAGCGGTTTTGAAACACTCTTTTTGCAGAATCTGCAAGTGGATATTTGGACCTCTTTGAGGCCTTCGTTGGAAACGGGATTTCTTCATGTAATGCCAGACAGAAGAATTCTCAGTGAATTCTTTCTGTGTGTGTGTATTCAACTCACAGAGTTGAACGTTCCTTTAGACAGAGTAGATTGGAAACACTCTTTTTGTGGAATTTTCAGGTGGAGGTATCAAGCGCTTTGAGGCCAATGATAGAAAAGGAAATACCTTCGTATAATAATTAGACGGAATCATTCTCAGAAACTGCTTTGCAATGTGTGCGTTCAACTCACAGTGTTTAACCTTTCTTTTCATACAGTTGTTTCAAAACACTCTTTTTGCAGAATCTGCAAGTGGATATTTGGACCTCTTTGAAGTCTTCGTTGGAAATGGGATTTCTTCATATAATGCTAGACAGAAGACTTCTCAGTAACTGCTTTTTCTGGTGTGTATTCAACTCTCAGAGTGGAACTTTCCTTTAGAAACAGCAGAGTTGAAACTCTCTTTTTGTGGAATTTGCAAGTGGAGATTTCAGAGCTTTGAGGCCAATGGTAGAAAAGGAAATATCTTCGTATGCAAACTAGACAGAATCATTCTCAGAAACTACTTTGGTACGTGTGTGTTCAACTCACAGTGTTTAACCTTTCTTTTCATAGAGCAGTTTGGAAACACTCAGTTTGTAAAGTCAGCAACTGGATATTTGGATGTATTTGAGGCCTTCGTTGGAAACGGGATTTCTTCATATAATGCTAGACAGAAGAATTCTCAGTAACTTCTTTGGGTTGTGGGTATTCAACTCACAGAGTTGAAGCTTCCTTTAGGCGGAGCAGATTGGAAACACTTTTTGTGGAATTTTCATGGGGAGACTTCAAGCGCTTTGAAGTGAATGGTAGGAAAGGAAATATCTTCGTGTAAAAACTAGACGGAGTCATTCTCAGAAACTACTTTGTGATGTTTGCGTTCAACTCACAGAGTTTAACGTTTCTTTTCATAGAGCAGTTTGGAAACACTCTTTTTGCAGAATCTGCAAGTGGATATTTGGACCTCTTTGTGGCCTTCGTTGGAAACGGGATTTTTCATATAATGCTAGACAGAAGAATTCTCAGTAACTTCTTTTTGTGGTGTGTATTCAACTCACAGAGTTGAACCTTCCTTTAGACAGAGCAGATTTGAAACTCTCTTTTTGTGGAATTTGCAAGTGGAGATTTCAAGCGCTTTGAGGCCAACGGCAGAAAAGGAAATATCTTCGTAGAAAAAATAGACGGCATCATTCTCAGAAACTGCTTTGGGATGTGTGCATTGAACTCACAGTGTTTAACACTTCTTTTCATAGAGCACTTTGGAAACACTCAGTTTGTAATGTCTGCAGCTGGATATTTGGACCTCTTTGAGGCCTTCGTGGTAAACGGGATTTCTTCGTGTAATGATAGACAATAGAATTCTCAGTGAATTTTTTTCTGTGTGTGTGTATTCAACTCACAGGGTTGAACCTTCCTTTAGACAGTGCAGATTTGAAACACTTGTCTGTGGAATTTGCAAGGGGAGATTTCAAGCACTTTGAGGCCATTGGTGGAAAAGGAAATATCTTCGTATGAAAACTAGACAGAATCATTCTCAGGAACTACTTTGTGATATGTGCATTCAACTCACAGAGTTTAACCTTTCTTTTCATAGATGAGTTTGGAAACAGTCAGTTTGTAAATTCTGCAACTGGATATTTGGACCTCTTTGAGGCTTTCATTGGAAACGGGATTTCTTCACATAATGCTAGACAGAAGAATTCTCAGTAACTTCTTTTGGGATGTATGTATTCAACTCAGAGAGTTGAACCTTCCTTTAGACAGAGCGGATTGGAAACACGCTTTTTGCGGAATTTTCAGGTGGAGATTCCAAGAGCCTTGAGGCCAATGGTAGAAAAGGCTATCTTCGTATAAAAACTAGAGGGAATCATTCTCAGAAACTGCTTTGTGATGTGTGCATTAAACTCACAGAGTTGAACATTTCTTTGCATAGAGCAGTTTGGAAAGACTTAGTTTGTACAGTGTGCAAGTGGATATTTGGAACTCTTTGAGGCCTTCGTTGGAAACGGGATTTCTTCTTATAATTCTTGACAAAAGAATTCTCAGTAGCTTCTTTGTGTGTGTGTATTCAACTCACAGAGTTGAACCTTCCTTTAGGCAGAGCAGATTGGAAACCCACTTTTTGTGGAATTTGCAAGTGGAGAATTCTAGCGCTTTGACGCCAATGGTAGGAAAGGAAATATCTCCGTATAAAAACTAGACAGTATCATTCTCAGAAACTACTTTGTGATGTGTGCGTTCAACTCACAGAGTTTAACCTTTCTTTTCATAGAGCAGTTTGGAAACGCTCTGTTTGTGAAGTCTGCAAGAGGATATTTAAACGTCTTTGAGGCCTTCGTTGGAAACGGGATTTTTTCATATAAACCAGGACAGAAGAATTCTCAGAAACTTCTTGTTTGTTATGTGTGCATTCAACTCACAGAGTTGAACCTTACTTCGGAAAGAGCAGTTTTCTAACACTCTTTTTGTAAAAGTTCCAAGTGAATACTTTGAGTGCTTTGAAGCCTACGGTAGACAACGAAATATCTTCATGTAAAAACTGCAAAGAATCATTCGCCGAAACCACGTTGTGATCTCTGCATTCAACTCACAGAGTTCAACCTTTCTTCCTATAGAGCAGTTATTAAACAGTCTCTTTGTAGAATTTGCAAGGGTGTATTTAGAGGGCATTGAGGCCTACGGTAGAAAAGGAAATATCTGACCATAAAATCTAGTCAGAAGCATTCTCAGAAACTGAGTTGTGATGTTTGCATTCAACTCACAGAGTTCAACATTCCTTTTCATAGAGCGGTTTTGAAACACTCTTTTTGCAGAATCTGCAAGTGGATATTTGGACCTCTTTCAGGCCTTCGTTGGAAACGGGATTTCTTCATGTAATGCCAGACAGAAGAATTCTCAGTGAATTCTTTCTGTGTGTGTGTATTCAACTCACAGAGTTGAACGTTCCTTTAGACAGAGTAGATTGGAAACACTCTTTTTGTGGAATTTTCAGGTGGAGGTATCAAGCGCTTTGAGGCCAATGATAGAAAAGGAAATACCTTCGTATAATAATTAGACGGAATCATTCTCAGAAACCGCTTTGCAATGTGTGCGTTCAACTCACAGTGTTTAACCTTTCTTTTCATACAGTTGTTTCGAAACACTCTTTTTGCAGAATCTGCAAGTGGATATTTGGACCTCTTTGAAGTCTTCGTTGGAAATGGGATTTCTTCATATAATGCTAGACAGAAGACTTCTCAGTAACTGCTTTTTCTGGTGTGTATTCAACTCTCAGAGTTGAACTTTCCTTTAGAAACAGCAGATTTGAAACTCTCTTTTTGTGGAATTTGCAAGTGGAGATTTCAGAGCTTTGAGGCCAATGGTAGAAAAGGAAATATCTTCGTATGCAAACTAGACAGAATCATTCTCAGAAACTACTTTGGTACGTGTGTGTTCAACTCACAGTGTTTAACCTTTCTTTTCATAGAGCAGTTTGGAAACACTCAGTTTGTAAAGTCAGCAACTGGATATTTGGATGTATTTGAGGCCTTCGTTGGAAACGGGATTTCTTCATATAATGCTAGACAGAAGAATTCTCAGTAACTTCTTTGGGTTGTGGGTATTCAAGTCACAGAGTTGAAGCTTCCTTTAGGCGGAGCAGATTGGAAACACTTTTTGTGGAATTTTCAGGGGGAGACTTCAAGCGCTTTGAAGTGAATGGTAGGAAAGGAAATATCTTCGTATAAAAACTAGACGGAGTCATTCTCAGAAACTACTTTGTGATGTTTGCGTTCAACTCACAGAGTTTAACGTTTCTTTTCATAGAGCAGTTTGGAAACACTCTGTTTGCAGAATCTGCAAGTGGATATTTGGACCTCTTTGTGGCCTTCGTTGGAAACGGGATTTTTCATATAATGCTAGACAGAAGAATTCTCAGTAACTTCTTTTTGTGGTGTGTATTCAACTCACAGAGTTGAACCTTCCTTTAGACAGAGCAGATTTGAAACTCTCTTTTTGTGGAATTTGCAAGTGGAGATTTCAAGCGCTTTGAGGCCAACGGCAGAAAAGGAAATATCTTCGTAGAAAAAATAGACGGAATCATTCTCAGAAACTGCTTTGGGATGTGTGCATTGAACTCACAGTGTTTAACACTTCTTTTCATAGAGCACTTTGGAAACACTCAGTTTGTAATGTCTGCAGCTGGATATTTGGACCTCTTTGAGGCCTTCGTAGTAAACGGGATTTCTTCGGTGTAATGATAGACAATAGAATTCTCAGTGAATTTTTTTCTGTGTGTGTGTATTCAACTCACAGGGTTGAACCTTCCTTTAGACAGTGCAGATTTGAGACACTTGTCTGTGGAATTTGCAAGGGGAGATTTCAAGCACTTTGAGGCCATTGGTGGAAAAGGAAATATCTTCGTATGAAAACTAGACAGAATCATTCTCAGGAACTACTTTGTGATATGTGCATTCAACTCACAGAGTTTAACCTTTCTTTTCATAGATGAGTTTGGAAACAGTCAGTTTGTAAATTCTGCAACTGGATATTTGGACCTCTTTGAGGCTTTCGTTGGAAACGGGATTTCTTCACATAATGCTAGACAGAAGAATTCTCAGTAACTTCTTTTGGGATGTATGTATTCAAATCAGAGAGTTGAACCTTCCTTTAGACAGAGCGGATTGGAAACACTCTTTTTGTGGAATTTGCAAGGGGAAAATTCTAGCAGTATGAGGCCAATGGTACAAAAGGAAATATCTTCGTATAAAAACTAGACAGTATCATTCTCAGAAACTGCTTTGTGATGTGTGTATTAAACTCACAGAGTTGAACATTTCTTTGCATAGAGCAGTTTGGAAAGACTTAGTTTGTGCAGTGTGCAAGTGGATATTTGGAACTCTTTGAGGCCTTCGTTGGAAACGGGATTTCTTCTTATAATTCTTGACAAAAGAATTCTCAGTAGCTTCTTTGTGTGTGTGTATTCAACTCACAGAGTTGAACCTTCCTTTAGACAGAGCAGATTGGAAACACTCTTTTTGTGGAATTGGCAAGTGGAGAATTCTAGCGCTTTGACGCCAATGGTAGAAAGGAAATATCTTCGTATAAAAACTAGACAGTATCATTCTCAGAAGCTACTTTGTGATGTGCGCGTTCAACTCACAGAGTTTAACCTTTCTTTTCATAGAGCAGTTTGGAAACCCTCTGTTTGTGAAGTCTGCAAGTGGATATTTAAACGTCTTTGAGGCCTTCGTTGGTAACGGGATTTTTTCATATAAACCAGGACAGAAGAATTCTCAGAAACTTCTTGATTCTTATGTGTGCATTCAACTCACAGAGTTGAACCTTACTTTAGAAACAGCAGTTTTCTAACACTCTTTTTGTAAAAGTTCCAAGTGAATACTTTGAGTGCTTTGAAGCCTACGGTTGACAACGAAATATCTTCATGTAAAAACTACAAAGAATCATTCGCAGAAACCACGTTGTGATCTCTGCATTCAACTCACAGAGTTGAACCTTTCTTCCTATAGAGCAGTTATGAAACAGTCTCTTTGTAGAATTTGCAAGGGTGTTTTTAGAGGGCATTGAAGCCTACGGTAGAAAAGGAAATATCTTACCATAAAATCTAGTCAGAAGCACTCTCAGAAACTGAGTTGTGATGTTTGCATTCAACTCACAGAGTTCAACATTCCTTTTAATGGAGCGGTTTTGAAACACTCTTTTTGCAGAATCTGCAAGTGGATATTTGGACCTCTTTGAGGCCTTCGTTGGAAACGGGATTTCTTCATGTAATGCCAGACAGAAGAATTCTCAGTGAATTCCTTCTGTGTGTGTGTATTCAACTCACAGAGTTGAACGTTCCTTTAGACAGAGTAGATTGGAAACACTCTTTTTGTGGAATTTTCAGGTGGAGGTATCAAGCGCTTTGAGGCCAATGATAGAAAAGGAAATACCTTCGTATAATAATTAGACGGAATCATTCTCAGAAACTGCTTTGCAATGTGTGCGTTCAACTCACAGTGTTTAACCTTTCTTTTCATACAGTTGTTTCGAAACACTCTTTTTGCAGAATCTGCAAGTGGATATTTGGACCTCTTTGAAGTCTTCGTTGGAAATGGGATTTCTTCATATAATGCTAGACAGAAGACTTCTCAGTAACTGCTTTTTCTGGTGTGTATTCAACTCTCAGAGTTGAACTTTCCTTTAGAAACAGCAGATTTGAAACTCTCTTTTTGTGGAATTTGCAAGTGGAGATTTCAGAGCTTTGAGGCCACTGGTAGAAAAGGAAATATCTTCGTATGCAAACCAGACAGAATCATTCTCAGAAACTACTTTGGTACGTGTGTGTTCAACTCACAGTGTTTAACCTTTCTTTTCATAGAGCAGTTTGGAAACACTCAGTTTGTAAAGTCAGCAACTGGATATTTGGATGTATTTGAGGCCTTCGTTGGAAACGGGATTTCTTCATATAATGCTAGACAGAAGAATTCTCAGTAACTTCTTTGGGTTGTGGGTATTCAACTCACAGAGTTGAAGCTTCCTTTAGGCGGAGCAGATTGGAAACACTTTTTGTGGAATTTTCAGGGGGAGACTTCAAGCGCTTTGAAGTGAATGGTAGGAAAGGAAATATCTTCGTATAAAAACTAGACGGAGTCATTCTCAGAAACTACTTTGTGATGTTTGCGTTCAACTCACAGAGTTTAACGTTTCTTTTCATAGAGCAGTTTGGAAACACTCTTTTTGCAGAATCTGCAAGTGGATATTTGGACCTCTTTGTGGCCTTCGTTGGAAACGGGATTTTTCATATAATGCTAGACAGAAGAATTCTCAGTAACTTCTTTTTGTGGTGTGTATTCAACTCACAGAGTTGAACCTTCCTTTAGACAGAGCAGATTTGAAACTCTCTTTTTGTGGAATTTGCAAGTGGAGATTTCAAGCGCTTTGAGGCCAACGGCAGAAAAGGAAACTATCTTCGTAGAAAAAATAGACGGAATCATTCTCAGAAACTACTTTGTGATGTGTGCGTTCAACTCACAGTGTTTAACACTTCTTTTCATACAGCACTTTGGAAACACTCAGTTTGTAAGGTTTGCAACTGGATATTTGGACCTCTTTGAGGCCTTCGCAGTAAACGGGATTTCTTCGTGTAATGATAGACAGTAGAATTCTCAGTGAATTTTTTTCTGTGTGTGTGTATTCAACTCACAGGGTTGAACCTTCCTTTAGACAGTGCAGATTTGAAACACTTGTCTGTGGAATTTGCAAGGGGAGATTTCAAGCACTTTGAGGCCATTGGTGGAAAAGGAAATATCTTCGTATAAAAACTAGACAGAATCATTCTCAGGAACTACTTTGTGATATGTGCATTCAACTCACAGAGTTTAACCTTTCTTTTCATAGATGAGTTTGGAAACAGTCAGTTTGTAAATTCTGCAACTGGATATTTGGACCTCTTTGAGGCTTTCGTTGGAAACGGGATTTCTTCACATAATGCTAGACAGAAGAATTCTCAGTAACTTCTTTTGGGATGTATGTATTCAAATCAGAGAGTTGAACCTTCCTTTAGACAGAGCGGATTGGAAACACTCTTTTTGTGGAATTTGCAAGTGGAAAATTCTAGCAGTATGAGGCCAATGGTACAAAAGGAAATATCTTCGTATAAAAACTAGACAGTATCATTCTCAGAAACTGCTTTGTGATGTGTGTATTAAACTCACAGAGTTGAACATTTCTTTGCATAGAGCAGTTTGGAAAGACTTAGTTTGTGCAGTGTGCAAGTGGATATTTGGAACTCTTTGAGGCCTTCGTTGGAAACGGGATTTCTTCTTATAATTCTTGACAAAAGAATTCTCAGTAGCTTCTTTGTGTGTGTGTATTCAACTCACAGAGTTGAACCTTCCTTTAGACAGAGCAGATTGGAAACACTCTTTTTGTGGAATTTGCAAGTGGAGAATTCTAGCGCTTTGACGCCAATGGTAGAAAGGAAATATCTTCGTATAAAAACTAGACAGTATCATTCTCAGAAGCTACTTTGTGATGTGTGCGTTCAACTCACAGAGTTTAACCTTTCTTTTCATAGAGCAGTTTGGAAACCCTCTGTTTGTGAAGTCTGCAAGTGGATATTTAAACGTCTTTGAGGCCTTCGTTGGAAACGGGATTTTTTCATATAAACCAGGACAGAAGAATTCTCAGAAACGTCTTGATTGTTATGTGTGCATTCAACTCACAGAGTTGAACCTTACTTTGGAAAGAGCAGTTTTCTAACACTCTTTTTGTAAAAGTTCCAAGTGAATACTTTGAGTGCTTTGAAGCCTACGGTTGACAACGACATATCTTCATGTAAAAACTACAAAGAATCATTCGCAGAAACCACGTTGTGATCTCTGCATTCAACTCACAGAGTTCAACCTTTCTTCCTATAGAGCAGTTATGAAACAGTCTCTTTGTAGAATTTGCAAGGGTGTATTTAGAGGGCATTGAAGCCTACGGTAGAAAAGGAAATATCTTACCATAAAATCTAGTCAGAAGCATTATCAGCAACTGAGTTGTGATGTTTGCATTCAACTCACAGAGTTCAACATTCCTTTTAATGGAGCGGTTTTGAAACACTCTTTTTGCAGAATCTGCAAGTGGATATTTGGACCTCTTTGAGGTCTTCGTTGGAAACGGGATTTCTTCATGTAATGCCAGACAGAAGAATTCTCAGTGAATTCTTTCTGTGTGTGTGTATTCAACTCACAGAGTTGAACGTTCCTTTAGACAGAGTAGATTGGAAACACTCTTTTTGTGGAATTTTCAGGTGGAGGTATCAAGCGCTTTGAGGCCAATGATAGAAAAGGAAATACCTTCGTATAATAATTAGACGGAATCATTCTCAGAAACTGCTTTGCAATGTGTGCGTTCAACTCACAGTGTTTAACCTTTCTTTTCATACAGTTGTTTTGAAACACTCTTTTTGCAGAATCTGCAAGTGGATATTTGGACCTCTTTGAAGTCTTCGTTGGAAATGGGATTTCTTCATATAATGCTAGACAGAAGACTTCTCAGTAACTGCTTTTTCTGGTGTGTATTCAACTCTCAGAGTTGAACTTTCCTTTAGAAACAGCAGATTTGAAACTCTCTTTTTGTGGAATTTGCAAGTGGAGATTTCAGAGCTTTGAGGCCAATGGTAGAAAAGGAAATATCTTCGTATGCAAACTAGACAGAATCATTCTCAGAAACTACTTTGGTACGTGTGTGTTCAACTCACAGTGTTTAACCTTTCTTTTTATAGAGCAGTTTGGACACACTCAGTTTGTAAAGTCAGCAACTGGATATTTGGATGTATTTGAGGCCTTCGTTGGAAACGGGATTTCTTCATATAATGCTAGACAGAAGAATTCTCAGTAACTTCTTTGGGTTGTGGGTATTCAAGTCACAGAGTTGAAGCTTCCTTTAGGCGGAGCAGATTGGAAACACTTTTTGTGGAATTTTCAGGGGGAGACTTCAAGCGCTTTGAAGTGAATGGTAGGAAAGGAAATATCTTCGTATAAAAACTAGACGGAGTCATTCTCAGAAACTACTTTGTGATGTTTGCGTTCAACTCACAGAGTTTAACGTTTCTTTTCATAGAGCAGTTTGGAAACACTCTTTTTTCAGAATCTGCAAGTGGATATTTGGACCTCTTTGTGGCCTTCGTTGGAAACGGGATTTTTCATATAATGCTAGACAGAAGAATTCTCAGTAACTTCTTTTTGTGGTGTGTATTCAACTCACAGAGTGGAACTTTCCTTTAGACAGAGCAGATTTGAAACTCTCTTTTTGTGGAATTTGCAAGTGGAGATTTCAAGCGCTTTGAGGCCAACGGTAGAAAAGGAAATATCTTCGTAGAAAAAATAGACGGAATCATTCTCAGAAACTGCTTTGGGATGTGTGCATTGAACTCACAGTGTTTAACACTTCTTTTCATAGAGCACTTTGGAAACACTCAGTTTGTAATGTCTGCAGCTGGATATTTGGACCTCTTTGAGGCCTTCGTAGTAAACGGGATTTCTTCGTGTAATGATAGACAATAGAATTCTCAGTGAATTTGTTTCTGTGTGTGTGTATTCAACTCACAGGGTTGAACCTTCCTTTAGACAGTGCAGATTTGAAACACTTGTCTGTGGAATTTGCAAGGGGAGATTTCAAGCACTTTGAGGCCATTGGTGGAAAAGGAAATATCTTCGTATAAAAACTAGACAGAATCATTCTCAGGAACTACTTTGTGATATGTGCATTCAACTCACAGAGTTTAACCTTTCTTTTCATAGATGAGTTTGGAAACAGTCAGTTTGTAAATTCTGCAACTGGATATTTGGACCTCTTTGAGGCTTTCGTTGGAAACGGGATTTCTTCACATAATGCTAGACAGAAGAATTCTCAGTAACTTCTTTTGGGATGTATGTATTCAAATCAGAGAGTTGAACCTTCCTTTAGACAGAGCGGATTGGAAACACTCTTTTTGTGGAATTTGCAAGTGGAAAATTCTAGCAGTATGAGGCCAATGGTACAAAAGGAAATATCTTCGTATAAAAACTAGACAGTATCATTCTCAGAAACTGCTTTGTGATGTGTGAATTAAACTCACAGAGTTGAACATTTCTTTGCATAGAGCAGTTTGGAAAGACTTAGTTTTTGCAGTGTGCAAGTGGATATTTGGAACTCTTTGAGGCCTTCGTTGGAAACGGGATTTCTTCTTATAATTCTTGACAAAAGAATTCTCAGTAGCTTCTTTGTGTGTGTGTATTCAACTCACAGAGTTGAACCTTCCTTTAGACAGAGCAGATTGGAAACACTCTTTTTGTGGAATTTGCAAGGGGAGAATTCTAGCGCTTTGACGCCAATGGTAGAAAGGAAATATCTTCGTATAAAAACTAGACAGTATCATTCTCAGAAGCTACTTTGTGATGTGTGCGTTCAACTCACAGAGTTTAACCTTTCTTTTCATAGAGCAGTTTGGAAACCCTCTGTTTGTGAAGTCTGCAAGTGGATATTTAAACGTCTTTGAGGCCTTCGTTGGAAACGGGATTTGTTCCTATAAACCAGGACAGAAGAATTCTCAGAAACTTCTTGATTGTTATGTGTGCATTCAACTCACAGAGTTGAACCTTACTTTGGAAAGAGCAGTTTTCTAACACTCTTTTTGTAAAAGTTCCAAGTGAATACTTTGAGTGCTTTGAAGCCTACGGTTGACAACGAAATATCTTCATGTAAAAACTACAAAGAATCATTCGCAGAAACCACGTTGTGATCTCTGCATTCAACTCACAGAGTTGAACCTTTCTTCCTATAGAGCAGTTATGAAACAGTCTCTTTGTAGAATTTGCAAGGGTGTATTTAGAGGGCATTGAAGCCTACGGTAGAAAAGGAAATATCTTACCATAAAATCTAGTCAGAAGCATTCTCAGCAACTGAGTTGTGATGTTTGCATTCAACTCACAGAGTTCAACATTCCTTTTAATGGAGCGGTTTTGAAACACTCTTTTTGCAGAATCTGCAAGTGGATATTTGGACCTCTTTGAAGTCTTCGTTGGAAATGGGATTTCTTCATATAATGCTAGACAGAAGACTTCTCAGTAACTGCTTTTTCTGGTGTGTATTCAACTCTCAGAGTTGAACTTTCCTTTAGAAACAGCAGATTTGAAACTCTTTTTTGTGGAATTTGCAAGTGGAGATTTCAGAGCTTTGAGGCCAATGGTAGAAAAGGAAATATCTTCGTATGCAAACTAGACAGAAATCATTCTCAGAAAACTACTTTGGTACGTGTGTGTTCAAGTCACAGTGTTTAACCTTTCTTTTCATAGAGCAGTTTGGAAACACTCAGTTTGTAAAGTCAGCAACTGGATATTTGGATGTATTTGAGGCCTTCGTTGGAAACGGGATTTCTTCATATAGTGCTAGACAGAAGAATTCTCAGTAACTTCTTTGGGCTGTGGGTATTCAACTCACAGAGTTGAAGCTTCCTTTAGGCGGAGCAGATTGGAAACACTTTTTGTGGAATTTTCAGGGGGAGACTTCAAGCGCTTTGAAGTGAACGGTAGGAAAGGAAATATCTTCGTATATAAACTAGACGGAGTCATTCTCAGAAACTACTTTGTGATGTTTGCGTTCAACTCACAGAGTTTAACGTTTCTTTTCATAGAGCAGTTTGGAAACACTCTTTTTGCAGAATCTGCAAGTGGATATTTGGACCTCTTTGTGGCCTTCGTTGGAAACGGGATTTTTCATATAATGCTAGACAGAAGAATTCTCAGTAACTTCTTTTTGTGGTGTGTATTCAACTCACAGAGTTGAACCTTCCTTTAGACAGAGCAGATTTGAAACTCTCTTTTCGTGGAATTTGCAAGTGGAGATTTCAAGCGCTTTGGGGCCAACGGTAGAAAAGGAAATATCTTCGTAGAAAAAATAGACGGAATCATTCTCAGAAACTGCTTTGGGATGTGTGCATTGAACTCACAGTGTTTAACACTTCTTTTCATAGAGCACTTTGAAAACACTCAGTTTGTAATGTCTGCAGCTGGATATTTGGACCTCTCTGAGGCCTTCGTAGGAAACGGGAATTCTTCGTGTAATGATAGACAATAGAATTCTCAGTGAATTTTTTTCTGTGTGTGTGTATTCAACTCACAGGGTTGAACCTTCCTTCAGACAGTGCAGATTTGAAACACTTTTCTGTGGAATTTGCAAGGGGAGATTTCAAGCACTTTGAGGCCATTGGTGGAAAAGGAAATATCTTAGTATAAAAACTAGACAGAATCATTCTCAGGAACTACTTTGTGATATGTGCATTCAACTCCCAGAGTTTAACCTTTCTTTTCATAGATGAGTTTGGAAACAGTCAGTTTGTAAATTCTGCAACTGGATATTTGGACCTCTTTGAGGCTTTCGTTGGAAACGGGATTTCTTCACATAATGCTAGACAGAAGAATTCTCAGTAACTTCTTTTGGGATGTATGTATTCAAATCAGAGAGTTGAACCTTCCTTTAGACAGAGCGGATTGGAAACACTCTTTTTGTGGAATTTGCAAGTGGAAAATTCTAGCAGTATGAGGCCAATGGTACAAAAGGAAATATCTTCGTATAAAAACTAGACAGTATCATTCTCAGAAACTGCTTTGTGATGTGTGTATTAAACTCACAGAGTTGAACATTTCTTTGCATAGAGCAGTTTGGAAAGACTTAGTTTGTGCAGTGTGCAAGTGGATATTTGGAACTCTTTGAGGCCTTCGTTGGAAACGGGATTTCTTCTTATAATTTCTTGAAAAAAGAATTCTCAGTAGCTTCTTTGTGTGTGTGTATTCAACTCACAGAGTTGAACCTTCCTTTAGACAGAGCAGATTGGAAACACTCTTTTTGTGGAATTTGCAAGTGGAGAATTCTAGCGCTTTGACGCCAATGGTAGAAAGGAAATATCTTCGTATAAAAACTAGACAGTATCATTCTCAGAAGCTACTTTGTGATGTGTGCGTTCAACTCACAGAGTTTAACCTTTCTTTTCATAGAGCAGTTTGGAAACCCTCTGTTTGTGAAGTCTGCAAGTGGATATTTAAACGTCTTTGAGGCCTTCGTTGGAAACGGGATTTTTTCATATAAACCAGGACAGAAGAATTCTCAGAAACGTCTTGATTGTTATGTGTGCATTCAACTCACAGAGTTGAACCTTACTTTGGAAAGAGCAGTTTTCTAATACTCTTTTTGTAAAAGTTCCAAGTGAATACTTTAAGTGCTTTGAAGCCTACGGTTGACAACGAAATATCTTCATGTAAAAACTATGAAGAATCATTCGCCGAAACCACGTTGTGATCTCTGCATTCAACTCACAGAGTTCAACCTTTCTTCCTATAGAGCAGTTATTAAACAGTCTCTTTGTAGAATTTGCAAGGGTGTATTTAGAGGGCATTGAAGCCTACGGTAGAAAAGGAAATATCTGACCATTAAATCTAGTCAGAAGCATTCTCAGAAACTGAGTTGTGATGTTTGCATTCAACTCACAGAGTTCAACATTCCTTTTCATGGAGCGGTTTTGAAACACTCTTTTTGCAGAATCTGCAAGTGGATATTTGGACCTCTTTGAGGCCTTCGTTGGAAACGGGATTTCTTCATGTAATGCCAGACAGAAGAATTCTCAGTGAATTCTTTCTGTGTGTGTGTATTCAACTCACAGAGTTGAACGTTCCTTTAGACAGAGTAGATTGGAAACACTCTTTTTGTGGAATTTTCAGGTGGAGGTATCAAGCGCTTTGAGGCCAATGATAGAAAAGGAAATACCTTCGTATAATAATTAGACGGAATCATTCTCAGAAACCGCTTTGCAATGTGTGCGTTCAACTCACAGTGTTTAACCTTTCTTTTCATACAGTTGTTTCGAAACACTCTTTTTGCAGAATCTGCAAGTGGATATTTGGACCTCTTTGAAGTCTTCGTTGGAAATGGGATTTCTTCATATAATGCTAGACAGAAGACTTCTCAGTAACTGCTTTTTCTGGTGTGTATTCAACTCTCAGAGTTGAACTTTCCTTTAGAAACAGCAGATTTGAAACTCTCTTTTTGTGGAATTTGCAAGTGGAGATTTCAGAGCTTTGAGGCCAATGGTAGAAAAGGAAATATCTTCGTATGCAAACTAGACAGAATCATTCTCAGAAACTACTTTGGTACGTGTGTGTTCAACTCACAGTGTTTAACCTTTCTTTTCATAGAGCAGTTTGGAAACACTCAGTTTGTAAAGTCAGCAACTGGATATTTGGATGTATTTGAGGCCTTCGTTGGAAACGGGATTTCTTCATATAGTGCTAGACAGAAGAATTCTCAGTAACTTCTTTGGGTTGTGGGTATTCAACTCACAGAGTTGAAGCTTCCTTTAGGCGGAGCAGATTGGAAACACTTTTTGTGGAATTTTCAGGGGGAGACTTCAAGCGCTTTGAAGTGAATGGTAGAAAAGGAAATATCTTCGTATAAAAACTAGACGGAGTCATTCTCAGAAACTACTTTGTGATGTTTGCGTTCAACTCACAGAGTTTAACATTTCTTTTCATAGAGCAGTTTGGAAACACTCTTTTTGCAGAATCTGCAAGTGGATATTTGGACCTCTTTGTGGCCTTCGTTGGAAAGGGGATTTTTCATATAATGCTAGACAGAAGAATTCTCAGTAACTTCTTTTTGTGGTGTGTATTCAACTCACAGAGTTGAACCTTCCTTTAGACAGAGCAGATTTGAAACTCTCTTTTTGTGGAATTTGCAAGTGGAGATTTCAAGCGCTTTGAGGCCAACGGCAGAAAAGGAAATATCTTCGTAGAAAAAATAGACGGCATCATTCTCAGAAACTGCTTTGGGATGTGTGCATTGAACTCACAGTGTTTAACACTTCTTTTCATAGAGCACTTTGGAAACACTCAGTTTGTAATGTCTGCAGCTGGATATTTGGACCTCTTTGAGGCCTTCGTAGTAAACGGGATTTCTTCGTGTAATGATAGACAATAGAATTCTCAGTCAATTTTTTCCTGTGTGTGTGTATTCAACTCACAGGGTTGAACCTTCCTTTAGACAGTGCAGATTTGAAACACTTGTCTGTGGAATTTGCAAGGGGAGATTTCAAGCACTTTGAGGCCATTGGTGGAAAAGGAAATATCTTCGTATAAAAACTAGACAGAATCATTCTCAGGAACTACTTTGTGATATGTGCATTCAACTCACAGAGTTTAACCTTTCTTTTCATAGATGAGTTTGGAAACAGTTTGTAAATTCTGCAACTGGATATTTGGACCTCTTTGAGGCTTTCGTTGGAAACGGGATTTCTTCACATAATGCTAGACAGAAGAATTCTCAGTAACTTCTTTTGGGATGTATGTATTCAAATCAGAGAGTTGAACCTTCCTTTAGACAGAGCGGATTGGAAACACTCTTTTTGTGGAATTTGCAAGTGGAAAATTCTAGCAGTATGAGGCCAATGGTACAAAAGGAAATATCTTCGTATAAAAACTAGACAGTATCATTCTCAGAAACTGCTTTGTGATGTGTGAATTAAACTCACAGAGTTGAACATTTCTTTGCATAGAGCAGTTTGGAAAGACTTAGTTTGTGCAGTGTGCAAGTGGATATTTGGAACTCTTTGAGGCCTTCGTTGGAAACGGGATTTCTTCTTATAATTCTTGACAAAAGAATTCTCAGTAGCTTCTTTGTGTGTGTGTATTCAACTCACAGAGTTGAACCTTCCTTTAGACAGAGCAGATTGGAAACACTCTTTTTGTGGAATTTGCAAGTGGAGAATTCTAGCGCTTTGACGCCAATGGTAGAAAGGAAATATCTTCGTATAAAAACTAGACAGTATCATTCTCAGAAACTACTTTGTGATGTGTGCGTTCAACTCACAGAGTTTAACCTTTCTTTTCATAGAGCAGTTTGGAAACACTCTGTTTGTGAAGTCTGCAAGTGGATATTTAAACGTCTTTGAGGCCTTCGTTGGAAACGGGATTTCTTCATATAAACCAGGACAGAAGAATTCTCAGAAACTTCTTGATTGTTATGGGTGCATTCAACTCACAGAGTTGAACCTTACTTTGGAAAGAGCAGTTTTCTAACACTCTTTTTGTAAAAGTTCCAAGTGAATACATTGAGTGCTTTGAAGCCTACGGTTGACAACGAAATATCTTCATGTAAAAACTACAAAGAATCATTCGCAGAAACCACGTTGTGATCTCTGCATTCAACTCACAGAGTTCAACCTTTCTTCCTATAGAGCAGTTATGAAACAGTCTCTTTGTAGAATTTGCAAGGGTGTATTTAGAGGGCATTGAAGCCTACGGTAGAAAAGGAAATATCTGACCATAAAATCTAGTCAGAAGCATTCTCAGAAACTGAGTTGTGATGTTTGCATTCAACTCACAGAGTTCAACATTCCTTTTCATGGAGCGGTTTTGAAACACTCTTTTTGCAGAATCTGCAAGTGGATATTTGGACCTCTTTGACGCCTTCGTTGGAAACGGGATTTCTTCATGTAATGCCAGACAGAAGAATTCTCAGTGAATTCTTTCTGTGTGTGTGTATTCAACTCACGGAGTTGAACGTTCCTTTAGACAGAGTAGATTGGAAACACTCTTTTTGTGGAATTTTCAGGTGGAGGTATCAAGCGCTTTGAGGCCAATGATAGAAAAGGAAATACCCTTCGTATAATAATTAGACGGAATCATTCTCAGAAACTGCTTTGCAATGTGTGCGTTCAACTCACAGTGTTTAACCTTTCTTTTCATACAGTTGTTTCGAAACACTCTTTTTGCAGAATCTGCAAGTGGATATTTGGACCTCTTTGAAGTCTTCGTTGGAAATGGGATTTCTTCATATAATGCTAGACAGAAGACTTCTCAGTAACTGCTTTTTCTGGTGTGTATTCAACTCTCAGAGTTGAACTTTCCTTTAGAAACAGCAGAGTTGAAACTCTCTTTTTGTGGAATTTGCAAGTGGAGATTTCAAAGCTTTGAGGCCAATGGTAGAAAAGGAAATATCCTTCGTATGCAAACTAGACAGAATCATTCTCAGAAACTACTTTGGTACGTGTGTGTTCAACTCACAGTGTTTAACCTTTCCTTTCATAGAGCAGTTTGGAAACACTCAGTTTGTAAAGTCAGCCACTGGATATTTGGATGTATTTGAGGCCTTCGTTGGAAACGGGATTTCTTCATATAATGCTAGACAGAAGAATTCTCAGTAACTTCTTTGTGTTGTGGGTATTCAACTCACAGAGTTGAAGCTTCCTTTAGGCGGAGCAGATTGGAAACACTTTTTGTGGAATTTTCAGGGGGAGACTTCAAGCGCTTTCAGGCCAACGGTAGAAAAGGAAATATCTCCGTATAAAAACTAGACGGAGTCATTCTCAGAAACTACTTTGTGATGTTTGCGTTCAACTCACAGAGTTTAACGTTTCTTTTCATAGAGCAGTTTGGAGACACTGTTTTTGCAGAATCTGCAAGTGGATATTTGGACCTCTTTGTGGCCTTCGTTGGAAACGGGATTTTTCATATAATGCTAGACAGAAGAATTCTCAGTAACTTCTTTTTGTGGTGTGTATTCAACTCACAGAGTTGAACCTTCCTTTAGACAGAGCAGATTTGAAACTCTCTTTTTGTGGAATTTGCATTGGAGATTTCAAGCACGTTGAGGCCAACGGTAGAAAAGGAAATATCTTCGTAGAAAAAATAGACGGAATCATTCTCAGAAACTGCTTTGGGATGTGTGCATTGAACTCACAGTGTTTAACACTTCTTTTCATAGAGCACTTTGGAAACACTCAGTTTGTAATGTCTGCAGCTGGATATGTGGACCTCTTTGAGGCCTTCGTAGTAAACGGGATTTCTTCGTGTAATGATAGACAATAGAATTCTCAGTGAATTTTTTTCTGTGTGTGTGTATTCAACTCACAGGGTTGAACCTTCCTTCAGACAGTGCAGATTTGAAACACTTTTCTGTGGAATTTGTAAGGGGAGATTTCAAGCACTTTGAGGCCATTGGTGGAAAAGGGAATATCTTCGTATAAAAACTAGACAGAATCATTCTCAGGAACTACTTTGTGATATGTGCATTCAACTCACAGGTTTTAACCTTTCTTTTCATAGATGAGTTTGGAAACAGTCAGTTTGGAAATTCTGCAACTGGATATTTGGACCTCTTTGAGGCTTTCGTTGGAAACGGGATTTCTTCACATAATGCTAGACAGAAGAATTCGCAGTAACTTCTTTTGAGATGTATGTATTCAACTCAGAGAGTTGAACCTTCCTTTAGACAGAGCGGATTGGAAACACGCTTTTTGCGGAATTTTCAGGTGGAGATTCCAAGAGCCTTGAGGCCAGTGGTAGAAAAGGCTATCTTCGTATAAAAACTAGAGGGAATCATTCTCAGAAACTGCTTTGTGATGTGTGCATTAAACTCACAGAGTTGAACATTTCTTTGCATAGAGCAATTTGGAAAGACTTAGTTTGCAAAGTGTGCAAGTGGATATTTGGAACTCTTTGAGGCCTTCGTTGGAAACGGGATTTCTTCTTATAATTCTTGACAAAAGAATTCTCAGTAGCTTCTTTGTGTGTGTGTATTCAACTCACAGAGTTGAACCTTCCTTTAGGCAGAGCAGATTGGAAACCCTCTTTTTGTGGAATTTGCAAGTGGAGAATTCTAGCGCTTTGACGCCAATGGTAGGAAAGGAAATCTCTTCGTATAAAAACTGGACAGTATCATTCTCAGAAACTACTTTGTGATGTGTGCGTTCAACTCACAGA
This sequence comes from Homo sapiens, assembly GCF_000001405.40. Taxonomy (NCBI): domain Eukaryota; kingdom Metazoa; phylum Chordata; class Mammalia; order Primates; family Hominidae; genus Homo; species Homo sapiens. The sequence continues at coordinate 93,028,184 of NC_000003.12, forward strand.
GTTTAACCTTTCTTTTCATAGAGCAGTTTGGAAACACTCTGTTTGTGATGTCTGCAAGTGGATATTTAAACGCCTTTGAGGCCTTCGTTGGAAACGGGATTTTTTCATATAAACCAGGACAGAAGAATTCTCAGAAACTTCTTGATTGTTATGTGTGCATTCAACTCACAGAGTTGAACCTTACTTTGGAAAGAGCAGTTTCCTAACACTCGTTTTGTAAAAGTTCCAAGTGAATACTTTGAGTGCTTTGAAGCCTACGGTTGACAACGAAATATCTTCATGTAAAAACTACAAAGAATCATTCGCAGAAACCACGTTGTGATCTCTGCATTCAACTCACAGAGTTCAACCTTTCTTCCTATAGAGCAGTTATGAAACAGTCTCTTTGTAGAATTTGCAAGGGTGTATTTAGAGGGCATTGAAGCCTACGGTAGAAAAGGAAATATCTTACCATAAAATCTAGTCAGAAGCATTCTCAGCAACTGAGTTGTGATGTTTGCATTCAACTCACAGAGTTCAACATTCCTTTTAATGGAGCGGTTTTGAAACACTCTTTTTGCAGAATCTGCAAGTGGATATTTGGACCTCTTTGAGGCCTTCGTTGGAAACGGGATTTCTTCATGTAATGCCAGACAGAAGAATTCTCAGTGAATTCTTTCTGTGTGTGTGTATTCAACTCACAGAGTTGAACGTTCCTTTAGACAGAGTAGATTGGAAACACTCTTTTTGTGGAATTTTCAGTTGGAGGTATCAAGCGCTTTGAGGCCAATGATAGAAAAGGAAATACCTTCGTATAATAATTAGACGGAATCATTCTCAGAAACTGCTTTGCAATGTGTGCGTTCAACTCACAGTGTTTAACCTTTCTTTTCATACAGTTGTTTCGAAACACTCTTTTTGCAGAATCTGCAAGTGGATATTTGGACCTCTTTGAAGTCTTCGTTGGAAATGGGATTTCTTCATATAATGCTAGACAGAAGACTTCTCAGTAACTGCTTTTTCTGGTGTGTATTCAACTCTCAGAGTTGAACTTTCCTTTAGAAACAGCAGATTTGAAACTCTCTTTTTGTGGAATTTGCAAGTGGAGATTTCAAAGCTTTGAGGCCAATGGTAGAAAAGGAAATATCTTCGTATGCAAACTAGACAGAATCATTCTCAGAAACTACTTTGGTACGTGTGTGTTCAACTCACAGTGTTTAATCTTTCTTTTCATAGAGCAGTTTGGAAACACTCAGTTTGTAAAGTCAGCAACTGGATATTTGGATGTATTTGAGGCCTTCGTTGGAAACGGGATTTCTTCATATAATGCTAGACAGAAGAATTCTCAGTAACTTCTTTGGGTTGTGGGTATTCAAGTCACAGAGTTGAAGCTTCCTTTAGGCGGAGCAGATTGGAAACACTTTTTGTGGAATTTTCAGGGGGAGACTTCAAGCGCTTTGAAGTGAATGGTAGGAAAGGAAATATCTTCGTATAAAAACTAGACGGAGTCATTCTCAGAAACTACTTTGTGATGTTTGCGTTCAACTCACAGAGTTTAACGTTTCTTTTCATAGAGCAGTTTGGAAACACTCTTTTTGCAGAATCTGCAAGTGGATATTTGGACTTCTTTGTGGCCTTCGTTGGAAACGGGATTTTTCATATAATGCTAGACAGAAGAATTCTCAGTAACTTCTTTTTGTGGTGTGTATTCAACTCACAGAGTTGAACCTTCCTTTAGACAGAGCAGATTTGAAACTCTCTTTTTGTGGAATTTGCAAGTGGAGATTTCAAGCGCTTTGAGGCCAACGGCAGAAAAGGAAATATCTTCGTAGAAAAAATAGACGGAATCATTCTCAGGAAACTGCTTTGGGATGTGTGCATTGAACTCACAGTGTTTAACACTTCTTTTCATAGAGCACTTTGGAAACACTCAGTTTATAATGTCTGCAGCTGGATATTTGGACCTCTTTGAGGCCTTCGTAGTAAACGGGATTTCTTCGTGTAATGATAGACAATAGAATTCTCAGTGAATTTTTTTCTGTGTGTGTGTATTCAACTCACAGGGTTGAACCATCCTTTAGACAGTGCAGATTTGAAACACTTGTCTGTGGAATTTGCAAGGGGAGATTTCAAGCACTTTGAGGCCATTGGTGGAAAAGGAAATATCTTCGTATGAAAACTAGACAGAATCATTCTCAGGAACTACTTTGTGATATGGGCATTCAACTCCCAGAGTTTAACCTTTCTTTTCATAGATGAGTTTGGAAACAGTCAGTTTGTAAATTCTGCAACTGGATATTTGGACCTCTTTGAGGCTTTCGTTGGAAACGGGATTTCTTCACATAATGCTAGACAGAAGAATTCTCAGTAACTTCTTTTGGGATGTATGTATTCAAATCAGAGAGTTGAACCTTCCTTTAGACAGAGCGGATTGGAAACACTCTTTTTGTGGAATTTGCAAGTGGAAAATTCTAGCAGTATGAGGCCAATGGTACAAAAGGAAATATCTTCGTATAAAAACTAGACAGTATCATTCTCAGAAACTGCTTTGTGATGTGTGTATTAAACTCACAGAGTTGAACATTTCTTTGCATAGAGCAGTTTGGAAAGACTTAGTTTGTGCAGTGTGCAAGTGGATATTTGGAACTCTTTGAGGCCTTCGTTGGAAACGGGATTTCTTCTTATAATTCTTGACAAAAGAATTCTCAGTAGCTTCTTTGTGTGTGTGTATTCAACTCACAGAGTTGAACCTTCCTTTAGACAGAGCAGATTGGAAACACTCTTTTTGTGGAATTTGCAAGTGGAGAATTCTAGCGCTTTGACGCCAATGGTAGAAAGGAAATATCTTCGTATAAAAACTAGACAGTATCATTCTCAGAAACTACTTTGTGATGTGTGCGTTCAACTCACAGAGTTTAACCTTTCTTTTCATAGAGCAGTTTGGAAACCCTCTGTTTGTGAAGTCTGCAAGTGGATATTTAAACGTCTTTGAGGCCTTCGTTGGAAACGGGATTTGTTCCTATAAACCAGGACAGAAGAATTCTCAGAAACTTCTTGATTGTTATGTGTGCATTCAACTCACAGAGTTGAACCTTACTTTGGAAAGAGCAGTTTTCTAACACTCTTTTTGTAAAAGTTCCAAGTGAATACTTTGAGTGCTTTGAAGCCTACGGTTGACAACGAAATATCTTCATGTAAAAACTACAAAGAATCATTCGCAGAAACCACGTTGTGATCTCTGCATTCAACTCACAGAGTTGAACCTTTCTTCCTATAGAGCAGTTATGAAGCAGTCTCTTTGTAGAATTTGCAAGGGTGTATTTACAGGGCATTGAAGCCTACGGTAGAAAAGGAAATATCTTACCATAAAATCTAGTCAGAAGCATTCTCAGAAACTGAGTTGTGATGTTTGCATTCAACTCACAGAGTTAAACATTCCTTTTAATGGAGCGGTTTTGAAACACTCTTTTTGCAGAATCTGCAAGTGGATATTTGGACCTCTTTGAGGCCTTCGTTGGAAACGGGATTTCTTCATGTAATGCCAGACAGAAGAATTCTCAGTGAATTCTTTCTGTGTGTGTGTATTCAACTCACGGAGTTGAACGTTCCTTTAGACAGAGTAGATTGGAAACACTCTTTTTGTGGAATTTTCAGGTGGAGGTATCAAGCGCTTTGAGGCCAATGATAGAAAAGGAAATACCCTTCGTATAATAATTAGACGGAATCATTCTCAGAAACTGCTTTGCAATGTGTGCGTTCAACTCACAGTGTTTAACCTTTCTTTTCATACAGTTGTTTCGAAACACTCTTTTTGCAGAATCTGCAAGTGGATATTTGGACCTCTTTGAAGTCTTCGTTGGAAATGGGATTTCTTCATATAATGCTAGACAGAAGACTTCTCAGTAACTGCTTTTTCTGGTGTGTATTCAACTCTCAGAGTTGAACTTTCCTTTAGAAACAGCAGATTTGAAACTCTCTTTTTGTGGAATTTGTAAGTGGAGATTTCAGAGCTTTGAGGCCAATGGTAGAAAAGGAAATATCTTCGTATGCAAACTAGATAGAATCATTCTCAGAAACTTCTTTGGGATGTGTGCATTGAACTCACAGTGTTTAACACTTCTTTTCCTAGAGCACTTTGGAAACACTCAGTTTGTAAAGTCAGCAACTGGATATTTTGATGTATTTGAGGCCTTCGTTGGAAACGGGATTTCTTCATATAATGCGAGACAGAAGAATTCTCAGTAACTTCTTTGGGTTGTGGGTATTCAAGTCACAGAGTTGAAGCTTCCTTTAGGCGGAGCAGATTGGAAACACTTTTTGTGGAATTTTCAGGGGGAGACTTCAAGCGCTTTGAAGTGAATGGTAGGAAAGGAAATATCTTCGTATAAAAACTAGACGGAGTCATTCTCAGAAACTACTTTGTGATGTTTGCGTTCAACTCACAGAGTTTAACGTTTCTTTTCATAGAGCAGTTTGGAAACACTCTTTTTGCAGAATCTGCAAGTGGATATTTGGACCTCTTTGTGGCCTTCGTTGGAAACGGGATTTTTCATATAATGCTAGACAGAAGAATTCTCAGTAACTTCTTTTTGTGGTGTGTATTCAACTCACAGAGTTGAACCTTCCTTTAGACAGAGCAGATTTGAAACTCTCTTTTCGTGGAATTTGCAAGTGGAGATTTCAAGCGCTTTGAGGCCAACGGTAGAAAAGGAAATATCTTCGTAGAAAAAATAGACGGAATCATTCTCAGAAACTGCTTTGGGATGTGTGCATTGAACTCACAGTGTTTAACACTTCTTTTCATAGAGCACTTTGGAAACACTCAGTTTGTAATGTCTGCAGCTGGATATTTGGACCTCTTTGAGGCCTTCGTAGTAAACGGGATTTCTTCGTGTAATGATAGACAATGTAATTCTCAGTGAATTTCTTTCTGTGTGTGTGTATTCAACTCACAGGGTTGAACCTTCCTTCAGACAGTGCAGATTTGAAACACTTTTCTGTGGAATTTGCAAGGGGAGATTTCAAGCACTTTGAGGCCATTGGTGGAAAAGGAAATATCTTCGTATAAAAACTAGACAGAATCATTCTCAGGAACTACTTTGTGATATGTGCATTCAACTCACAGAGTTTAACCTTTCTTTTCATAGATGAGTTTGGAAACAGTCAGTTTGTAAATTCTGCAACTGGATATTTGGACCTCTTTGAGGCTTTCGTTGGAAACGGGATTTCTTCACATAATGCTAGACAGAAGAATTCTCAGTAACTTCTTTTGGGATGTATGTATTCAAATCAGAGAGTTGAACCTTCCTTTAGACAGAGCGGATTGGAAACACTCTTTTTGTGGAATTTGCAAGTGGAAAATTCTAGCAGTATGAGGCCAATGGTACAAAAGGAAATATGTTCGTATAAAAACTAGACAGTATCATTCTCAGAAACTGCTTTGTGATGTGTGTATTAAACTCACAGAGTTGAACATTTCTTTGCATAGAGCAGTTTGGAAAGACTTAGTTTGTGCAGTGTGCAAGTGGATATTTGGAACTCTTTGAGGCCTTCGTTGGAAACGGGATTTCTTCTTATAATTCTTGACAAAAGAATTCTCAGTAGCTTCTTTGTGTGTGTGTATTCAACTCACAGAGTTGAACCTTCCTTTAGACAGAGCAGATTGGAAACACTCTTTTTGTGGAATTTGCAAGTGGAGAATTCTAGCGCTTTGACGCCAATGGTAGAAAGGAAATATCTTCGTATGCAAACTAGACAGTATCATTCTCAGAAGCTACTTTGTGATGTGTGCGTTCAACTCACAGAGTTTAACCTTTCTTTTCATAGAGCAGTTTGGAAACACTCTGTTTGTGAAGTCTGCAAGTGGATATTTAAACGTCTTTGAGGCCTTCGTTGGAAACGGGATTTTTTCATATAAACCAGGACAGAAGAATTCTCAGAAACTTCTTGATTGTTATGTGTGCATTCAACTCACAGAGTTGAACCTTACTTTGGAAAGAGCAGTTTTCTAACACTCTTTTTGTAAAAGTTCCAAGTGAATACTTTGAGTGCTTTGAAGCCTACGGTTGACAACGAAATATCTTCCTGTAAAAACTACAAAGAATCATTCGCAGAAACCACGTTGTGATCTCTGCATTCAACTCACAGAGTTGAACCTTTCTTCCTATAGAGCAGTTGTGAAACAGTCTCTTTGTAGAATTTGCAAGGGTGTATTTAGAGGGCATTGAAGCCTACGGTAGAAAAGGAAATATCTTACCATAAAATCTAGTCAGAAGCATTCTCAGAAACTGAGTTGTGATGTTTGCATTCAACTCACAGAGTTCAACATTCCTTTTAATGGAGCGGTTTTGAAACACTCTTTGTGCAGAATCTGCAAGTGGATATTTGGACCTCTTTGAGGCCTTCGTTGGAAACGGGATTTCTTCATGTAATGCCAGACAGAAGAATTCTCAGTGAATTCTTTCTGTGTGTGTGTATTCAACTCACAGAGTTGAACATTCCTTTAGACAGAGTAGATTGGAAACACTCTTTTTGTGGAATTTTCAGGTGGAGGTATCAAGCGCTTTGAGGCCAATGATAGAAAAGGAAATACCTTCGTATAATAATTAGACGGAATCATTCTCAGAAACTGCTTTGCAATGTGTGCGTTCAACTCACAGTGTTTAACCTTTCTTTTCATACAGTTGTTTCGAAACACTCTTTTTGCAGAATCTGCAAGTGGATATTTGGACCTCTTTGAAGTCTTCGTTGGAAATGGGATTTCTTCATATAATGCTAGACAGAAGACTTCTCAGTAACTGCTTTTTCTGGTGTGTATTCAACTCTCAGAGTTGAACTTTCCTTTAGAAACAGCAGATTTGAAACTCTCTTTTTGTGGAATTTGCAAGTGGAGATTTCAGAGCTTTGAGGCCAATGGTAGAAAAGGAAATATCTTCGTATGCAAACTAGACAGAATCATTCTCAGAAACTACTTTGGTACGTGTGTGTTCAACTCACAGTGTTTAACCTTTCTTTTCATAGAGCAGTTTGGAAACACTCAGTTTGTAAAGTCAGCAACTGGATATTTGGATGTATTTGAGGCCTTCGTTGGAAACGGGATTTCTTCATATAATGCTAGACAGAAGAATTCTCAGTAACTTCTTTGGGTTGTGGGTATTCAACTCACAGAGTTGAAGCTTCCTTTAGGCGGAGCAGATTGGAAACACTTTTTGTGGAATTTTCAGGGGGAGACTTCAAGCGCTTTGAAGTGAATGGTAGGAAAGGAAATATCTTCGTATAAAAACTAGACGGAGTCATTCTCAGAAACTACTTTGTGATGTTTGCGTTCAACTCACAGAGTTTAACGTTTCTTTTCATAGAGCAGTTTGGAAACACTCTTTTTGCAGAATCTGCAAGTGGATATTTGGACCTCTTTGTGGCCTTCGTTGGAAACGGGATTTTTCATATAATGCTAGACAGAAGAATTCTCAGTAACTTCTTTTTGTGGTGTGTATTCAACTCACAGAGTTGAACCTTCCTTTAGACAGAGCAGATTTGAAACTCTCTTTTTGTGGAATTTGCAAGTGGAGATTTCAAGCGCTTTGAGGCCAACGGCAGAAAAGGAAATATCTTCGTAGAAAAAATAGACGGCATCATTCTCAGAAACAGCTTTGGGATGTGTGCATTGAACTCACAGTGTTTAACACTTCTTTTCATAGAGCACTTTGGAAACACTCAGTTTGTAATGTCTGCAGCTGGATATTTGGACCTCTTTGAGGCCTTCGTAGTAAACGGGATTTCTTCGTGTAATGATAGACAATAGAATTCTCAGTGAATTTTTTTCTGTGTGTGTGTATTCAACTCACAGGGTTGAACCTTCCTTCAGACAGTGCAGATTTGAAACACTTTTCTGTGGAATTTGCAAGGGGAGATTTCAAGCACTTTGAGGCCATTGGTGGAAAAGGAAATATCTTCGTATAAAAACTAGACAGAATCATTCTCAGGAACTACTTTGTGATATGTGCATTCAACTCACAGGGTTTAACCTTTCTTTTCATAGATGAGTTTGGAAACAGTCAGTTTGTAAATTCTGCAACTGGATATTTGGACCTCTTTGAGGCTTTCGTTGGAAACGGGATTTCTTCACATAATGCTAGACAGAAGAATTCGCAGTAACTTCCTTTGGGATGTATGTATTGAACTCAGAGAGTTGAACCTTCCTTTAGACAGAGCGCATTGGAAACACGCTTTTTGCGGAATTTTCAGGTGGAGATTCCAAGAGCCTTGAGGCCAATGGTAGAAAAGGCTATCTTCGTATAAAAACTAGAGGGAAACATTCTCAGAAACTGCTTTGTGATGTGTGCATTGAACTCACAGAGTTGAACATTTCTTTGCATAGAGCAGTTTGGAAAGACTTAGTTTGTACAGTGTGCAAGTGGATATTTGGAACTCTTTGAGGCCTTCGTTGGAAAAGGGATTTCTTCTTATACTTCTTGACAAAAGAATTCTCAGTAGCTTCTTTGTGTGTGTGTATTCAACTCACAGAGTTGAACCTTCCTTTAGACAGAGCAGATTGGAAACACTCTTTTTGTGGAATTTGCAAGTGGAGAATTCTAGCGCTTTGACGCCAATGGTAGAAAGGAAATATCTTCGTATAAAAACTAGACAGTATCATTCTCAGAAGCTACTTTGTGATGTGTGCGTTCAACTCACAGAGTTTAACCTTTCTTTTCATAGAGCGGTTTGGAAACCCTCTGTTTGTGAAGTCTGCAAGTGGATATTTAAACGTCTTTGAGGCCTTCGTTGGAAACGGGATTTTTTCATATAAACCAGGACAGAAGAATTCTCAGAAACTTCTTGATTGTTATGTGTGCATTCAACTCACAGAGTAGAACCTTACTTTGGAAAGAGCAGTTTTCTAACACTCTTTTTGTAAAAGTTCCAAGTGAATACTTTGAGTGCTTTGAAGCCTACGGTTGACAACGAAATATCTTCATGTAAAAACTACAAAGAATCATTCGCAGAAACCACGTTGTGATCTCTGCATTCAACTCACAGAGTTGAACCTTTCTTCCTATAGAGCAGTTATGAAACAGTCTCTTTGTAGAATTTGCAAGGGTGTATTTAGAGGGCATTGAAGCCTACGGTATAAAAGGAAATATCTTACCATAAAATCTAGTCAGAAGCATTCTCAGCAACTGAGTTGTGATGTTTGCATTCAACTCACAGAGTTCAACATTCCTTTTCATGGAGCGGTTTTGAAACACTCTTTTTGCAGAATCTGCAAGTGGATATTTGGACCTCTTTGAGGCCTTCGTTGGAAACGGGATTTCTTCATGTAATGCCAGACAGAAGAATTCTCAGTGAATTCTTTCTGTGTGTGTGTATTCAACTCACGGAGTTGAACGTTCCTTTAGACAGAGTAGATTGGAAACACTCTTTTTGTGGAATTTTCAGGTGGAGGTATCAAGCGCTTTGAGGCCAATGATAGAAAAGGAAATACCTTCGTATAATAATTAGACGGAATCATTCTCAGAAACTGCTTTGCAATGTGTGCGTTCAACTCACAGTGTTTAACCTTTCTTTTCATACAGTTTTGTTTCGAAACACTCTTTTTGCAGAATCTGCAAGTGGATATTTGGACCTCTTTGAAGTCTTCGTTGGAAATGGGATTTCTTCATATAATGCTAGACAGAAGACTTCTCAGTAACTGCTTTTTCTGGTGTGTATTCAACTCTCAGAGTTGAACTTTCCTTTAGAAACAGCAGATTTGAAACTCTCTTTTTGTGGAATTTGCAAGTGGAGATTTCAGAGCTTTGAGGCCAATGGTAGAAAAGGAAATATCTTCGTATGCAAACTAGACAGAATCATTCTCAGAAACTACTTTGGTACGTGTGTGTTCAACTCACAGTGTGTAACCTTTCTTTTCATAGAGCAGTTTGGAAACACTCAGTTTGTAAAGTCAGCAACTGGATATTTGGATGTATTTGAGGCCTTCGTTGGAAACGGGATTTCTTCATATAATGCTAGACAGAAGAATTCTCAGTAACTTCTTTGGGTTGTGGGTATTCAAGTCACAGAGTTGAAGCTTCCTTTAGGCGGAGCAGATTGGAAACACTTTTTGTGGAATTTTCAGGGGGAGACTTCAAGCGCTTTGAAGTGAATGGTAGGAAAGGAAATATCTTCGTATAAAAACTAGACGGAGTCATTCTCAGAAACTACTTTGTGATGTTTGCGTTCAACTCACAGAGTTTAACGTTTCTTTTCATAGAGCAGTTTGGAAACACTCTTTTTGCAGAATCTGCAAGTGGATATTTGGACCTCTTTGTGGCCTTCGTTGGAAACGGGATTTTTCATATAATGCTAGACAGAAGAATTCTCAGTAACTTCTTTTTGTGGTGTGTATTCAACTCACAGAGTTGAACCTTCCTTTAGACAGAGCAGATTTGAAACTCTCTTTTTGTGGAATTTGCAAGTGGAGATTTCAAGCGCTTTGAGGCCAACGGCAGAAAAGGAAATATCTTCGTAGAAAAAATAGACGGAATCATTCTCAGAAACTGCTTTGGGATGTGTGCATTGAACTCACAGTGTTTAACACTTCTTTTCATAGAGCACTTTGGAAACACTCAGTTTGTAATGTCTGCAGCTGGATATTTGGACCTCTTTGAGGCCTTCGTAGTAAACGGGATTTCTTCGTGTAATGATAGACAATAGAATTCTCAGTGAATTTGTTTCTGTGTGTGTGTATTCAACTCACAGGGTTGAACCTTCCTTTAGACAGTGCAGATTTGAAACACTTGTCTGTGGAATTTGCAAGGGGAGATTTCAAGCACTTTGAGGCCATTGGTGGAAAAGGAAATATCTTCGTATAAAAACTAGACAGAATCATTCTCAGGAACTACTTTGTGATATGTGCATTCAACTCACAGAGTTTAACCTTTCTTTTCATAGATGAGTTTGGAAACAGTCAGTTTGTAAATTCTGCAACTGGATATTTGGACCTCTTTGAGGCTTTCGTTGGAAACGGGATTTCTTCACATAATGCTAGACAGAAGAATTCTCAGTAACTTCTTTTGGGATGTATGTATTCAACTCAGAGAGTTGAACCTTCCTTTAGACAGAGCGGATTGGAAACACTCTTTTTGTGGAATTTGCAAGTGGAAAATTCTAGCAGTATGAGGCCAATGGTACAAAAGGAAATATCTTCGTATAAAAACTAGACAGTTATCATTCTCAGAAACTGCTTTGTGATGTGTGTATTAAACTCACAGAGTTGAACATTTCTTTGCATAGAGCAGTTTGGAAAGACTTAGTTTGTGCAGTGTGCAAGTGGATATTTGGAACTCTTTGAGGCCTTCGTTGGAAACGGGATTTCTTCTTATAATTCTTGACAAAAGAATTCTCAGTAGCTTCTTTGTGTGTGTGTATTCAACTCACAGAGTTGAACCTGCCTTTAGGCAGAGCAGATTGGAAACCCACTTTTTGTGGAATTTGCAAGTGGAGAATTCTAGCGCTTTGACGCCAATGGTAGGAAAGGAAATATCTCCGTATAAAAACTAGACAGTATCATTCTCAGAAACTACTTTGTGATGTGTGCGTTCAACTCACAGAGTTTAACCTTTCTTTTCATAGAGCAGTTTGGAAACACTCTGTTTGTGAAGTCTGCAAGAGGATATTTAAACGTCTTTGAGGCCTTCGTTGGAAACGGGATTTTTTCATATAAACCAGGACTGAAGAATTCTCAGAAACTTCTTGTTTGTTATGTGTGCATTCAACTCACAGAGTTGAACCTTACTTCGGAAAGAGCAGTTTTCTAACACTCTTTTTGTAAAAGTTCCAAGTGAATACTTTGAGTGCTTTGAAGCCTACGGTAGACAACGAAATATCTTCATGTAAAAACTGCAAAGAATCATTCGCCGAAACCACGTTGTGATCTCTGCATTCAACTCACAGAGTTCAACCTTTCTTCCTATAGAGCAGTTATGAAACAGTCTCTTTGTAGAATTTGCAAGGGTGTATTTAGAGGGCATTGAGGCCTACGGTAGAAAAGGAAATATCTGACCATAAAATCTAGTCAGAAGCATTCTCAGAAACTGAGTTGTGATGTTTGCATTCAACTCACAGAGTTCAACATTCCTTTTCATGGAGCGGTTTTGAAACACTCTTTTTGCAGAATCTGCAAGTGGATATTTGGACCTCTTTGAGGCCTTCGTTGGGAACGGGATTTCTTCATGTAATGCCAGACAGAAGAACTCTCAGTGAATTCTTTCTGTGTGTGTGTATTCAACTCACAGAGTTGAACGTTCCTTTAGACAGAGTAGATTGGAAACACTCTTTTTGTGGAATTTTCAGGTGGAGGTATCAAGGGCTTTGAGGCCCATGATAGAAAAGGAAATACCTTCATATAATAATTAGACGGAATCATTCTCAGAAACTGCTTTGCAATGTGTGCCTTCAACTCACAGCGTTTAACCTTTCTTTTCATACAGTTGTTTCGAAACACTCTTTTTGCAGAATCTGCAAGTGGATATTTGGACCTCTTTGAAGGCTTCGTTGGAAATGGGATTTCTTCATATAATGCTAGACAGAAGACTTCTCAGTAACTGCTTTTTCTGGTGTGTATTCAACTCTCAGAGTTGAACTTTCCTTTAGAAACAGCAGATTTGAAACTCTCTTTTTGTGGAATTTGCAAGTGGAGATTTCAAAGCTTTGAGGCCAATGGTAGAAAAGGAAATATCTTCGTATGCAAACTAGACAGAATCATTCTCAGAAACTACTTTGGTACGTGTGTGTTCAACTCACAGTGTTTAACCTTTCCTTTCATAGAGCAGTTTGGAAACACTCAGTTTGTAAAGTCAGCAACTGGATATCTTGATGTATTTGAGGCCTTCGTTGGAAACGGGATTTCTTCATGTAATGCTAGACAGAAGAATTCTCAGTAACTTCTTTGGGTTGTGGGTATTCAAGTCACAGAGTTGAAGCTTCCTTTAGGCGGAGCAGATTGGAAACACTTTTTGTGGAATTTTCAGAGGGAGACTTCAAGCGCTTTGAAGTGAATGGTAGGAAAGGAAATATCTTCGTATAAAAACTAGACGGAGTCATTCTCAGAAACTACTTTGTGATGTTTGCGTTCAACTCACAGAGTTTAACGTTTCTTTTCATAGAGCAGTTTGGAAACACTCTTTTTGCAGAATCTGCAAGTGGATATTTGGACCTCTTTGTGGCCTTCGTTGGAAACGGGATTTTTCATATAATGCTAGACAGAAGAATTCTCAGTAACTTCTTTTTGTGGTGTGTATTCAACTCACAGAGTTGAACCTTCCTTTAGACAGAGCAGATTTGAAACTCTCTTTTTGTGGAATTTGCAAGTGGAGATTTCAAGCGCTTTGAGGCCAACGGCAGAAAAGGAAATATCTTCGTAGAAAAAATAGACGGAATCATTCTCAGAAACTGCTTTGGGATGTGTGCATTGAACTCACAGTGTTTAACACTTCTTTTCATAGAGCACTTTGGAAACACTCAGTTTGTAATGTCTGCAGCTGGATATTTGGACCTCTTTGAGGCCTTCGTAGTAAACGGGATTTCTTCGTGTAATGATAGACAATAGAATTCTCAGTGAATTTTTTTCTGTGTGTGTGTATTCAACTCACAGGGTTGAACCTTCCTTTAGACAGTGCAGATTTGAAACACTTGTCTGTGGAATTTGCAAGGGGAGATTTCAAGCACTTTGAGGCCATTGGTGGAAAAGGAAATATCTTCGTATAAAAACTAGACAGAATCATTCTCAGGAACTACTTTGTGATATGTGCATTCAACTCACAGAGTTTAACCTTTCTTTTCATAGATGAGTTTGGAAACAGTCAGTTTGTAAATTCTGCAACTGGATATTTGGACCTCTTTGAGGCTTTCGTTGGAAACGGGATTTCTTCACATAATGCTAGACAGAAGAATTCTCAGTAACTTCTTTTGGGATGTATGTATTCAAATCAGAGAGTTGAACCTTCCTTTAGACAGAGCGGATTGGAAACACTCTTTTTGTGGAATTTGCAAGTGGAAAATTCTAGCAGTATGAGGCCAATGGTACAAAAGGAAATATGTTCGTATAAAAACTAGACAGTATCATTCTCAGAAACTGCTTTGTGATGTGTGCATTAAACTCACAGAGTTGAACATTTCTTTGCATAGAGCAGTTTGGAAAGACTTAGTTTGTACAGTGTGCAAGTGGATATTTGGAACTCTTTGAGGCCTTCGTTGGAAACGGGATTTCTTCTTATAATTCTTGACAAAAGAATTCTCAGTAGCTTCTTTGTGTGTGTGTATTCAACTCACAGAGTTGAACCTTCCTTTAGGCAGAGCAGATTGGAAACCCACTTTTTGTGGAATTGGCAAGTGGAGAATTCTAGCGCTTTGACGCCAATGGTAGGAAAGGAAATATCTCCGTATAAAAACTAGACAGTATCATTCTCAGAAACTACTTTGTGATGTGTGCGTTCAACTCACAGAGTTTAACCTTTCTTTTCATAGAGCAGTTTGGAAACACTCTGTTTGTGAAGTCTGCAAGAGGATATTTAAACGTCTTTGAGGCCTTCGTTGGAAACGGGATTTTTTCATATAAACCAGGACAGAAGAATTCTCAGAAACTTCTTGTTTGTTATGTGTGCATTCAACTCACAGAGTTGAACCTTACTTCGGAAAGAGCAGTTTTCTAACACTCTTTTTGTAAAAGTTCCAAGTGAATACTTTGAGTGCTTTGAAGCCTATGGTAGACAACGAAATATCTTCATGTAAAAACTGCAAAGAATCATTCGCCGAAACCACGTTGTGATCTCTGCATTCAACTCACAGAGTTCAACCTTTCTTCCTATAGAGCAGTTATTAAACAGTCTCTTTGTAGAATTTGCAAGGGTGTATTTAGAGGGCATTGAGGCCTACGGTAGAAAAGGAAATATCTGACCATAAAATCTAGTCAGAAGCATTCTCAGAAACTGAGTTGTGATGTTTGCATTCAACTCACAGAGTTCAACATTCCTTTTCATAAAGCGGTTTTGAAACACTCTTTTTCCAGAATCTGCAAGTGGATATTTGGACCTCTTTGAGGCCTTCGTTGGAAACGGGATTTCTTCATGTAATCCCAGACAGAAGAACTCTCAGTGAATTCTTTCTGTGTGTGTGTACTCAACTCACAGAGTTGAACGTTCCCTTAGACAGAGTAGATTGGAAACACTCTTTTTGTGGAATGTTCACGTGGAGGTATCAAGCGCTTTGAGGCCCATGATAGAAAAGGAAATACCTTCGTATAATAATTAGATGGATTCATTCTCAGAAACTGCTTTGCAATGTGTGCCTTCAACTCACAGTGTTTAACCTTTCTTTTCATACAGTTGTTTCGAAACACCCTTTTTGCGGAATCTGGAAGTGGATATTTGGACCTCTTTGAAGTCTTCGTTGGAAATGGGATTTCTTCATATAATGCTAGACAGAAGACTTCTCAGTAACTGGTTTTTCTGGTGTGTATTCAACTCTCAGAGTTGAACTTTCCTTTAGAAACAGCAGATATGAAACTCTCTTTTTGTGGAATTTGCAAGTGGAGATTTCAAAGCATTGAGGCCAATGGTAGAAAAGGAAATATCTTCGTATGCCAACTAGACAGAATCATTCTCAGAAACTACTTTGGTACGTGTGTGTTCAACTCACAGTGTTTAACCTTTCCTTTCATAGAGCAGTTTGGAAACACTCAGTTTGTAAAGTCAGCCACTGGATATTTGGATGTATTTGAGGCCTTCGTTGGAAACGGGATTTCTTCATATAATGCTAGACAGAAGAATTCTCAGTAACTTCTTTGTGTTGTGGGTATTCAACTCACAGAGTTGAAGCTTCCTTTAGGCGGAGCAGATTGGAAACACTTTTTGTGGAATTTTCAGGGGGAGACTTCAAGCGCTTTGAGGCCAACGGTAGAAAAGGAAATATCTTCGTATAAAAACTAGACGGAGTCATTCTCAGAAACTACTTTGTGATGTTTGCATTCAACTCACAGAGTTTAACGTTTCTTTTCATAGAGCAGTTTGGAGACACTCTTTTTGCAGAATCTGCAAGTGGATATTTGGACCTCTTTGTGGCCTTCGTTGGAAACGGGATTTTTCATATAATGCTAGACAGAGAATTCTCAGTAACTTCTTTTTGTGGTGTGTATTCAACTCACAGAGTTGAACCTTCCTTTAGACAGAGCAGATTTGAAACTCTCTTTTTGTGGAATTTGCAAGTGGAGATTTCAAGCGCTTTGAGGCCAACGGCAGAAAAGGAAATATCTTCGTAGAAAAAATAGACGGAATCATTCTCAGAAACTGCTTTGGGATGTGTGCATTGAACTCACAGTGTTTAACACTTCTTTTCATAGAGCACTTTGGAAACACTCAGTTTGTAATGTCTGCAGCTGGATATTTGGACCTCTTTGAGGCCTTCGTGGTAAACGGGATTTCTTCGTGTAATGATAGACAATAGAATTCTCAGTGAATTTTTTTCTGTGTGTGTGTATTCAACTCACAGGGTTGAACCATCCTTTAGACAGTGCAGATTTGAAACACTTGTCTGTGGAATTTGCAAGGGGAGATTTCAAGCACTTTGAGGCCATTGGTGGAAAAGGAAATATCTTCGTATGAAAACTATACAGAATCATTCTCAGGAACTACTTTGTGATATGGGCATTCAACTCACAGAGTTTAACCTTTCTTTTCATAGATGAGTTTGGAAACAGTCAGTTTGTAAATTCTGCAACTGGATATTTGGACCTCTTTGAGGCTTTCGTTGGAAACGGGATTTCTTCACATAATGCTAGACAGAAGAATTCTCACTAACTTCTTTTGGGATGTATGTATTCAAATCAGAGAGTTGAACCTTCCTTTAGACAGAGCGGATTGGAAACCCTCTTTTTGTGGAATTTGCAAGTGGAAAATTCTAGCAGTATGAGGCCAATGGTACAAAAGGAAATATCTTCGTATAAAAACTAGACAGTATCATTCTCAGAAACTGCTTTGTGATGTGTGTATTAAACTCACAGAGTTGAACATTTCTTTGCATAGAGCAGTTTGGAAAGACTTAGTTTGTGCAGTGTGCAAGTGGATATTTGGAACTCTTTGAGGCCTTCGTTGGAAACGGGATTTCTTCTTATAATTCCTTGACAAAAGAATTCTCAGTAGCTTCTTTGTGTATGTGTATTCAACTCACAGAGTTGAACCTTCCTTTAGACAGAGCAGATTGGAAACACTCTTTTTGTGGAATTTGCAAGTGGAGAATTCTAGCGCTTTGACGCCAATGGTAGAAAGGAAATATCTTCGTATAAAAACTAGACAGTATCATTCTCAGAAGCTACTTTGTGATGTGTGCGTTCAACTCACAGAGTTTAACCTTTCTTTTCATAGAGCAGTTTGGAAACACTCTGTTTGTGAAGTCTGCAAGTGGATATTTAAACGTCTTTGAGGCCTTCGTTGGAAACGGGATTTTTTCATATAAACCAGGACAGAGGAATTCTCAGAAACTTCTTGATTGTTATGTGTGCATTCAACTCACAGAGTTGAACCTTACTTTGGAAAGAGCAGTTTTCTAACACTCTTTTTGTAAAAGTTCCAAGTGAATACTTTGAGTGCTTTGAAGCCTACGGTTGACAACGAAATATCTTCATGTAAAAACAACAAAGAATCATTCGCAGAAACCACGTTGTGATCTCTGCAGTCAACTCACAGAGTTCAACCTTTCTTCCTATAGAGCAGTTATGAAACAGTCTCTTTGTAGAATTTGCAAGGGTGTATTTAGAGGGCATTGAAGCCTACGGTAGAAAAGGAAATATCTTACCATAAAATCTAGTCAGAAGCATTCTCAGAAACTGAGTTGTGATGTTTGCATTCAACTCACAGAGTTCAACATTCCTTTTAATGGAGCGGTTTTGAAACACTCTTTTTGCAGAATCTGCAAGTGGATATTTGGACCTCTTTGAGGCCTTCGTTGGAAACGGGATTTCTTCATGTAATGCCAGACAGAAGAATTCTCAGTGAATTCTTTCTGTGTGTGTGTATTCAACTCACAGAGTTGAACGTTCCTTTAGACAGAGTAGATTGGAAACACTCTTTTTGTGGAATTTTCAGGTGGAGGTATCAAGCGCTTTGAGGCCAATGATAGAAAAGGAAATACCTTCGTATAATAATTAGACGGAATCATTCTCAGAAACTGCTTTGCAATGTGTGCGTTCAACTCACAGTGTTTAACCTTTCTTTTCATACAGTTTTGTTTCGAAACACTCTTTTTGCAGAATCTGCAAGTGGATATTTGGACCTCTTTGAAGTCTTCGTTGGAAATGGGATTTCTTCATATAATGCTAGACAGAAGACTTCTCAGTAACTGCTTTTTCTGGTGTGTATTCAACTCTCAGAGTTGAACTTTCCTTTAGAAACAGCAGAGTTGAAACTCTCTTTTTGTGGAATTTGCAAGTGGAGATTTCAAAGCTTTGAGGCCAATGGTAGAAAAGGAAATATCTTCGTATGCAAACTAGACAGAATCATTCTCAGAAACTACTTTGGTACGTGTGTGTTCAACTCACAGTGTTTAACCTTTCTTGTCATAGAGCAGTTTGGAAACACTCAGTTTGTAAAGTCAGCAACTGGATATTTGGATGTATTTGAGGCCTTCGTTGGAAACGGGATTTCTTCATATAATGCTAGACAGAAGAATTCTCAGTAATTTCTTTGGGTTGTGGGTATTCAACTCACAGAGTTGAAGCTTCCTTTAGGCGGAGCAGATTGGAAACACTTTTTGTGGAATTTTCAGGGGGAGACTTCAAGCGCTTTGAAGTGAATGGTAGGAAAGGAAATATCTTCGTATAAAAACTAGACGGAGTCATTCTCAGAAACTACTTTGTGATGTTTGCGTTCAACTCACAGAGTTTAACGTTTCTTTTCATAGAGCAGTTTGGAAACACTCTTTTTGCAGAATCTGCAAGTGGATATTTGGACCTCCTTTGTGGCCTTCGTTGGAAACGGGATTTTTCATATAATGCTAGACAGAAGAATTCTCAGTAACTTCTTTTTGTGGTGTGTATTCAACTCACAGAGTTGAACCTTCCTTTAGACAGAGCAGATTTGAAACTCTCTTTTTGTGGAATTTGCAAGTGGAGATTTCAAGCGCTTTGAGGCCAACGGCAGAAAAGGAAATATCTTCGTAGAAAAAATAGACGGAATCATTCTCAGAAACTGCTTTGGGATGTGTGCATTGAACTCACAGTGTTTAACACTTCTTTTCATAGAGCACTTTGGAAACACTCAGTTTGTAATGTCTGCAGCTGGATATTTGGACCTCTTTGAGGCCTTCGTAGTAAACGGGATTTCTTCATGTAATGATAGACAATAGAATTCTCAGTGAATTTTTTTCTGTGTGTGTGTATTCAACTCACAGGGTTGAACCTTCCTTTAGACAGTGCAGATTTGAAACACTTGTCTGTGGAATTTGCAAGGGGAGATTTCAAGCACTTTGAGGCCATTGGTGGAAAAGGAAATATCTTCGTATGAAAACTAGACAGAATCATTCTCAGGAACTACTTTGTGATATGTGCATTCAACTCACAGAGTTTAACCTTTCTTTTCATAGATGAGTTTGGAAACAGTCAGTTTGTAAATTCTGCAACTGGATATTTGGACCTCTTTGAGGCTTTCGTTGGAAACGGGATTTCTTCACATAATGCTAGACAGAAGAATTCTCAGGAACTTCTTTTGGGATGTATGTATTCAAATCAGAGAGTTGAACCTTCCTTTAGACAGAGCGGATTGGAAACACTCTTTTTGTGGAATTTGCAAGTGGAAAATTCTAGCAGTATGAGGCCAATGGTACAAAAGGAAATATCTTTCGTATAAAAACTAGACAGTAATCATTCTCAGAAACTGCTTTGTGATGTGCGTATTAAACTCACAGAGTTGAACATTTCTTTGCATAGAGCAGTTTGGAAAGACTTAGTTTGTGCAGTGTGCAAGTGGATATTTGGAACTCTTTGAGGCCTTCGTTGGAAACGGGATTTCTTCTTGTAATTCTTGACAAAAGAATTCTCAGTAGCTTCTTTGTGTGTGTGTACTCAACTCACAGAGTTGAACCTTCCTTTAGACAGAGCAGATTGGAAACACTCTTTTTGTGGAATTTGCAAGTGGAAAATTCTAGCAGTATGAGGCCAATGGTACAAAAGGAAATATCTTCGTATAAAAACTAGACAGTATCATTCTCAGAAACTACTTTGTGAGGTGTGCGTTCAACTCACAGTGTTTACCTTTTCTTTTCATAGAGCAGTTTGGAAACACTCTGTTTGTGAAGTCTGCAAGTGGATATTTAAACGTCTTTGAGGCCTTCGTTGGAAACGGGATTTCTTCATATAAACCAGGACAGAAGAATTCTCAGAAACTTCTTGTTTGTTATGTGTGCATTCAACTCACAGAGTTGAACCTTACTTTGGAAAGAGCAGTTTTCTAACACTCTTTTTGTAAAAGTTCCAAGTGAATACTTTGAGTGCTTTGAAGCCTACGGTAGACAACGAAATATCTTCATGTAAAAACTACAAAGAATCATTCGCAGAAACCACGTTGTGATCTCTGCATTCAACTCACAGAGTTGAACCTTTCCTCCTATAGAGCAGTTATGAAACAGTCTCTTTGTAGAATTTGCAAGGGTGTATTTACAGGGCATTGAAGCCTACGGTAGAAAAGGAAATATCTTACCATAAAATCTAGTCAGAAGCATTCTCAGAAACTGAGTTGTGATGTTTGCATTCAACTCACAGAGTTCAACATTCCTTTTCATGGAGCGGTTTTGAAACACTCTTTTTGCAGAATCTGCAAGTGGATATTTGGACCTCTTTGAGGCCTTCGTTGAAAACGGGATTTCTTCATGTAATGCCAGACAGAAGAATTCTCAGTGAATTCTTTCTGTGTGTGTGTATTCAACTCACAGAGTTGAACGTTCCTTTAGACAGAGTAGATTGGAAACACTCTTTTTGTGGAATTTTCAGGTGGAGGTATCAAGCGCTTTGAGGCCAATGATAGAAAAGGAAATACCTTCGTATAATAATTAGACGGAATCATTCTCAGAAACCGCTTTGCAATGTGTGCGTTCAACTCACAGTGTTTAACCTTTCTTTTCATACAGTTGTTTCGAAACACTCTTTTTGCAGAATCTGCAAGTGGATATTTGGACCTCTTTGAAGTCTTCGTTGGAAATGGGATTTCTTCATATAATGCTAGACAGAAGACTTCTCAGTAACTGCTTTTTCTGGTGTGTATTCAACTCTCAGAGTTGAACTTTCCTTTAGAAACAGCAGATTTGAAACTCTCTTTTTGTGGAATTTGCAAGTGGAGATTTCAGAGCTTTGAGGCCAATGGTAGAAAAGGAAATATCTTCGTATGCAAACTAGACAGAATCATTCTCAGAAACTACTTTGGTACGTGTGTGTTCAACTCACAGTGTTTAACCTTTCTTTTCATAGAGCAGTTTGGAAACACTCAGTTTGTAAAGTCAGCAACTGGATATTTGGATGTATTTGAGGCCTTCGTTGGAAACGGGATTTCTTCATATAATGCTAGACAGAAGAATTCTCAGTAACTTCTTTGGGTTGTGGGTATTCAAGTCACAGAGTTGAAGCTTCCTTTAGGCGGAGCAGATTGGAAACACTTTTTGTGGAATTTTCAGGGGGAGACTTCAAGCGCTTTGAAGTGAATGGTAGGAAAGGAAATATCTTCGTATAAAAACTAGACGGAGTCATTCTCAGAAACTACTTTGTGATGTTTGCGTTCAACTCACAGAGTTTAACGTTTCTTTTCATAGAGCAGTTTGGAAACACTCTTTTTGCAGAATCTGCAAGTGGATATTTGGACCTCTTTGTGGCCTTCGTTGGAAACGGGATTTTTCATATAATGCTAGACAGAAGAATTCTCAGTAACTTCTTTTTGTGGTGTGTATTCAACTCACAGAGTTGAACCTTCCTTTAGACAGAGCAGATTTGAAACTCTCTTTTTGTGGAATTTGCAAGTGGAGATTTCAAGCGCTTTGAGGCCAACGGCAGAAAAGGAAATATCTTCGTAGAAAAAATAGACGGAATCATTCTCAGAAACTGCTTTGGGATGTGTGCATTGAACTCACAGTGTTTAACACTTCTTTTCATAGAGCACTTTGGAAACACTCAGTTTGTAATGTCTGCAGCTGGATATTTGGACCTCTTTGAGGCCTTCGTGGTAAACGGGATTTCTTCGTGTAATGATAGACAATAGAATTCTCAGTGAATTTTTTTCTGTGTGTGTGTATTCAACTCACAGGGTTGAACCTTCCTTTAGACAGTGCAGATTTGAAACACTTGTCTGTGGAATTTGCAAGGGGAGATTTCAAGCACTTTGAGGCCATTGGTGGAAAAGGAAATATCTTCGTATGAAAACTAGACAGAATCATTCTCAGGAACTACTTTGTGATATGTGCATTCAACTCACAGAGTTTAACCTTTCTTTTCATAGATGAGTTTGGAAACAGTCAGTTTGTAAATTCTGCAACTGGATATTTGGACCTCTTTGAGGCTTTCGTTGGAAACGGGATTTCTTCACATAATGCTAGACAGAAGAATTCTCAGTAACTTCTTTTGGGATGTATGTATTCAAATCAGAGGGTTGAACCTTCCTTTAGACAGAGCGGATTGGAAACACTCTTTTTGTGGAATTTGCAAGTGGAAAATTCTAGCAGTATGAGGCCAATGGTACAAAAGGAAATATCTTCGTATAAAAACTAGACAGTATCATTCTCAGAAACTGCTTTGTGATGTGTGTATTAAACTCACAGAGTTGAACATTTCTTTTCCTAGAGCAGTTTGGAAAGACTTAGTTTGTGTAGTGTGCAAGTGGATATTTGGAACTCTTTGAGGCCTTCTTTGGAAACGGGATTTCTTCTTATAATTCTTGACAAAAGAATTCTCAGTAGCTTCTTTGTGTGTGTGTACTCAACTCACAGAGTTGAACCTTCCTTTAGACAGAGCAGATTGGAAACACTCTTTTTGTGGAATTTGCAAGTGGAAAATTCTAGCAGTATGAGGCCAATGGTACAAAAGGAAATATCTTCGTATAAAAACTAGACAGTATCATTCTCAGAAACTACTTTGTGAGGTGTGCGTTCAACTCACAGTGTTTACCCTTTCTTTTCATAGAGCAGTTTGGAAACACTCTGTTTGTGAAGTCTGCAAGTGGATATTTAAACGTCTTTGAGGCCTTCGTTGGAAACGGGATTTCTTCATATAAACCAGGACAGAAGAATTCTCAGAAACTTCTTGTTTGTTATGTGTGCATTCAACTCACAGAGTTGAACCTTACTTTGGAAAGAGCAGTTTTCTAACACTCTTTTTGTAAAAGTTCCAAGTGAATACTTTGAGTGCTTTGAAGCCTACGGTAGACAACGAAATATCTTCATGTAAAAACTACAAAGAATCATTCGCAGAAACCACGTTGTGATCTCTGCATTCAACTCACAGAGTTGAACCTTTCCTCCTATAGAGCAGTTATGAAACAGTCTCTTTGTTGAATTTGCAAGGGTGTATTTACAGGGCATTGAAGCCTACGGTAGAAAAGGAAATATCTTACCATAAAATCTAGTCAGAAGCATTCTCAGAAACTGAGTTGTGATGTTTGCATTCAACTCACAGAGTTCAACATTCCTTTTAATGGAGCGGTTTTGAAACACTCTTTTTGCAGAATCTGCAAGTGGATATTTGGACCTCTTTGAGGCCTTCGTTGGAAACGGGATTTCTTCATGTAATGCCAGACAGAAGAATTCTCAGTGAATTCTTTCTGTGTGTGTGTATTCAACTCACGGAGTTGAACGTTCCTTTAGACAGAGTAGATTGGAAACACTCTTTTTGTGGAATTTTCAGGTGGAGGTATCAAGCGCTTTGAGGCCAATGATAGAAAAGGAAATACCTTCGTATAATAATTAGACGGAATCATTCTCAGAAACTGCTCTGCAATGTGTGCGTTCAACTCACAGTGTTTAACCTTTCTTTTCATACAGTTGTTTCGAAACACTCTTTTTGCAGAATCTGCAAGTGGATATTTGGACCTCTTTGAAGTCTTCGTTGGAAATGGGATTTCTTCATATAATGCTAGACAGAAGACTTCTCAGTAACTGCTTTTTCTGGTGTGTATTCAACTCTCAGAGTTGAACTTTCCTTTAGAAACAGCAGATTTGAAACTCTCTTTTTGTGGAATTTGCAAGTGGAGATTTCAGAGCTTTGAGGCCAATGGTAGAAAAGGAAATATCTTCGTATGCAAACTAGACAGAATCATTCTCAGAAACTACTTTGGTACGTGTGTGTTCAACTCACAGTGTTTAACCTTTCTTTTCATAGAGCAGTTTGGAAACACTCAGTTTGTAAAGTCAGCAACTGGATATTTGGATGTATTTGAGGCCTTCGTTGGAAACGGGATTTCTTCATATAGTGCTAGACAGAAGAATTCTCAGTAACTTCTTTGGGTTGTGGGTATTCAAGTCACAGAGTTGAAGCTTCCTTTAGGCGGAGCAGATTGGAAACACTTTTTGTGGAATTTTCAGGGGGAGACTTCAAGCGCTTTGAAGTGAATGGTAGGAAAGGAAATATCTTCGTATAAAAACTAGACGGAGTCATTCTCAGAAACTACTTTGTGATGTTTGCGTTCAACTCACAGAGTTTAACGTTTCTTTTCATAGAGCAGTTTGGAAACACTCTTTTTGAAGAATCTGCAAGTGGATATTTGGACCTCTTTGTGGCCTTCGTTGGAAACGGGATTTTTCATATAATGCTAGACAGAAGAATTCTCAGTAACTTCTTTTTGTGGTGTGTATTCAACTCACAGAGTTGAACCTTCCTTTAGACAGAGCAGATTTGAAACTCTCTTTTTGTGGAATTTGCAAGTGGAGATTTCAAGCGCTTTGAGGCCAACGGCAGAAAAGGAAATATCTTCGTAGAAAAAATAGACGGAATCATTCTCAGAAACTGCTTTGGGATGTGTGCATTGAACTCACAGTGTTTAACACTTCTTTTCATAGAGCACTTTGGAAACACTCAGTTTGTAATGTCTGCAGCTGGATATTTGGACCTCTTTGAGGCCTTCGCAGTAAACGGGATTTCTTCGTGTAATGATAGACAATAGAATTCTCAGTGAATTTTTTTCTGTGTGTGTGTATTCAACTCACAGGGTTGAACCTTCCTTTAGACAGTGCAGATTTGAAACACTTGTCTGTGGAATTTGCAAGGGGAGATTTCAAGCACTTTGAGGCCATTGGTGGAAAAGGAAATATCTTCGTATAAAAACTAGACACAATCATTCTCAGGAAACTACTTTGTGATATGTGCATTCAACTCACAGAGTTTAACCTTTCTTTTCATAGATGAGTTTGGAAACAGTCAGTTTGTAAATTCTGCAACTGGATATTTGGACCTCTTTGAGGCTTTCGTTGGAAACGGGATTTCTTCACATAATGCTAGACAGAAGAATTCGCAGTAACTTCTTTTGGGATGTATGTATTCAACTCAGAGAGTTGAACCTTCCTTTAGACAGAGCGGATTGGAAACACGCTTTTTGCGGAATTTTCAGGTGGAGATTTCAAGAGCCTTGAGGCCAATGGTAGAAAAGGCTAACTTCGTATAAAAACTAGACGGAATCATTCTCAGAAACTGCTTTGTGATGTGTGCATTAAACTCACAGAGTTGAACATTTCTTTGCATAGAGCAGTTTGGAAAGACTTAGTTTGTACAGTGTGCAAGTGGATATTTGGAACTCTTTGAGGCCTTCGTTGGAAACGGGATTTCTTCTTATAATTCTTGACAAAAGAATTCTCAGTAGCTTCTTTGTGTGTGTGTATTCAACTCACAGAGTTGAACCTTCCTTTAGACAGAGCAGATTGGAAACACTCTTTTTGTGGAATTTGCAAGTGGAGAATTCTAGCGCTTTGACGCCAATGGAAGGAAAGGAAATATCTCCGTATAAAAACTAGACAGTATCATTCTCAGAAGCTACTTTGTGATGTGTGCGTTCAACTCACAGAGTTTAACCTTTCTTTTCATAGAGCAGTTTGGAAACCCTCTGTTTGTGAAGTCTGCAAGTGGATATTTAAACGTCTTTGAGGCCTTCGTTGGAAACGGGATTTTTTCATATAAACCAGGACAGAAGAATTCTCAGAAACTTCTTGATTGTTATGTGTGCATTCAACTCACAGAGTTGAACCTTACTTTGGAAAGAGCAGTTTCCTAACACTCGTTTTGTAAAAGTTCCAAGTGAATACTTTGAGTGCTTTGAAGCCTACGGTTGACAACGAAATATCTTCATGTAAAAACTACAAAGAATCATTCGCAGAAACCACGTTGTGATCTCTGCATTCAACTCACAGAGTTCAACCTTTCTTCCTATAGAGCAGTTATGAAACAGTCTCTTTGTAGAATTTGCAAGGGTGTATTTAGAGGGCATTGAAGCCTACGGTAGAAAAGGAAATATCTTACCATAAAATCTAGTCAGAAGCATTCTCAGCAACTGAGTTGTGATGTTTGCATTCAACTCACAGAGTTCAACATTCCTTTTAATGGAGCGGTTTTGAAACACTCTTTTTGCAGAATCTGCAAGTGGATATTTGGACCTCTTTGAGGCCTTCGTTGGAAACGGGATTTCTTCATGTAATGCCAGACAGAAGAATTCTCAGTGAATTCTTTCTGTGTGTGTGTATTCAACTCACGGAGTTGAACGTTCCTTTAGACAGAGTAGATTGGAAACACTCTTTTTGTGGAATTTTCAGGTGGAGGTATCAAGCGCTTTGAGGCCAATGATAGAAAAGGAAATACCCTTCGTATAATAATTAGACGGAATCATTCTCAGAAACCGCTTTGCAATGTGTGCGTTCAACTCACAGTGTTTAACCTTTCTTTTCATACAGTTGTTTCGAAACACTCTTTTTGCAGAATCTGCAAGTGGATATTTGGACCTCTTTGAAGTCTTCGTTGGAAATGGGATTTCTTCATATAATGCTAGACAGAAGACTTCTCAGTAACTGCTTTTTCTGGTGTGTATTCAACTCTCAGGAGTTGAACTTTCCTTTAGAAACAGCAGAGTTGAAACTCTCTTTTTGTGGAATTTGCAAGTGGAGATTTCAGAGCTTTGAGGCCAATGGTAGAAAAGGAAATATCTTCGTATGCAAACTAGACAGAATCATTCTCAGAAACTACTTTGGTACGTGTGTGTTCAACTCACAGTGTTTAACCTTTCTTTTCATAGAGCAGTTTGGAAACACTCAGTTTGTAAAGTCAGCAACTGGATATTTGGATGTATTTGAGGCCTTCGTTGGAAACGGGATTTCTTCATATAATGCTAGACAGAAGAATTCTCAGTAACTTCTTTGGGTTGTGGGTATTCAAGTCACAGAGTTGAAGCTTCCTTTAGGCGGAGCAGATTGGAAACACTTTTTGTGGAATTTTCAGGGGGAGACTTCAAGCGCTTTGAAGTGAATGGTAGAAAAGGAAATATCTTCGTATAAAAACTAGACGGAGTCATTCTCAGAAACTACTTTGTGATGTTTGCGTTCAACTCACAGAGTTTAACGTTTCTTTTCATAGAGCAGTTTGGAAACACTCTTTTTGCAGAATCTGCAAGTGGATATTTGGACCTCTTTGTGGCCTTCGTTGGAAACGGGATTTTTCATATAATGCTAGACAGAAGAATTCTCAGTAACTTCTTTTTGTGGTGTGTATTCAACTCACAGAGTTGAACCTTCCTTTAGACAGAGCAGATTTGAAACTCTCTTTTTGTGGAATTTGCAAGTGGAGATTTCAAGCGCTTTGAGGCCAACGGTAGAAAAGGAAATATCTTCGTAGAAAAAATAGACGGAATCATTCTCAGAAACTGCTTTGGGATGTGTGCATTGAACTCACAGTGTTTAACACTTCTTTTCATAGAGCACTTTGGAAACACTCAGTTTGTAATGTCTGCAGCTGGATATTTGGACCTCTTTGAGGCCTTCGTAGTAAACGGGATTTCTTCGTGTAATGATAGACAATAGAATTCTCAGTGAATTTTTTTCTGTGTGTGTGTATTCAACTCACAGGGTTGAACCTTCCTTTAGACAGTGCAGATTTGAGACACTTGTCTGTGGAATTTGCAAGGGGAGATTTCAAGCACTTTGAGGCCATTGGTGGAAAAGGAAATATCTTCGTATAAAAACTAGACAGAATCATTCTCAGGAACTACTTTGTGATATGCGCATTCAACTCACAGAGTTTAACCTTTCTTTTCATAGATGAGTTTGGAAACAGTCAGTTTGTAAATGCTGCAACTGGATATTTGGGCCTCTTTGAGGCTTTCGTTGGAAACGGGATTTCTTCACATAATGCTAGACAGAAGAATTCTCAGTAACTTCTTTTGGGATGTATGTATTCAAATCAGAGAGTTGAACCTTCCTTTAGACAGAGCGGATTGGAAACACTCTTTTTGTGGAATTTGCAAGTGGAAAATTCTAGCAGTATGAGGCCAATGGTACAAAAGGAAATATCTTCGTATAAAAACTAGACAGTATCATTCTCAGAAACTGCTTTGTGATGTGTGTATTAAACTCACAGAGTTGAACATTTCTTTGCATAGAGCAGTTTGGAAAGACTTAGTTTGTGCAGTGTGCAAGTGGATATTTGGAACTCTTTGAGGCCTTCGTTGGAAACGGGATTTCTTCTTATAATTCTTGACAAAAGAATTCTCAGTAGCTTCTTTGTGTGTGTGTATTCAACTCACAGAGTTGAACCTTCCTTTAGACAGAGCAGATTGGAAACACTCTTTTTGTGGAATTTGCAAGTGGAGAATTCTAGCGCTTTGACGCCAATGGTAGAAAGGAAATATCTTCGTATAAAAACTAGACAGTATGATTCTCAGAAACTACTTTGTGATGTGTGCGTTCAACTCACAGAGTTTAACCTTTCTTTTCATAGAGCAGTTTGGAAACACTCTGTTTGTGAAGTCTGCAAGTGGATATTTAAACGTCTTTGAGGCCTTCATTGGAAACGGGATTTTTTCATATAAACCAGGACAGAAGAATTCTCAGAAACTTCTTGATTGTTATGTGTGCATTCAACTCACAGAGTTGAACCTTACTTTGGAAAGAGCAGTTTTCTAACACTCTTTTTGTAAAAGTTCCAAGTGAATACTTTGAGTGCTTTGAAGCCTACGGTTGACAACGAAATATCTTCATGTAAAAACTACAAAGAATCATTCGCAGAAACCACGTTGTGATCTCTGTATTCAACTCACAGAGTTGAACCTTTCTTCCTATAGAGCAGTTATGAAACAGTCTCTTTGTAGAATTTGCAAGGGTGTATTTAGAGGGCATTGAAGCCTACGGTAGAAAAGGAAATATCTTACCATAAAATCTAGTCAGAAGCATTCTCAGCAACTGAGTTGTGATGTTTGCATTCAACTCACAGAGTTCAACATTCCTTTTAATGGAGCGGTTTTGAAACACTCTTTTTGCAGAATCTGCAAGTGGATATTTGGACCTCTTTGAGGCCTTCGTTGGAAACGGGATTTCTTCATGTAATGCCAGACAGAAGAATTCTCAGTGAATTCTTTCTGTGTGTGTGTATTCAACTCACAGAGTTGAACGTTTCTTTAGACAGAGTAGATTGGAAACACTCTTTTTGTGGAATTTTCAGGTGGAGGTATCAAGCGCTTTGAGGCCAATGATAGAAAAGGAAATACCTTCGTATAATAATTAGACGGAATCATTCTCAGAAACTGCTTTGCAATGTGTGCGTTCAACTCACAGTGTTTAACCTTTCTTTTCATACAGTTGTTTCGAAACACTCTTTTTGCAGAATCTGCAAATGGATATTTGGACCTCTTTGAAGTCTTCGTTGGAAATGGGATTTCTTCATATAATGCTAGACAGAAGACTTCTCAGTAACTGCTTTTTCTGGTGTGTATTCAACTCTCAGAGTTGAACTTTCCTTTAGAAACAGCAGATTTGAAACTCTCTTTTTGTGGAATTTGCAAGTGGAGATTTCAGAGCTTTGAGGCCACTGGTAAAAAAGGAAATATCTTCGTATGCAAACTAGACAGAATCATTCTCAGAAACTACTTTGGTACGTGTGTGTTCAACTCACAGTGTTTAACCTTTCTTTTCATAGAGCAGTTTGGAAACACTCAGTTTGTAAAGTCAGCAACTGGATATTTGGATGTATTTGAGGCCTTCGTTGGAAACGGGATTTCTTCATATAATGCGAGACAGAAGAATTTTCAGTAACTTCTTTGGGTTGTGGGTATTCAACTCACAGAGTTGAAGCTTCCTTTAGGCGGAGCAGATTGGAAACACTTTTTGTGGAATTTTCAGGGGGAGACTTCAAGCGCTTTGAAGTGAATGGTAGGAAAGGAAATATCTTCATATAAAAACTAGACGGAGTCATTCTCAGAAACTACTTTGTGATGTTTGCGTTCAACTCACAGAGTTTAACGTTTCTTTTCATAGAGCAGTTTGGAAACACTCTTTTTGCAGAATCTGCAAGTGGATATTTGGACCTCTTTGTGGCCTTCGTTGGAAACGGGATTTTTCATATAATGCTAGACAGAAGAATTCTCAGTAACTTCTTTTTGTGGTGTGTATTCAACTCACAGAGTTGAACCTTCCTTTAGACAGAGCAGATTTGAAACTCTCTTTTCGTGGAATTTGCAAGTGGAGATTTCAAGCGCTTTGAGGCCAACGGTAGAAAAGGAAATATCTTCGTAGAAAAAATAGACGGAATCATTCTCAGAAACTGCTTTGGGATGTGTGCATTGAACTCACAGTGTTTAACACTTCTTTTCATAGAGCACTTTGGAAACACTCAGTTTGTAATATCTGCAGCTGGATATTTGGACCTCTTTGAGGCCTTCGTAGTAAACGGGATTTCTTCGTGTAATGATAGACAATAGAATTCTCAGTGAATTTTTTTCTGTGTGTGTGTATTCAACTCACAGGGTTGAACCTTCCTTTAGACAGTGCAGATTTGAAACACTTGTCTGTGGAATTTGCAAGGGGAGATTTCAAGCACTTTGAGGCCATTGGTGGAAAAGGAAATATCTTCGTATAAAAACTAGACAGAATCATTCTCAGGAACTACTTTGTGATATGTGCATTCAACTCACAGAGTTTAACCTTTCTTTTCATAGATGAGTTTGGAAACAGTCAGTTTGTAAATGCTGCAACTGGATATTTGGACCTCTTTGAGGCTTTCGTTGGAAACGGGATTTCTTCACATAATGCTAGACAGAAGAATTCTCAGTAACTTCTTTTGGGATGTATGTATTCAACTCAGAGAGTTGAACCTTCCTTTAGACAGAGCAGATTGAAAACACGCTTTTTGCGGAATTTTCAGGTGGAGATTTCAAGAGCCTTGAGGCCCATGGTAGAAAAGGCTATCTTCGTATAAAAACTAGACGGAATCATTCTCAGAAACTGCTTTGTGATGTGTGTATTAAACTCACAGAGTTGAACATTTCTTTGCATAGAGCAGTTTGGAAAGACTTAGTTTGTGCAGTGTGCAAGTGGATATTTGGAACTCTTTGAGGCCTTCGTTGGAAACGGGATTTCTTCTTATAATTTCTTGAAAAAAGAATTCTCAGTAGCTTCTTTGTGTGTGTGTATTCAACTCACAGAGTTGAACCTTCCTTTAGACAGAGCAGATTGGAAACACTCTTTTTGTGGAATTTGCAAGTGGAGAATTCTAGCGCTTTGACGCCAATGGTAGAAAGGAAATATCTTCGTATAAAAACTAGACAGTATCATTCTCAGAAGCTACTTTGTGATGTGTGCGTTCAACTCACAGAGTTTAACCTTTCTTTTCATAGAGCGGTTTGGAAACCCTCTGTTTGTGAAGTCTGCAAGTGGATATTTAAACGTCTTTGAGGCCTTCGTTGGAAACGGGATTTTTTCATATAAACCAGGACAGAAGAATTCTCAGAAACGTCTTGATTGTTATGTGTGCATTCAACTCACAGAGTTGAACCTTACTTTGGAAAGAGCAGTTTTCTAACACTCTTTTTGTAAAAGTTCCAAGTGAATACTTTGAGTGCTTTGAAGCCTACGGTTGACAACGAAATATCTTCATGTAAAAACTACAAAGAATCATTCGCAGAAACCACGTTGTGATCTCTGCTTTCAACTCACAGAGTTGAACCTTTCCTCCTATAGAGCAGTTATGAAACAGTCTCTTTGTTGAATTTGCAAGGGTGTATTTACAGGGCATTGAAGCCTATGGTAGAAAAGGAAATATCTTACCATAAAATCTAGTCAGAAGCATTCTCAGAAACTGAGTTGTGATGTTTGCATTCAACTCACAGAGTTCAACATTCCTTTTAATGGAGCGGTTTTGAAACACTCTTTTTGCAGAATCTGCAAGTGGATATTTGGACCTCTTTGAGGCCTTCGTTGGAAACGGGATTTCTTCATGTAATGCCAGACAGAAGAATTCTCAGTGAATTCTTTCTGTGTGTGTGTATTCAACTCACGGAGTTGAACGTTCCTTTAGACAGAGTAGATTGGAAACACTCTTTTTGTGGAATTTTCAGGTGGAGGTATCAAGCGCTTTGAGGCCAATGATAGAAAAGGAAATACCTTCGTATAATAATTAGACGGAATCATTCTCAGAAACTGCTTTGCAATGTGTGCGTTCAACTCACAGTGTTTAACCTTTCTTTTCATACAGTTGTTTCGAAACACTCTTTTTGCAGAATCTGCAAGTGGATATTTGGACCTCTTTGAAGTCTTCGTTGGAAATGGGATTTCTTCATATAATGCTAGACAGAAGACTTCTCAGTAACTGCTTTTTCTGGTGTGTATTCAACTCTCAGAGTTGAACTTTCCTTTAGAAACAGCAGATTTGAAACTCTCTTTTTGTGGAATTTGCAAGTGGAGATTTCAGAGCTTTGAGGCCAATGGTAGAAAAGGAAATATCTTCGTATGCAAACTAGACAGAATCATTCTCAGAAACTACTTTGGTACGTGTGTGTTCAACTCACAGTGTTTAACCTTTCTTTTCATAGAGCAGTTTGGAAACACTCAGTTTGTAAAGTCAGCAACTGGATATTTGGATGTATTTGAGGCCTTCGTTGGAAACGGGATTTCTTCATATAATGCTAGACAGAAGATTTCTCAGTAACTTCTTTGGGTTGTGGGTATTCAACTCACAGAGTTGAAGCTTCCTTTAGGCGGAGCAGATTGGAAACACTTTTTGTGGAATTTTCAGGGGGAGACTTCAAGCGCTTTGAAGTGAACGGTAGGAAAGGAAATATCTTCGTATAAAAACTAGACGGAGTCATTCTCAGAAACTACTTTGTGATGTTTGCGTTCAACTCACAGAGTTTAACGTTTCTTTTCATAGAGCAGTTTGGAAACACTCTTTTTGCAGAATCTGCAAGTTGATATTTGGACCTCTTTGTGGCCTTCGTTGGAAACGGGATTTTTCATATAATGCTAGACAGAAGAATTCTCAGTAACTTCTTTTTGTGGTGTGTATTCAACTCACAGAGTTGAACCTTCCTTTAGACAGAGCAGATTTGAAACTCTCTTTTTGTGGAATTTGCAAGTGGAGATTTCAAGCGCTTTGAGGCCAACGGCAGAAAAGGAAATATCTTCGTAGAGAAAATAGACGGAATCATTCTCAGAAACTGCTTTGGGATGTGTGCATTGAACTCACAGTGTTTAACACTTCTTTTCATAGAGCACTTTGGAAACACTCAGTTTGTAATGTCTGCAGCTGGATATTTGGACCTCTTTGAGGCCTTCGTAGTAAACGGGATTTCTTCGTGTAATGATAGACAATAGAATTCTCAGTGAATTTTTTTCTGTGTGTGTGTATTCAACTCACAGGGTTGAACCTTCCTTTAGACAGTGCAGATTTGAAACACTTGTCTGTGGAATTTGCAAGGGGAGATTTCAAGCACTTTGAGGCCATTGGTGGAAAAGGAAATATCTTCGTATAAAAACTAGACAGAATCATTCTCAGGAACTACTTTGTGATATGTGCATTCAACTCACAGAGTTTAACCTTTCTTTTCATAGATGAGTTTGGAAACAGTCAGTTTGTAAATTCTGCAACTGGATATTTGGACCTCTTTGAGGCTTTCGTTGGAAACGGGATTTCTTCACATAATGCTAGACAGAAGAATTCTCAGGAACTTCTTTTGGGATGTATGTATTCAAATCAGAGAGTTGAACCTTCCTTTAGACAGAGCGGATTGGAAACACTCTTTTGTGGAATTTGCAAGTGGAAAATTCTAGCAGTATGAGGCCAATGGTACAAAAGGAAATATCTTCGTATAAAAACTAGACAGTATCGTTCTCAGAAACTGCTTTGTGATGTGTGTATTAAACTCACAGAGTTGAACATTTCTTTGCATAGAGCAGTTTGGAAAGACTTAGTTTGTGCAGTGTGCAAGTGGATATTTGGAACTCTTTGAGGCCTTCGTTGGAAACGGGATTTCTTCTTATAATTCTTGACAAAAGAATTCTCAGTAGCTTCTTTGTGTGTGTGTATTCAACTCACAGAGTTGAACCTTCCTTTAGACAGAGCAGATTGGAAACACTCTTTTTGTGGAATTTGCAAGTGGAGAATTCTAGCGCTTTGACGCCAATGGTAGAAAGGAAATATCTTCGTATAAAAACTAGACAGTATCATTCTCAGAAGCTACTTTGTGATGTGTGCGTTAAACTCACAGTAGTTTAAACTTTGTTTTCATAGAGCAGTTTGGAAACACTCTGTTTGTGAAGTCTGCAAGTGGATATTTAAACGTCTTTGAGGCCTTCGTTGGAAACGGGATTTTTTCATATAAACCAGGACAGAAGAATTCTCAGAAACTTCTTGATTGTTATGTGTGCATTCAACTCACAGAGTTGAACCTTACTTTGGAAAGAGCAGTTTTCTAACACTCTTTTTGTAAAAGTTCCAAGTGAATACTTTGAGTGCTTTGAAGCCTACGGTTGACAACGAAATATCTTCATGTAAAAACTACAAAGAATCATTTGCAGAAACCACGTTGTGATCTCTGCATTCAACTCACAGAGTTGAACCTTTCTTCCTATAGAGCAGTTATGAAACAGTCTCTTTGTAGAATTTGCAAGGGTGTATTTAGAGGGCATTGAAGCCTACGGTAGAAAAGGAAATATCTTACCATAAAATGCTAGTCAGAAGCATTCTCAGCAAACTGAGTTGTGATGTTTGCATTCAACTCACAGGAGTTCAACATTCCTTTTCATAGAGCGGTTTTGAAACACTCTTTTTCCAGAATCTGCAAGTGGATATTTGGACCTCTTTGAGGCCTTCGTTGGAAACGGGATTTCTTCATGTAATCCCAGACAGAAGAATTCTCAGTGAATTCTTTCTGTGTGTGTGTATTCAACTCACAGAGTTGAACGTTCCTTTAGACAGAGTAGATTGGAAACACTCTTTTTGTGGAATTTTCAGGTGGAGGTATCAAGCGCTTTGAGGCCAATGATAGAAAAGGAAATACCTTCGTATAATAATTAGACGGAATCATTCTCAGAAACTGCTTTGCAATGTGTGCGTTCAACTAACAGTGTTTAACCTTTCTTTTCATACAGTTGTTTCGAAACACTCTTTTTGCAGAATCTGCAAGTGGATATTTGGACCTCTTTGAAGTCTTCGTTGGAAATGGGATTTCTTCATATAATGCTAGACAGAAGACTTCTCAGTAACTGCTTTTTCTGGTGTGTATTCAACTCTCAGAGTTGAACTTTCCTTTAGAAACAGCAGAGTTGAAACTCTCTTTTTGTGGAATTTGCAAGTGGAGATTTCAAAGCTTTGAGGCCAATGGTAGAAAAGGAAATATCTTCGTATGCAAACTAGACAGAATCATTCTCAGAAACTACTTTGGTACGTGTGTGTTCAAGTCACAGTGTTTAACCTTTCTTTTCATAGAGCAGTTTGGAAACACTCAGTTTGTAAAGTCAGCAACTGGATATTTGGATGTATTTGAGGCCTTCGTTGGAAACGGGATTTCTTCATATAATGCTAGACAGAAGAATTCTCAGTAACTTCTTTGGGTTGTGGGTATTCAACTCACAGAGTTGAAGCTTCCTTTAGGCGGAGCAGATTGGAAACACTTTTTGTGGAATTTTCAGGGGGAGACTTCAAGCGCTTTGAAGTGAATGGTAGAAAAGGAAATATCTTCGTATAAAAACTAGACGGAGTCATTCTCAGAAACTACTTTGTGATGTTTGCGTTCAACTCACAGAGTTTAACGATTCTTTTCATAGAGCAGTTTGGAAACACTCTTTTTGCAGAATCTGCAAGTGGATATTTGGACCTCTTTGTGGCCTTCGTTGGAAACGGGATTTTTCATATAATGCTAGACAGAAGAATTCTCAGTAACTTCTTTTTGTGGTGTGTATTCAACTCACAGAGTTGAACCTTCCTTTAGACAGAGCAGATTTGAAACTCTCTTTTTGTGGAATTTGCAAGTGGAGATTTCAAGCGCTTTGAGGCCAACGGTAGAAAAGGAAATATCTTCGTAGAAAAAATAGACGGAATCATTCTCAGAAACTGCTTTGGGATGTGTGCATTGAACTCACAGTGTTTAACACTTCTTTTCATAGAGCACTTTGGAAACACTCAGTTTGTAATGTCTGCAGCTGGATATTTGGACCTCTTTGAGGCCTTCGTAGTAAACGGGATTTCTTCGTGTAATGATAGACAATAGAATTCTCAGTGAATTTTTTTCTGTGTGTGTGTATTCAACTCACAGGGTTGAACCTTCCTTTAGACAGTGCAGATTTGAAACACTTGTCTGTGGAATTTGCAAGGGGAGATTTCAAGCACTTTGAGGCCATTGGTGGAAAAGGAAATATCTTCGTATAAAAACTAGACAGAATCATTCTCAGGAACTACTTTGTGATATGTGCATTCAACTCACAGAGTTTAACCTTTCTTTTCATAGATGAGTTTGGAAACAGTCAGTTTGTAAATTCTGCAACTGGATATTTGGACCTCTTTGAGGCTTTCGTTGGAAACGGGATTTCTTCACATAATGCTAGACAGAAGAATTCTCAGTAACTTCTTTTGGGATGTATGTATTCAAATCAGAGAGTTGAACCTTCCTTTAGACAGAGCGGATTGGAAACATTCTTTTTGTGGAATTTGCAAGTGGAAAATTCTAGCAGTATGAGGCCAATGGTACAAAAGGAAATATCTTCGTATAAAAACTAGACAGTATCATTCTCAGAAACTGCTTTGTGATGTGTGTATTAAACTCACAGAGTTTAACCTTTCTTTTCATAGAGCAGTTTGGAAACCCTCTTTTTGTGAAGTCTGCAAGTGGATATTTAAACGTCTTTGAGGCCTTCGTTGGAAACGGGATTTTTTCATATAAACCAGGACAGAAGAATTCTCAGAAACTTCTTGATTGTTATGTGTGCATTCAACTCACAGAGTTGAACCTTACTTTGGAAAGAGCAGTTTTCTAACACTCTTTTTGTAAAAGTTCCAAGTGAATACTTTGAGTGCTTTGAAG
Organism: Homo sapiens; assembly: GCF_000001405.40. Classification (NCBI taxonomy): domain Eukaryota; kingdom Metazoa; phylum Chordata; class Mammalia; order Primates; family Hominidae; genus Homo; species Homo sapiens. The sequence continues at coordinate 93,065,698 of NC_000003.12, forward strand.
CCTACGGTTGACAACGAAATATCTTCATGTAAAAACTACAAAGAATCATTCGCAGAAACCACGTTGTGATCTCTGCATTCAACTCACAGAGTTGAACCTTTCTCCCTATAGAGCAGTTATGAAACAGTCTCTTTGTAGAATTTGCAAGGGTGTATTTAGAGGGCATTGAAGCCTACGGTAGAAAAGGAAATATCTTACCATAAAATCTAGTCAGAAGCATTCTCAGCAACTGAGTTGTGATGTTTGCATTCAACTCACAGAGTTCAACATTCCTTTTAATGGAGCGGTTTTGAAACACTCTTTTTGCAGAATCTGCAAGTGGATATTTGGACCTCTTTGAGGCCTTCGTTGGAAACGGGATTTCTTCATGTAATGCCAGACAGAAGAATTCTCAGTGAATTCTTTCTGTGTGTGTGTATTCAACTCACAGAGTTGAACGTTCCTTTAGACAGAGTAGATTGGAAACACTCTTTTTGTGGAATTTTCAGGTGGAGGTATCAAGCGCTTTGAGGCCAATGATAGAAAAGGAAATACCTTCGTATAATAATTAGACGGAATCATTCTCAGAAACTGCTTTGCAATGTGTGCGTTCAACTCACAGTGTTTAACCTTTCTTTTCATACAGTTGTTTCGAAACACTCTTTTTGCAGAATCTGCAAGTGGATATTTGGACCTCTTTGAAGTCTTCGTTGGAAATGGGATTTCTTCATATAATGCTAGACAGAAGACTTCTCAGTAACTGCTTTTTCTGGTGTGTATTCAACTCTCAGAGTTGAACTTTCCTTTAGAAACAGCAGATTTGAAACTCTCTTTTTGTGGAATTTGCAAGTGGAGATTTCAGAGCTTTGAGGCCACTGGTAGAAAAGGAAATATCTTCGTATGCAAACTAGACAGAATCATTCTCAGAAACTACTTTGGTACGTGTGTGTTCAACTCACAGTGTTTAACCTTTCTTTTCATAGAGCAGTTTGGAAACACTCAGTTTGTAAAGTCAGCAACTGGATATTTGGATGTATTTGAGGCCTTCGTTGGAAACGGGATTTCTTCATATAATGCTAGACAGAAGAATTCTCAGTAACTTCTTTGGGTTGTGGGTATTCAACTCACAGAGTTGAAGCTTCCTTTAGGCGGAGCAGATTGGAAACACTTTGTGGAATTTTCAGGGGGAGACTTCAAGCGCTTTGAAGTGAATGGTAGGAAAGGAAATATCTTCGTATAAAAACTAGATGGAGTCATTCTCAGAAACTACTTTGTGATGTTTGCGTTCAACTCACAGAGTTTAACGTTTCTTTTCATAGAGCAGTTTGGAAACACTCTTTTTGCAGAATCTGCAAGTGGATATTTGGACCTCTTTGTGGCCTTCGTTGGAAACGGGATTTTTCATATAATGCTAGACAGAAGAATTCTCAGTAACTTCTTTTTGTGGTGTGTATTCAACTCACAGAGTTGAACCTTCCTTTAGACAGAGCAGATTTGAAAATCTCTTTTTGTGGAATTTGCAAGTGGAGATTTCAAGCGCTTTGAGGCCAACGGCAGAAAAGGAAATATCTTCGTAGAAAAAATAGACGGCATCATTCTCAGAAACTGCTTTGGGATGTGTGCATTGAACTCACAGTGTTTAACACTTCTTTTCATAGAGCACTTTGGAAACACTCAGGTTGTAATGTCTGCAGCTGGATATTTGGACCTCTTTGAGGCCTTCGTAGTAAACGGGATTTCTTCGTGTAATGATAGACAATAGAATTCTCAGTGAATTTTTTTCTGTGTGTGTGTATTCAACTCACAGGGTTGAACCATCCTTTAGACAGTGCAGATTTGAAACACTTGTCTGTGGAATTTGCAAGGGGAGATTTCAAGCACTTTGAGGCCATTGGTGGAAAAGGAAATATCTTCGTATGAAAACTATACAGAATCATTCTCAGGAACTACTTTGTGATATGGGCATTCAACTCCCAGAGTTTAACCTTTCTTTTCATAGATGAGTTTGGAAACAGTCAGTTTGTAAATTCTGCAACTGGATATTTGGACCTCTTTGAGGCTTTCGTTGGAAACGGGATTTCTTCACATAATGCTAGACAGAAGAATTCTCAGTAACTTCTTTTGGGATGTATGTATTCAAATCAGAGAGTTGAACCTTCCTTTAGACAGAGCGGATTGGAAACACTCTTTTTGTGGAATTTGCAAGTGGAAAATTCTAGCAGTATGAGGCCAATGGTACAAAAGGAAATATTCTTCGTATAAAAACTAGACAGTAATCATTCTCAGAAACTGCTTTGTGATGTGTGCATTAAACTCACAGAGTTGAACATTTCTTTGCCTACAGCAGTTTGGAAAGACTTAGTTTGTACAGTCTGTAAGTGGATATTTGGAACTCTTTGAGGCCTTCATTGGAAACGGGATTTCTTCTTATAATTCTTGACAAAAGAATTCTCAGTAGCTTCTTTGTGTGTGTGTATTCAACTCACAGAGTTGAACCTTCCTTTAGACAGAGCAGATTGGAAACACTCTTTTTGTGGAATTTGCAAGTGGAGAATTCTAGCGCTTTGACGCCAATGGTAGAAAGGAAATATCTTCGTATAAAAACTAGACGGTATCATTCTCAGAAGCTACTTTGTGATGTGTGCGTTCAACTCACAGAGTTTAACCTTTCTTTTCATAGAGCAGTTTGGAAACCCTCTGTTTGTGAAGTCTGCAAGTGGATATTTAAACGTCTTTGAGGCCTTCGTTGGAAACGGGATTTTTTCATATAAACCAGGACAGAAGAATTCTCAGAAACTTCTTGATTGTTATGTGTGCATTCAACTCACAGAGTTGAACCTTACTTTGGAAAGAGCAGTTTTCTAACACTCTTTTTGTAAAAGTTCCAAGTGAATACTTTGAGTGCTTTGAAGCCTACGGTTGACAACGAAATATCTTCATGTAAAAACTACAAAGAATCATTCGCAGAAACCACGTTGTGATCTCTGCATTCAACTCACAGAGTTCAACCTTTCTTCCTATAGAGCAGTTATGAAACAGTCTCTTTGTAGAATTTGCAAGGGTGTATTTAGAGGGCATTGAAGCCTACGGTAGAAAAGGAAATATCTTACCATAAAATCTAGTCAGAAGCATTCTCAGAAACTGAGTTGTGATGTTTGCATTCAACTCACAGAGTTCAACATTCCTTTTAATGGAGCGGTTTTGAAACACTCTTTTTGCAGAATCTGCAAGTGGATATTTGGACCTCTTTGAGGCCTTCGTTGGAAACGGGATTTCTTCATGTAATGCCAGACAGAAGAATTCTCAGTGAATTCTTTCTGTGTGTGTGTATTCAACTCACGGAGTTGAACGTTCCTTTAGACAGAGTAGATTGGAAACACTCTTTCTGTGGAATTTTCAGGTGGAGGTATCAAGCGCTTTGAGGCCAATGATAGAAAAGGAAATACCTTCGTATAATAATTAGACGGAATCATTCTCAGAAACTGCTTTGCAATGTGTGCGTTCAACTCACAGTGTTTAACCTTTCTTTTCATACAGTTGTTTCGAAACACTCTTTTTGCAGAATCTGCAAGTGGATATTTGGACCTCTTTGAAGTCTTCGTTGGAAATGGGATTTCTTCATATAATGCTAGACAGAAGACTTCTCAGTAACTGCTTTTTCTGGTGTGTATTCAACTCTCAGAGTTGAACTTTCCTTTAGAAACAGCAGATTTGAAACTCTCTTTTTGTGGAATTTGCAAGTGGAGATTTCAGAGCTTTGAGGCCAATGGTAGAAAAGGAAATATGCTTCGTATGCAAACTAGACAGAATCATTCTCAGAAACTACTTTGGTACGTGTGTGTTCAACTCACAGTGTTTAACCTTTCTTTTCATAGAGCAGTTTGGAAACACTCAGTTTGTAAAGTCAGCAACTGGATATTTGGATGTATTTGAGGCCTTCGTTGGAAACGGGATTTCTTCATATAATGCTAGACAGAAGAATTCTCAGTAACTTCTTTGGGTTGTGGGTATTCAACTCACAGAGTTGAAGCTTCCTTTAGGCGGAGCAGATTGGAAACACTTTTTGTGAAATTTTCAGGGGGAGACTTCAAGCGCTTTGAAGTGAATGGTAGGAAAGGAAATATCTTCGTATAAAAACTAGACGGAGTCATTCTCAGAAACTACTTTGTGATGTTTGCGTTCAACTCACAGAGTTTAACGTTTCTTTTCATAGAGCAGTTTGGAAACACTCTTTTTGCAGAATCTGCAAGTGGATATTTGGACCTCTTTGTGGCCTTCGTTGGAAACGGGATTTTTCATATAATGCTAGACAGAAGAATTCTCAGTAACTTCTTTTTGTGGTGTGTATTCAACTCACAGAGTTGAACCTTCCTTTAGACAGAGCAGATTTGAAACTCTCTTTTTGTGGAATTTGCAAGTGGAGATTTCAAGCGCTTTGAGGCCAACGGCAGAAAAGGAAATATCTTCGTAGAAAAAATAGACGGCATCATTCTCAGAAACTGCTTTGGGATGTGTGCATTGAACTCACAGTGTTTAACACTTCTTTTCATAGAGCACTTTGGAAACACTCAGTTTGTAATGTCTGCAGCTGGATATTTGGACCTCTTTGAGGCCTTCGTGGTAAACGGGATTTCTTCGTGTAATGATAGACAATAGAATTCTCAGTGAATTTTTTTCTGTGTGTGTGTATTCAACTCACAGGGTTGAACCTTCCTTTAGACAGTGCAGATTTGAAACACTTGTCTGTGGAATTTGCAAGGGGAGATTTCAAGCACTTTGAGGCCATTGGTGGAAAAGGAAATATCTTCGTATGAAAACTAGACAGAATCATTCTCAGGAACTACTTTGTGATATGTGCATTCAACTCCCAGAGTTCAACCTTTCTTTTCATAGATGAGTTTGGAAACAGTCAGTTTGTAAATTCTGCAACTGGATATTTGGACCTCTTTGAGGCTTTCATTGGAAACGGGATTTCTTCACATAATGCTAGACAGAAGAATTCTCAGTAACTTCTTTTGGGATGTGTGTATTCAAATCAGAGAGTTGAACCTTCCTTTAGACAGAGCGGATTGGAAACACTCTTTTTGTGGAATTTGCAAGTGGAATATTCTAGCAGTATGAGGCCAATGGTACAAAAGGAAATATCTTCGTATAAAAACTAGACAGTATCATTCTCAGAAACTGCTTTGTGATGTGTGTATTAAACTCACAGAGTTGAACATTTCTTTGCATAGAGCAGTTTGGAAAGACTTAGTTTGTGCAGTGTGCAAGTGGATATTTGGAACTCTTTGAGGCCTTCGTTGGAAACGGGATTTCTTCTTATAATTCTTGACAAAAGAATTCTCAGTAGCTTCTTTGTGTGTGTGTATTCAACTCACAGAGTTGAACCTTCCTTTAGACAGAGCAGATTGGAAACACTCTTTTTGTGGAATTTGCAAGTGGAGAATTCTAGCGCTTTGACGCCAATGGTGGAAAGGAAATATCTTCGTATAAAAACTAGACAGTATCATTCTCAGAAGCTACTTTGTGATGTGTGCGTTCAACTCACAGAGTTTAACCTTTCTTTTCATAGAGCAGTTTGGAAACACTCTGTTTGTGAAGTCTGCAAGTGGATATTTAAACGTCTTTGAGGCCTTCGTTGGAAACGGGATTTTTTCATATAAACCAGGACAGAAGGATTCTCAGAAACTTCTTGTTTGTTATGTGTGCATTCAACTCACAGAGTTGAACCTTACTTTGGAAAGAGCAGTTTTCTAACACTCTTTTTGTAAAAGTTCCAAGTGAATACTTTGAGTGCTTTGAAGCCTACGGTAGACAACGAAATATCTTCATGTAAAAACTACAAAGAATCATTCGCAGAAACCACTTTGTGATCTCTGCATTCAACTCACAGAGTTCAACCTTTCTTCCTATAGAGCAATTATTAAACAGTCTCTTTGTAGAATTTGCAAGGGTGTATTTAGAGGGCATTGAGGCCTACGGTAGAAAAGGAAATATCTGACCATAAAATCTAGTCAGAAGCATTCTCAGAAACTGAGTTGTGATGTTTGCATTCAACTCACAGAGTTCAACATTCCTTTTAATAGAGCGGTTTTGAAACACTCTTTTTGCAGAATCTGCAAGTGGATATTTGGACCTCTTTGAGGCCTTCGTTGGAAACGGGATTTCTTCATGTAATGCCAGACAGAAGAACTCTCAGTGAATTCTTTCTGTGTGTGTGTATTCAACTCACAGAGTTGAACGTTCCTTTAGACAGAGTAGATTGGAAACACTCTTTTTGTGGAATTTTCAGGTGGAGGTATCAAGTGCTTTGAGGCCAATGATAGAAAAGGAAATACCTTCGTATAATAATTAGACGGAATCATTGTCAGAAAATGCTTTGCAATGGGTGCGTTCAACTCACAGTGTTTAACCTTTCTTTTCATACAGTTGTTTCGAAACACTCTTTTTGCAGAATCTGCAAGTGGATATTTGGACCTGTTTGAAGTCTTCTTTGGAAATGGGATTTCTTCATATAATGCTAGACAGAAGACTTCTCAGTAACTGCTTTTTCTGGTGTGTATTCAACTCTCAGAGTTGAACTTTCCTTTAGGAACAGCAGATTTGAAACTCTCTTTTTGTGGAATTTGCAAGTGGAGATTTCAAAGCTTTGAGGCCAGTGGTAGAAAAGGAAATATCTTTGTATGCAAACTAGACAGAATCATTCTCAGAAACTACTTTGGTACGTGTGTGTTCAACTCACAGTGTTTAACCTTTCTTTTCATAGAGCAGTTTGGAAACACTCAGTTTGTAAAGTCAGCAACTGGATATGTGGATGTATTTGAGGCCTTCGTTGGAAACGGGATTTCTTCCTATAATGCGAGACAGAAGAATTCTCAGTAACTTCTTTGTGTTGTGGGTATTCAACTCACAGAGTTGAAGCTTCCTTTAGGCGGAGCAGATTGGAAACACTTTTTGTGGAATTTTCAGGGGGAGACTTCAAGCGCTTTGAGGCCAACGGTAGAAAAGGAAATATCTTCGTATAAAAACTAGACGGAGTCATTCTCAGAAACTACTTTGTGATGTTTGCGTTCAACTCACAGAGTTTAACGTTTCTTTTCATAGAGCAGTTTGGAAACACTCTTTTTGCAGAATCTGCAAGTGGATATTTGGACCTCTTTGGGGCCTTCGTTGGAAACGGGATTTTTCATATAATGCTAGACAGAAGAATTCTCAGTAACTTCTTTTTGTGGTGTGTATTCAACTCACAGAGTTGAACCTTCCTTTAGACAGAGCAGATTTGAAACTCTCTTTTTGTGGAATTTGCAAGTGGAGATTTCAAGCGCTTTGAGGCCAACGGTAGAAAAGGAAATATCTTCGTAGAAAAAATAGACGGAATCATTCTCAGAAACTGCTTTGGGATGTGTGCATTGAACTCACAGTGTTTAACACTTCTTTTCATAGAGCACTTTGGAAACACTCAGTTTGTAATGTCTGCAGCTGGATATTTGGACCTCTTTGAGGCCTTCGTAGTAAACGGGATTTCTTCGTGTCATGATAGACAATAGAATTCTCAGTGAATTTTTTTCTGTGTGTGTGTATTCAACTCACAGGGTTGAACCTTCCTTTAGACAGTGCAGATTTGAAACACTTGTCTGTGGAATTTGCAAGGGGAGATTTCAAGCACTTTGAGGCCATTGGTGGAAAAGGAAATATCTTCGTATAAAAACTAGACAGAATCATTCTCAGGAACTACTTTGTGATATGTGCATTCAACTCACAGAGTTTAACCTTTCTTTTCATAGATGAGTTTGGAAACAGTCAGTTTGTAAATTCTGCAACTGGATATTTGGACCTCTTTGAGGCTTTCGTTGGAAACGGGATTTCTTCACATAATGCTAGACAGAAGAATTCTCAGTAACTTCTTTTGGGATGTATGTATTCAAATCAGAGAGTTGAACCTTCCTTTAGACAGAGCGGATTGGAAACACTCTTTTTGTGGAATTTGCAAGTGGAAAATTCTAGCAGTATGAGGCCAATGGTACAAAAGGAAATATCTTCGTATAAAAACTAGACAGTATCATTCTCAGAAAGTGCTTTGTGATGTGTGTATTAAACTCACAGAGTTGAACATTTCTTTGCATAGAGCAGTTTGGAAAGACTTAGTTTGTGCAGTGTGCAAGTGGATATTTGGAACTCTTTGAGGCCTTCGTTGGAAACGGGATTTCTTCTTATAATTCTTGACAAAAGAATTCTCAGTAGCTTCTTTGTGTGTGTGTATTCAACTCACAGAGTTGAACCTTCCTTTAGACAGAGCAGATTGGAAACACTCTTTTTGTGGAATTTGCAAGTGGAGAATTCTAGCGCTTTGACGCCAATGGTAGAAAGGAAATATCTTCGTATAAAAACTAGACAGTATCATTCTCAGAAGCTACTTTGTGATGTGTGCGTTCAACTGACAGAGTTTAACCTTTTTTTTCATAGAGCAGTTTGGAAACCCTCTGTTTGTGAAGTCTGCAAGTGGATATTTAAACGTCTTTGAGGCCTTCGTTGGAAACGGGATTTCTTCATATAAACCAGGACAGAAGAATTCTCAGAAACTTCTTGATTGTTATGTGTGCATTCAACTCACAGAGTTGAACCTTACTTTGGAAAGAGCAGTTTTCTAACACTCTTTTTGTAAAAGTTCCAAGTGAATACTTTGAGTGCTTTGAAGCCTACGGTTGACAACGAAATATCTTCATGTAAAAACTACAAAGAATCATTCGCAGAAACCACGTTGTGATCTCTGTATTCAACTCACAGAGTTGAACCTTTCTTCCTATAGAGCAGTTATGAAACAGACTCTTTGTAGAATTTGCAAGGGTGTATTTAGAGGGCATTGAAGCCTACGGTAGAAAAGGAAATATCTTACCATAAAATCTAGTCAGAAGCATTCTCAGAAACTGAGTTGTGATGTTTGCATTCAACTCACAGAGTTCAACATTCCTTTTAATGGAGCGGTTTTGAAACACTCTTTTTGCAGAATCTGCAAGTGGATATTTGGACCTCTTTGAGGCCTTCGTTGGAAACGGGATTTCTTCATGTAATGCCAGACAGAAGAATTCTCAGTGAATTCTTTCTGTGTGTGTGTATTCAACTCACAGAGTTGAACGTTCCTTTAGACAGAGTAGATTGGAAACACTCTTTTTGTGGAATTTTCAGGTGGAGGTATCAAGCGCTTTGAGACCAATGATAGAAAAGGAAATACCTTCGTATAATAATTAGACGGAATCATTCTCAGAAACTGCTTTGCAATGTGTGCGTTCAACTCACAGTGTTTAACCTTTCTTTTCATACAGTTGTTTCGAAACACTCTTTTTGCAGAATCTGCAAGTGGATATTTGGACCTCTTTGAAGTCTTCGTTGGAAATGGGATTTCTTCATACAATGCTAGACAGAAGACTTCTCAGTAACTGCTTTTTCTGGTGTGTATTCAACTCTCAGAGTTGAACTTTCCTTTAGAAACAGCAGATTTGAAACTCTCTTTTTGTGGAATTTGCAAGTGGAGATTTCAGAGCTTTGAGGCCAATGGTAGAAAAGGAAATATCTTCGTATGCAAACTAGACAGAATCATTCTCAGAAACTACTTTGGTACGTGTGTGTTCAACTCACAGTGTTTAACCTTTCTTTTCATAGAGCAGTTTGGAAACACTCAGTTTGTAAAGTCAGCAACTGGATATTTGGATGTATTTGAGGCCTTCGTTGGAAACGGGATTTCTTCATATAATGGTAGGCAGCAGAATTCTCAGTAACTTCTTTGGGTTGTGGGTATTCAAGTCACAGAGTTGAAGCTTCCTTTAGGCGGAGCAGATTGGAAACACTTTTTGTGGAATTTTCAGGGGGAGACTTCAAGCGCTTTGAAGTGAATGGTAGGAAAGGAAATATCTTCGTATAAAAACTAGACGGAGTCATTCTCAGAAACTACTTTGTGATGTTTGCGTTCAACTCACAGAGTTTAACGTTTCTTTTCATAGAGCAGTTTGGAAACACTCTTTTTGCAGAATCTGCAAGTGGATATTTGGACCTCTTTGTGGCCTTCGTTGGAAACGGGATTTTTCATATAATGCTAGACAGAAGAATTCTCAGTAACTTCTTTTTGTGGTGTGTATTCAACTCACAGATTTGAACCTTCCTTTAGACAGAGCAGATTTGAAACTCTCTTTTCGTGGAATTTGCAAGTGGAGATTTCAAGCGCTTTGAGGCCAATGGTAGAAAAGGAAATATCTTCGTAGAAAAAATAGACGGAATCATTCTCAGAAACTGCTTTGGGATGTGTGCATTGAACTCACAGTGTTTAACACTTCTTTTCATAGAGCACTTTGGAAACACTCAGTTTGTAATGTCTGCAGCTGGATATTTGGACCTCTTTGAGGCCTTCGTAGTAAACGGGATTTCTTCATGTAATGATAGACAATAGAATTCTCAGTGAATTTCTTTCTGTGTGTGTGTATTCAACTCACAGGGTTGAACCTTCCTTCAGACAGTGCAGATTTGAAACACTTTTCTGTGGAATTTGCAAGGGGAGATTTCAAGCATTTTGAGGCCATTGGTGGAAAAGGAAATATCTTCGTATAAAAACTAGACAGAATCATTCTCAGGAACTACTTTGTGATATGTGCATTCAACTCACAGAGTTTAACCTTTCTTTTCATAGATGAGTTTGGAAACAGTCAGTTTGTAAATTCTGCAACTGGATATTTGGACCTCTTTGAGGCTTTCGTTGGAAACGGGATTTCTTCACATAATGCTAGACAGAAGAATTCTCAGTAACTTCTTTTGGGATGTATGTATTCAAATCAGAGAGTTGAACCTTCCTTTAGACAGAGCGGATTGGAAACACTCTTTTTGTGGAATTTGCAAGTGGAAAATTCTAGCAGTATGAGGCCAATGGTACAAAAGGAAATATTCTTCGTATAAAAACTAGACAGTATCATTCTCAGAAACTGCTTTGTGATGTGTGTATTAAACTCACAGAGTTGAACATTTCTTTGCATAGAGCAGTATGGAAAGACTTAGTTTGTGCAGTGTGCAAGTGGATATTTGGAACTCTTTGAGGCCTTGGTTGGAAACGGGATTTCTTCTTATAATTCTTGACAAAACAATTCTCAGTAGCTTCTTTGTGTGTGTGTACTCAACTCACAGAGTTGAACCTTCCTTTAGACAGAGCAGATTGGAAACACTCTTTTTGTGGAATTTGCAAGTGGAAAATTCTAGCAGTATGAGGCCAATGGTACAAAAGGAAATATCTTCGTATAAAAACTAGACAGTATCATTCTCAGAAACTACTTTGTGAGGTGTGCGTTCAACTCACAGTGTTTACCCTTTCTTTTCATAGAGCAGTTTGGAAACACTCTGTTTGTGAAGTCTGCAAGTGGATATTTAAACGTCTTTGAGGCCTTCGTTGGAAACGGGATTTCTTCATATAAACCAGGACAGAAGAATTCTCAGAAACTTCTTGTTTGTTATGTGTGCATTCAACACACAGAGTTGAACCTTACTTTGGAAAGAGCAGTTTTCTAACACTCTTTTTGTAAAAGTTCCAAGTGAATACTTTGAGTGCTTTGAAGCCTACGGTAGACAACGAAATATCTTCATGTAAAAACTACAAAGAATCATTCGCAGAAACCACGTTGTGATCTCTGCATTCAACTCACAGAGTTGAACCTTTCCTCCTGTAGAGCAGTTATGAAACAGTCTCTTTGTAGAATTTGCAAGGGAGTATTTACAGGGCATTGAAGCCTACGGTAGAAAAGGAAATATCTTACCATAAAATCTAGTCAGAAGCATTCTCAGCAACTGAGTTGTGATGTTTGCATTCAACTCACAGAGTTCAACATTCCTTTTAATGGAGCGGTTTTGAAACACTCTTTTTGCAGAATCTGCAAGTGGATATTTGGACCTCTTTGAGGCCTTCGTTGGAAACGGGATTTCTTCATGTAATGCCAGACAGAAGAATTCTCAGTGAATTCTTTCTGTGTGTGTGTATTCAACTCACAGAGTTGAACGTTCCTTTAGACAGAGTAGATTGGAAACACTCTTTTTGTGGAATTTTCAGGTGGAGGTATCAAGCGCTTTGAGGCCAATGATAGAAAAGGAAATACCTTCGGTATAATAATTAGACGGAATCATTCTCAGAAACCGCTTTGCAATGTGTGCGTTCAACTCACAGTGTTTAACCTTTCTTTTCATACAGTTGTTTCGAAACACTCTTTTTGCAGAATCTGCAAGTGGATATTTGGACCTCTTTGAAGTCTTCGTTGGAAATGGGATTTCTTCATATAATGCTAGACAGAAGACTTCTCAGTAACTGCTTTTTCTGGTGTGTATTGAACTCTCAGAGTTGAACTTTCCTTTAGAAACAGCAGATTTGAAACTCTCTTTTTGTGGAATTTGCAAGTGGAGATTTCGGAGCTTTGAGGCCAATGGTAGAAAAGGAAATATCTTCGTATGCAAACTAGACAGAATCATTCTCAGAAACTACTTTGGTACGTGTGTGTTCAACTCACAGTGTTTAACCTTTCTTTTCATAGAGCAGTTTGGAAACACTCAGTTTGTAAAGTCAGCAACTGGATATTTGGATGTATTTGAGGCCTTCGTTGGAAACGGGATTTCTTCATATAATGCTAGACAGAAGAATTCTCAGTAACTTCTTTGGGTTGTGGGTATTCAAGTCACAGAGTTGAAGCTTCCTTTAGGCGGAGCAGATTGGAAACACTTTTTGTGGAATTTTCAGGGGGAGACTTCAAGCGCTTTGAAGTGAATGGTAGGAAAGGAAATATCTTCGTATAAAAACTAGACGGAGTCATTCTCAGAAACTACTTTGTGATGTTTGCGTTCAACTCACAGAGTTTAACGTTTCTTTTCATAGAGCAGTTTGGAAACACTCTTTTTGCAGAATCTGCAAGTGGATATTTGGACCTCTTTGTGGCCTTCGTTGGAAATGGGATTTTTCATATAATGCTAGACAGAAGAATTCTCAGTAACTTCTTTTTGTGGTGTGTATTCAACTCACAGAGTTGAACCTTCCTTTAGACAGAGCAGATTTGAAACTCTCTTTTTGTGGAATTTGCAAGTGGAGATTTCAAGCGCTTTGAGGCCAACGGCAGAAAAGGAAATATCTTCGTAGAAAAAATAGACGGAATCATTCTCAGAAACTGCTTTGGGATGTGTGCATTGAACTCACAGTGTTTAACACTTCTTTTCATAGAGCAATTTGGAAACACTCAGTTTGTAATGTCTGCAGCTGGATATTTGGACCTCTTTGAGGCCTTCGTAGTAAACGGGATTTCTTCGTGTAATGATAGACAATAGAATTCTCAGTGAATTTTTTTCTGTGTGTGTGTATTCAACTCACAGGGTTGAACCTTCCTTTAGACAGTGCAGATTTGAAACACTTGTCTGTGGAATTTGCAAGGGGAGATTTCAAGCACTTTGAGGCCATTGGTGGAAAAGGAAATATCTTCGTATGAAAACTAGACAGAATCATTCTCAGGAACTAGTTTGTGATATGTGCATTCAACTCACAGAGTTTAACCTTTCTTTTCATAGATGAGTTTGGAAACAGTCAGTTTGTAAATTCTGCAACTGGATATTTGGACCTCTTTGAGGCTTTCGTTGGAAACGGGATTTCTTCACATAATGCTAGACAGAAGAATTCTCAGTAACTTCTTTTGGGATGTATGTATTCAAATCAGAGAGTTGAACCTTCCTTTAGACAGAGCGGATTGGAAACACTCTTTTTGTGGAATTTGCAAGTGGAAAATTCTAGCAGTATGAGGCCAATGGTACAAAAGGAAATATCTTCGTATAAAAACTAGACAGTATCATTCTCAGAAACTGCTTTGTGATGTGTGTATTAAACTCACAGACTTGAACATTTCTTTGCATAGAGCAGTATGGAAAGACTTAGTTTGTGCAGTGTGCAAGTGGATATTTGGAACTCTTTGAGGCCTTGGTTGGAAACGGGATTTCTTCTTATAATTCTTGACAAAAGAATTCTCAGTAGCTTCTTTGTGTGTGTGTACTCAACTCACAGAGTTGAACCTTCCTTTAGACAGAGCAGATTGGAAACACTCTTTTTGTGGAATTTGCAAGTGGAAAATTCTAGCAGTATGAGTCCAATGGTACAAAAGGAAATATCTTCGTATAAAAACTAGACAGTTATCATTCTCAGAAACTACTTTGTGATGTGTGCGTTCAACTCACAGTGTTTACCCTTTCTTTTCATAGAGCAGTTTGGAAACACTCTGTTTGTGAAGTCTGCAAGTGGATATTTAAACGTCTTTGAGGCCTTCGTTGGAAACGGGATTTCTTCATATAAACCAGGACAGAAGAATTCTCAGAAACTTCTTGTTTGTTATGTGTGCATTCAACTCACAGAGTTGAACCTTACTTTGGAAAGAGCAGTTTTCTAACACTCTTTTTGTAAAAGTTCCAAGTGAATACTTTGAGTGCTTTGAAGCCTACGGTAGACAACGAAATATCTTCATGTAAAAACTACAAAGAATCATTCGCAGAAACCACGTTGTGATCTCTGCATTCAACTCACAGAGTTGAACCTTTCCTCCTGTAGAGCAGTTATGAAACAGTCTCTTTGTAGAATTTGCAAGGGAGTATTTACAGGGCATTGAAGCCTACGGTAGAAAAGGAAATATCTTACCATAAAATCTAGTCAGAAGCATTCTCAGAAACTGAGTTGTGATGTTTGCATTCAACTCACAGAGTTCAACATTCCTTTTAATGGAGCGGTTTTGAAACACTCTTTTTGCAGAATCTGCAAGTGGATATTTGGACCTCTTTGAGGCCTTCGTTGGAAACGGGATTTCTTCATGTAATGCCAGACAGAAGAATTCTCAGTGAATTCTTTCTGTGTGTGTGTATTCAACTCACAGAGTTGAACGTTCCTTTAGACAGAGTAGATTGGAAACACTCTTTTTGTGGAATTTTCAGGTGGAGGTATCAAGCGCTTTGAGGCCAATGATAGAAAAGGAAATACCTTCGTATAATAATTAGACGGAATCATTCTCAGAAACTGCTTTGCAATGTGTGCGTTCAACTCACAGTGTTTAACCTTTCTTTTCATACAGTTGTTTCGAAACACTCTTTTTGCAGAATCTGCAAGTGGATATTTGGACCTCTTTGAAGTCTTCGTTGGAAATGGGATTTCTTCATATAATGCTAGACAGAAGACTTCTCAGTAACTGCTTTTTCTGGTGTGTATTCAACTCTCAGAGTTGAACTTTCCTTTAGAAACAGCAGATTTGAAACTCTCTTTTTGTGGAATTTGCAAGTGGAGATTTCAGAGCTTTGAGGCCAATGGTAGAAAAGGAAATATCTTCGTATGCAAACTAGACAGAATCATTCTCAGAAACTACTTTGGTACGTGTGTGTTCAACTCACAGTGTTTAACCTTTCTTTTTATAGAGCAGTTTGGACACACTCAGTTTGTAAAGTCAGCAACTGGATATTTGGATGTATTTGAGGCCTTCGTTGGAAACGGGATTTCTTCATATAATGCTAGACAGAAGAATTCTCAGTAACTTCTTTGGGTTGTGGGTATTCAACTCACAGAGTTGAAGCTTCCTTTAGGCGGAGCAGATTGGAAACACTTTTTGTGGAATTTTCAGGGGGAGACTTCAAGCGCTTTGAAGTGAATGGTAGAAAAGGAAATATCTTCGTATAAAAACTAGACGGAGTCATTCTCAGAAACTACTTTGTGATGTTTGCGTTCAACTCACAGAGTTTAACGTTTCTTTTCATAGAGCAGTTTGGAGACACTCTTTTTGCAGAATCTGCAAGTGGATATTTGGACCTCTTTGTGGCCTTCGTTGGAAACGGGATTTTTCATATAATGCTAGACAGAAGAATTCTCAGTAACTTCTTTTTGTGGTGTGTATTCAACTCACAGAGTTGAACCTTCCTTTAGACAGAGCAGATTTGATACTCTCTTTTTGTGGAATTTGCAAGTGGAGATTTCAGGCGCTTTGAGGCCAACGGTAGAAAAGGAAATATCTTCGTAGAAAAAATAGACGGAATCATTCTCAGAAACTGCTTTGGGATGTGTGCATTGAACTCACAGTGTTTAACACTTCTTTTCATAGAGCACTTTGGAAACACTCAGGTTGTAATGTCTGCAGCTGGATATTTGGACCTCTTTGAGGCCTTCGTAGTAAACGGGATTTCTTCGTGTAATGATAGACAATAGAATTCTCAGTGAATTTTTTTCTGTGTGTGTGTATTCAACTCACAGGGTTGAACCTTCCTTTAGACAGTGTAGATTTGAAACACTTGTCTGTGGAATTTGCAAGGGGAGATTTGAAGCACTTTGAGGCCATTGGTGGAAAAGGAAATATCTTCGTATAAAAACTAGACAGAATCATTCTCAGGAACTACTTTGTGATATGTGCATTCAACTCCCAGAGTTTAACCTTTCTTTTCATAGATGAGTTTGGAAACAGTCAGTTTGTAAATTCTGCAACTGGATATTTGGACCTCTTTGAGGCTTTCGTTGGAAACGGGATTTCTTCACATAATGCTAGACAGAAGAATTCTCAGTAACTTCTTTTGGGATGTATGTATTCAAATCAGAGAGTTGAACCTTCCTTTAGACAGAGCGGATTGGAAACACTCTCTTTGTGGAATTTGCAAGTGGAAAATTCTAGCAGTATGAGGCCAATGGTACAAAAGGAAATATCTTCGTATAAAAACTAGACAGTATCATTCTCAGAAACTGCTTTGTGATGTGTGTATTAAACTCACAGAGTTGAACATTTCTTTGCATAGAGCAGTTTGGAAAGACTTAGTTTGTGCAGTGTGCAAGTGGATATTTGGAACTCTTTGAGGCCCTTCGTTGGAAACGGGATTTCTTCTTATAATTCTTGACAAAAGAATTCTCAGTAGCTTCTTTGTGTGTGTGTATTCAACTCACAGAGTTGAACCTTCCTTTAGGCAGAGCAGATTGGAAACCCACTTTTTGTGGAATTTGCAAGTGGAGAATTCTAGCGCTTTGACGCCAATGGTAGGAAAGGAAATATCTCCATATAAAAACTGGACAGTATCATTCTCAGAAGCTACTTTGTGATGTGTGCGTTCAACTCACAGAGTTTAACCTTTCTTTTCATAGAGCGGTTTGGAAACCCTCTGTTTGTGAAGTCTGCAAGTGGATATTTAAACGTCTTTGAGGCCTTCGTTGGAAACGGGATTTTTTCATATAAACCAGGACAGAAGAATTCTCAGAAACTTCTTGATTGTTATGTGTGCATTCAACTCACAGAGTTGAACCTTACTTTGGAAAGAGCAGTTTTCTAACACTCTTTTTGTAAAAGTTCCAAGTGAATACTTTGAGTGCTTTGAAGCCTACGGTTGACAACGAAATATCTTCATGTAAAAACTACAAAGAATCATTCGCAGAAACCACGTTGTGATCTCTGCATTCAACTCACAGAGTTCAACCTTTCTTCCTATAGAGCAGTTATGAAACAGTCTCTTTGTAGAATTTGCAAGGGTGTATTTAGAGGGCATTGAAGCCTACGGTAGAAAAGGAAATATCTTACCATAAAATCTAGTCAGAAGCATTCTCAGAAACTGAGTTGTGATGTTTGCATTCAACTCACAGAAGTTCAACATTCCTTTTAATGGAGCGGTTTTGAAACACTCTTTTTGCAGAATCTGCAAGTGGATATTTGGACCTCTTTGAGGCCTTCGTTGGAAACGGGATTTCTTCATGTAATGCCAGACAGAAGAATTCTCAGTGAATTCTTTCTGTGTGTGTGTATTCAACTCACAGAGTTGAACGTTCCTTTAGACAGAGTAGATTGGAAACACTCTTTTTGTGGAATTTTCAGGTGGAGGTATCAAGCGCTTTGAGGCCAATGATAGAAAAGGAAATACCTTCGTATAATAATTAGACGGAATCATTCTCAGAAACCGCTTTGCAATGTGTGCGTTCAACTCACAGTGTTTAACCTTTCTTTTCATACAGTTGTTTCGAAACACTCTTTTTGCAGAATCTGCAAGTGGATATTTGGACCTCTTTGAAGTCTTCGTTGGAAATGGGATTTCTTCATATAATGCTAGACAGAAGACTTCTCAGTAACTGCTTTTTCTGGTGTGTATTCAACTCTCAGAGTTGAACTTTCCTTTAGAAACAGCAGATTTGAAACTCTCTTTTTGTGGAATTTGCAAGTGGAGATTTCAGAGCTTTGAGGCCAATGGTAGAAAAGGAAATATCTTCGTATGCAAACTAGACAGAATCATTCTCAGAAACTACTTTGGTACGTGTGTGTTCAACTCACAGTGTTTAACCTTTCTTTTCATAGAGCAGTTTGGAAACACTCAGTTTGTAAAGTCAGCAACTGGATATTTGGATGTATTTGAGGCCTTCGTTGGAAACGGGATTTCTTCATATAGTGCTAGACAGAAGAATTCTCAGTAACTTCTTTGGGTTGTGGGTATTCAACTCACAGAGTTGAAGCTTCCTTTAGGCGGAGCAGATTGGAAACACTTTTTGTGGAATTTTCAGGGGGAGACTTCAAGCGCTTTGAAGTGAATGGTAGAAAAGGAAATATCTTCGTATAAAAACTAGACGGAGTCATTCTCAGAAACTACTTTGTGATGTTTGCGTTAAACTCACAGAGTTTAACGTTTCTTTTCATAGAGCAGTTTGGAAACACTCTTTTTGCAGAATCTGCAAGTGGATATTTAGACCTCTTTGTGGCCTTCGTTGGAAACGGGATTTTTCATATAATGCTAGACAGAAGAATTCTCAGTAACTTCTTTTTGTGGTGTGTATTCAACTCACAGAGTTGAACCTTCCTTTAGACAGAGCAGATTTGAAACTCTCTTTTTGTGGAATTTGCAAGTGGAGATTTCAAGCGCTTTGAGGCCAACGGTAGAAAAGGAAATATCTTCGTAGAAAAAATAGACGGAATCATTCTCAGAAACTGCTTTGGGATGTGTGCATTGAACTCACAGTGTTTAACACTTCTTTTCATAGAGCACTTTGGAAACACTCAGTTTGTAATGTCTGCATCTGGTTATTTGGACCTCTTTGAGGCCTTCGTAGTAAACGGGATTTCTTCGTGTAATGATAGACAATAGAATTCTCAGTGAATTTTTTTCTGTGTGTGTGTATTCAACTCACAGGGTTGAACCTTCCTTTAGACAGTGCAGATTTGAGACACTTGTCTGTGGAATTTGCAAGGGGAGATTTCAAGCACTTTGAGGCCATTGGTGGAAAAGGAAATATCTTCGTATAAAAACTAGACAGAATCATTCTCAGGAACTACTTTGTGATATGTGCATTCAACTCACAGAGTTTAACCTTTCTTTTCATAGATGAGTTTGGAAACAGTCAGTTTGTAAATGCTGCAACTGGATATTTGGGCCTCTTTGAGGCTTTCGTTGGAAACGGGATTTCTTCACATAATGCTAGACAGAAGAATTCTCAGTAACTTCTTTTGGGATGTATGTATTCAAATCAGAGAGTTGAACCTTCCTTTAGACAGAGCGGATTGGAAACACTCTTTTTGTGGAATTTGCAAGTGGAAAATTCTAGCAGTATGAGGCCAATGGTACAAAAGGAAATATCTTCGTATAAAAACTAGACAGTATCATTCTCAGAAACTGCTTTGTGATGTGTGTATTAAACTCACAGAGTTGAACATTTCTTTGCATAGAGCAGTTTGGAAAGACTTAGTTTGTGCAGTGTGCAAGTGGATATTTGGAACTCTTTGAGGCCTTCGTTGGAAACGGGATTTCTTCTTATAATTCTTGACAAAAGAATTCTCAGTAGCTTCTTTGTGTGTGTGTATTCAACTCACAGAGTTGAACCTTCCTTTAGACAGAGCAGATTGGAAACACTCTTTTTGTGGAATTTGCAAGTGGAGAATTCTAGCGCTTTGACGCCAATGGTAGAAAGGAAATATCTTCGTATAAACACTAGACAGTATCATTCTCAGAAACTACTTTGTGATGTGTGCGTTCAACTCACAGAGTTTAACCTTTCTTTTCATAGAGCAGTTTGGAAACACTCTGTTTGTGAAGTCTGCAAGTGGATATTTAAACGTCTTTGAGGCCTTCGTAGGAAACGGGATTTTTTCATATAAACCAGGACAGAAGAATTCTCAGAAACTTCTTGATTGTTATGTGTGCATTCAACTCACAGAGTTGAACCTTACTTTGGAAAGAGCAGTTTTCTAACACTCTTTTTGTAAAAGTTCCAAGTGAATACTTTGAGTGCTTTGAAGCCTACGGTTGACAACGAAATATCTTCATGTAAAAACTACAAAGAATCATTCGCAGAAACCACGTTGTGATCTCTGCAGTCAACTCACAGAGTTCAACCTTTCTTCCTATAGAGCAGTTATGAAACAGTCTCTTTGTAGAATTTGCAAGGGTGTATTTAGAGGGCATTGAAGCCTACGGTAGAAAAGGAAATATCTTACCATAAAATCTAGTCAGAAGCATTCTCAGAAACTGAGTTGTGATGTTTGCATTCAACTCACAGAGTTCAACATTCCTTTTAATGGAGCGGTTTTGAAACACTCTTTTTGCAGAATCTGCAAGTGGATATTTGGACCTCTTTGAGGCCTTCGTTGGAAACGGGATTTCTTCATGTAATGCCAGACAGAAGAATTCTCAGTGAATTCTTTCTGTGTGTGTGTATTCAACTCACAGAGTTGAACGTTCCTTTAGACAGAGTAGATTGGAAACACTCTTTTTGTGGAATTTTCAGGTGGAGGTATCAAGCGCTTTGAGGCCAATGATAGAAAAGGAAATACCTTCGTATAATAATTAGACGGAATCATTCTCAGAAACTGCTTTGCAATGTGTGCGTTCAACTCACAGTGTTTAACCTTTCTTTTCATACAGTTGTTTCGAAACACTCTTTTTGCAGAATCTGCAAGTGGATATTTGGACCTCTTTGAAGTCTTCGTTGGAAATGGGATTTCTTCATATAATGCTAGACAGAAGACTTCTCAGTAACTGCTTTTTCTGGTGTGTATTCAACTCTCAGAGTTGAACTTTCCTTTAGAAACAGCAGATTTGAAACTCTCTTTTTGTGGAATTTGCAAGTGGAGATTTCAGAGCTTTGAGGCCAATGGTAGAAAAGGAAATATCTTCGTATGCAAACTAGACAGAATCATTCTCAGAAACTACTTTGGTACGTGTGTGTTCAACTCACAGTGTTTAACCTTTCTTTTCATAGAGCAGTTTGGAAACACTCAGTTTGTAAAGTCAGCAACTGGATATTTGGATGTATTTGAGGCCTTCGTTGGAAACGGGATTTCTTCATATAATGCTAGACAGAAGAATTCTCAGTAACTTCTTTGGGTTGTGGGTATTCAAGTCACAGAGTTGAAGCTTCCTTTAGGCGGAGCAGATTGGAAACACTTTTTGTGGAATTTTCAGGGGGAGACTTCAAGCGCTTTGAAGTGAATGGTAGGAAAGGAAATATCTTCGTATAAAAACTAGACGGAGTCATTCTCAGAAACTACTTTGTGATGTTTGCGTTCAACTCACAGAGTTTAACGTTTCTTTTCATAGAGCAGTTTGGAAACACTCTTTTTGCAGAATCTGCAAGTGGATATTTGGACCTCTTTGTGGCCTTCGTTGGAAACGGGATTTTTCATATAATGCTAGACAGAGGAATTCTCAGTAACTTCTTTTTGTGGTGTGTATTCAACTCACAGAGTTGAACCTTCCTTTAGACAGAGCAGATTTGAAACTCTCTTTTTGTGGAATTTGCAAGTGGAGATTTCAAGCGCTTTGAGGCCAACGGCAGAAAAGGAAATATCTTCGTAGAAAAAATAGACGGAATCATTCTCAGAAACTGCTTTGGGATGTGTGCATTGAACTCACAGTGTTTAACACTTCTTTTCATAGAGCACTTTGGAAACACTCAGTTTGTAATGTCTGCAGCTGGATATTTGGACCTCTTTGAGGCCTTCGTAGTAAACGGGATTTCTTCGTGTAATGATAGACAATAGAATTCTCAGTGAATTTTTTTCTGTGTGTGTGTATTCAACTCACAGGGTTGAACCTTCCTTTAGACAGTGCAGATTTGAAACACTTGTCTGTGGAATTTGCAAGGGGAGATTTCAAGCACTTTGAAGCCATTGGTGGAAAAGGAAATATCTTCGTATGAAAACTAGACAGAATCATTCTCAGGAACTACTTTGTGATATGTGCATTCAACTCCCAGAGTTTAACCTTTCTTTTCATAGATGAGTTTGGAAACAGTCAGTTTGTAAATTCTGCAACTGGATATTTGGACCTCTTTGAGGCTTTCGTTGGAAACGGGATTTCTTCACATAATGCTAGACAGAAGAATTCTCAGTAACTTCTTTTGGGATGTATGTATTCAAATCAGAGAGTTGAACCTTCCTTTAGACAGAGCGGATTGGAAACACTCTTTTTGTGGAATTTGCAAGTGGAAAATTCTAGCAGTATGAGGCCAATGGTACAAAAGGAAATATCTTCGTATAAAAACTAGACAGTATCATTCTCAGAAACTGCTTTGTGATGTGTGTATTAAACTCACAGAGTTGAACATTTCTTTGCATAGAGCAGTTTGGAAAGACTTAGTTTGTGCAGTGTGCAAGTGGATATTTGGAACTCTTTGAGGCCTTCGTTGGAAACGGGATTTCTTCTTATAATTCTTGACAAAAGAATTCTCAGTAGCTTCTTTGTGTGTGTGTATTCAACTCACAGAGTTGAACCTTCCTTTAGACAGAGCAGATTGGAAACACTCTTTTTGTGGAATTTGCAAGTGGAGAATTCTAGCGCTTTGACGCCAATGGTAGAAAGGAAATATCTTCGTATAAAAACTAGACAGTATCATTCTCAGAAGCTACTTTGTGATGTGTGCGTTTAACTCACAGAGTTTAACCTTTCTTTTCATAGAGCAGTTTGGAAACCCTCTGTTTGTGAAGTCTGCAAGTGGATATTTAAACGTCTTTGAGGCCTTCGTTGGAAACGGGATTTCTTCATATAAACCAGGACAGAAGAATTCTCAGAAACTTCTTGATTGTTATGTGTGCATTCAACTCACAGAGTTGAACCTTACTTTGGAAAGAGCAGTTTTCTAACACTCTTTTTGTAAAAGTTCCAAGTGAATACTTTGAGTGCTTTGAAGCCTACGGTTGACAACGAAATATCTTCATGTAAAAACTACAAAGAATCATTCGCAGAAACCACGTTGTGATCTCTGCATTCAACTCACAGAGTTGAACCTTTCTTCCTATAGAGCAGTTATGAAACACTCTCTTTGTAGAATTTGCAAGGGTGTATTTAGAGGGCATTGAAGCCTACGGTAGAAAAGGAAATATCTTACCATAAAATCTAGTCAGAAGCATTCTCAGCAACTGAGTTGTGATGTTTGCATTCAACTCACAGAGTTCAACATTCCTGTTAATGGAGCGGTTTTGAAACACTCTTTTTGCAGAATCTGCAAGTGGATATTTGGACCTCTTTGAGGCCTTCGTTGGAAACGGGATTTCTTCATGTAATGCCAGACAGAAGAATTCTCAGTGAATTCTTTCTGTGTGTGTGTATTCAACTCACAGAGTTGAACGTTCCTTTAGACAGAGTAGATTGGAAACACTCTTTTTGTGGAATTTTCAGGTGGAGGTATCAAGCGCTTTGAGGCCAATGATAGAAAAGGAAATACCTTCGTATAATAATTAGACGGAATCATTCTCAGAAACTGCTTTGCAATGTGTGCGTTCAACTCACAGTGTTTAACCTTTCTTTTCATACAGTTGTTTCGAAACACTCTTTTTGCAGAATCTGCAAGTGGATATTTGGACCTCTTTGAAGTCTTCGTTGGAAATGGGATTTCTTCATATAATGCTAGACAGAAGACTTCTCAGTAACTGCTTTTTCTGGTGTGTATTCAACTCTCAGAGTTGAACTTTCCTTTAGAAACAGCAGATTTGAAACTCTCTTTTTGTGGAATTTGCAAGTGGAGATTTCAGAGCTTTGAGGCCAATGGTAGAAAAGGAAATATCTTCGTATGCAAACTAGACAGAATCATTCTCAGAAACTACTTTGGTACGTGTGTGTTCAACTCACAGTGTTTAACCTTTCTTTTCATAGAGCAGTTTGGAAACACTCAGTTTGTAAAGTCAGCAACTGGATATTTGGATGTATTTGAGGCCTTCGTTGGAAACGGGATTTCTTCATATAATGGTAGGCAGCAGAATTCTCAGTAACTTCTTTGGGTTGTGGGTATTCAACTCACAGCAGTTGAAGCTTCCTTTAGGCGGAGCAGATTGGAAACACTTTTTGTGGAATTTTCAGGGGGAGACTTCAAGCGCTTTGAAGTGAATGGTAGGAAAGGAAATATCTTCGTATAAAAACTAGACGGAGTCATTCTCAGAAACTACTTTGTGATGTTTGCGTTCAACTCACAGAGTTTAACGTTTCTTTTCATAGAGCAGTTTGGAAACACTCTTTTTGCAGAATCTACAAGTGGATATTAGGACCTCTTTGTGGCCTTCGTTGGAAACGGGAATTTTCATATAATGCTAGACAGAAGAATTCTCAGTAACTTCTTTTTGTGGTGTGTATTCAACTCACAGAGTTGAACCTTCCTTTAGACAGAGCAGATTTGAAACTCTCTTTTCGTGGAATTTGCAAGTGGAGATTTCAAGCGCTTTGAGGCCAACGGTAGAAAAGGAAATATCTTCGTAGAAAAAATAGACGGAATCATTCTCAGAAACTGCTTTGGGATGTGTGCATTGAACTCACAGTGTTTAACACTTCTTTTCATAGAGCACTTTGGAAACACTCAGTTTGTAATGTCTGCAGCTGGATATTTGGGCCTCTTTGAGGCCTTGGTAGTAAACGGGATTTCTTCGTGTAATGATAGACAATAGAATTCTCAGTGAATTTTTTTCTGTGTGTGTGTATTCAACTCACAGGGTTGAACCTTCCTTCAGACAGTGCAGATTTGAAACACTTTTCTGTGGAATTTGCAAGGGGAGATTTCAAGCACTTTGAGGCCATTGGTGGAAAAGGAAATATCTTCGTATAAAAACTAGACAGAATCATTCTCAGGAACTACTTTGTGATATGTGCGTTCAACTCACAGGGTTTAACCTTTCTTTTCATAGATGAGTTTGGAAACAGTCAGTTTGTAAATTCTGCAACTGGATATTAGGACCTCTTTGAGGCTTTCGTTGGAAACAGGATTTCTTCACATTATGCTAGACAGAAGAATTCTCAGTAACTTCTTTTGGGATGTATGTATTCAACTCAGAGAGTTGAACCTTCCTTTAGACAGAGCGCATTGGAAACACGCTTTTTGCGGAATTTTCAGGTGGAGATTCCAAGAGCCTTGAGGTCAATGGTAGAAAAGGCTATCTTCGTATAAAAACTAGAGGGAATCATTCTCAGAAACTGCTTTGTGATGTGTGCATTAAACTCACAAGGTTGAACATTTCTTTGCATAGAGCAGTTTGGAAAGACTTAGATTGTACAGTGTGCAAGTGGATATTTGGAACTCTTTGAGGCCTTCGTTGGAAACGGGATTTCTTCTTATAATTCTTGACAAAAGAATTCTCAGTAGCTTCTTTGTGTGTGTGTATTCAACTCACAGAGTTGAACCTTCCTTTAGACAGAGCAGATTGGAAACACTCTTTTTGTGGAATTTGCAAGTGGAGAATTCTAGCGCTTTGACGCCAATGGTAGAAAGGAAATATCTTCGTATAAAAACTAGACAGTATCATTCTCAGAAACTACTTTGTGATGTGCGCGTTCAACTCACAGAGTTTAACCTTTCTTTTCATAGAGCAGTTTGGAAACACTCTGTTTGTGAAGTCTGCAAGTGGATATTTAAACGTCTTTGAGGCCTTCGTTGGAAACAGGATTTGTTCATATAAACCAGGACAGAAGAATTCTCAGAAACTTCTTGATTGTTATGTGTGCATTCAACTCACAGAGTTGAACCTTACTTTGGAAAGAGCAGTTTTCTAACACTCTTTTTGTAAAAGTTCCAAGTGAATACTTTGAGTGCTTTGAAGCCTACGGTTGACAACGAAATATCTTCATGTAAAAACTACAAAGAATCATTCGCAGAAACCACGTTGTGATCTCTGCATTCAACTCACAGAGTTGAACCTTTCTTCCTATAGAGCAGTTATGAAACAGTCTCTTTGTAGAATTTGCAAGGGTGTATTTAGAGGGCATTGAAGCCTACGGTAGAAAAGGAAATATCTTACCATAAAATCTAGTCAGGAGCATTCTCAGAAACTGAGTTGTGATGTTTGCATTCAACTCACAGAGTTCAACATTCCTTTTAATGGAGCAGTTTTGAAACACTCTTTTTGCAGAATCTGCAAGTGGATATTTGGACCTCTTTGTGGCCTTCGTTGGAAACGGGATTTTTCATATAATGCTAGACAGAAGAATTCTCAGTAACTTCTTTTTGTGGTGTGTATTCAACTCACAGAGTTGAACCTTCCTTTAGACAGAGCAGATTTGAAACTCTCTTTTTGTGGAATTTGCAAGTGGAGATTTCAAGCGCTTTGAGGCCAACGGCAGAAAAGGAAATATCTTCGTAGAAAAAATAGACGGAATCATTCTCAGAAACTGCTTTGGGATGTGTGCATTGAACTCACAGTGTTTAACACTTCTTTTCATAGAGCACTTTGGAAACACTCAGTTTGTAATGTCTGCAGCTGGATATTTGGACCTCTTTGAGGCCTTCGTAGTAAACGGGATTTCTTCGTGTAATGATAGACAATAGAAGAATTCTCAGTGAATTTTTTTCTGTGTGTGTGTATTCAACTCACAGGGTTGAACCATCCTTTAGACAGTGCAGATTTGAAACACTTGTCTGTGGAATTTGCAAGGGGAGATTTCAAGCACTTTGAGGCCATTGGTGGAAAAGGAAATATCTTCGTATAAAAACTAGACAGAATCATTCTCAGGAACTACTTTGTGATATGTGCATTCAACTCCCAGAGTTTAACCTTTCTTTTCATAGATGAGTTTGGAAACAGTCAGTTTGTAAATTCTGCAACTGGATATTTGGACCTCTTTGAGGCTTTCGTTGGAAACGGGATTTCTTCACATAATGCTAGACAGAAGAATTCTCAGTAACTTCTTTTGGGATGTATGTATTCAAATCAGAGAGTTGAACCTTCCTTTAGACAGAGCGGATTGGAAACACTCTTTTTGTGGAATTTGCAAGTGGAAAATTCTAGCAGTATGAGGCCAATGGTACAAAAGGAAATATCTTCGTATAAAAACTAGACAGTACCATTCTCAGAAACTGCTTTGTGATGTGTGTATTAAACTCACAGAGTTGAACATTTCTTTGCATAGAGCAGTTTGGAAAGACTTAGTTTGTGCAGTGTGCAAGTGGATATTTGGAACTCTTTGAGGCCTTCGTTGGAAACGGGATTTCTTCTTATAATTTCTTGAAAAAAGAATTCTCAGTAGCTTCTTTGTGTGTGTGTATTCAACTCACAGAGTTGAACCTTCCTTTAGACAGAGCAGATTGAAAACACTCTTTTTGTGGAATTTGCAAGTGGAGAATTCTAGCGCTTTGACGCCAATGGTAGAAAGGAAATATCTTCGTATAAAAACTAGACAGTATCATTCTCAGAAGCTACTTTGTGATGTGTGCGTTCAACTCACAGAGTTTAACCTTTCTTTTCATAGAGCAGTTTGGAAACCCTCTGTTTGTGAAGTCTGCAAGTGGATATTTAAACGTCTTTGAGGCCTTCGTTGGAAACGGGATTTTTTCATATAAACCAGGACAGAAGAATTCTCAGAAACTTCTTGATTGTTATGTGTGCATTCAACTCACAGAGTTGAACCTTACTTTGGAAAGAGCAGTTTTCTAACACTCTTTTTGTAAAAGTTCCAAGTGAATACTTTGAGTGCTTTGAAGCCTACGGTTGACAACGAAATATCTTCATGTAAAAACTACAAAGAATCATTTGCAGAAACCACGTTGTGATCTCTGCATTCAACTCACAGAGTTGAACCTTTCTTCCTATAGAGCAGTTATGAAACAGTCTCTTTGTAGAATTTGCAAGGGTGTATTTAGAGGGCATTGAAGCCTACGGTAGAAAAGGAAATATCTTACCATAAAATGTAGTCAGAAAGCATTCTCAGCAACTGAGTTGTGATGTTTGCATTCAACTCACAGAGTTCAACATTCCTTTTAATGGAGCGGTTTTGAAACACTCTTTTTGCAGAATCTGCAAGTGGATATTTGGACCTCTTTGAGGCCTTCGTTGGAAACGGGATTTCTTCATGTAATGCCAGACAGAGAATTCTCAGTGAATTCTTTCTGTGTGTGTGTATTCAACTCACAGAGTTGAACGTTCCTTTAGACAGAGTAGATTGGAAACACTCTTTTTGTGGAATTTTCAGGTGGAGGTATCAAGCGCTTTGAGGCCAATGATAGAAAAGGAAATACCTTCGTATAATAATTAGACGGAATCATTCTCAGAAACCGCTTTGCAATGTGTGCGTTCAACTCACAGTGTTTAACCTTTCTTTTCATACAGTTGTTTCGAAACACTCTTTTTGCAGAATCTGCAAGTGGATATTTGGACCTCTTTGAAGTCTTCGTTGGAAATGGGATTTCTTCATATAATGCTAGACAGAAGACTTCTCAGTAACTGCTTTTTCTGGTGTGTATTCAACTCTCAGAGTTGAACTTTCCTTTAGAAACAGCAGATTTGAAACTCTCTTTTTGTGGAATTTGCAAGTGGAGATTTCAGAGCTTTGAGGCCAATGGTAGAAAAGGAAATATCTTCGTATGCAAACTAGACAGAATCATTCTCAGAAACTACTTTGGTACGTGTGTGTTCAACTCACAGTGTTTAACCTTTCTTTTCATAGAGCAGTTTGGAAACACTCAGTTTGTAAAGTCAGCAACTGGATATTTGGATGTATTTGAGGCCTTCGTTGGAAACGGGATTTCTTCATATAATGCTAGACAGAAGAATTCTCAGTAACTTCTTTGGGTTGTGGGTATTCAAGTCACAGAGTTGAAGCTTCCTTTAGGCGGAGCAGATTGGAAACACTTTTTGTGGAATTTTCAGGGGGAGACTTCAAGCGCTTTGAAGTGAATGGTAGGAAAGGAAATATCTTCGTATAAAAACTAGACAGAGTCATTCTCAGAAACTACTTTGTGATGTTTGCGTTCAACTCACAGAGTTTAACGTTTCTTTTCATAGAGCAGTTTGGAAACACTCTTTTTGCAGAATCTGCAAGTGGATATTTGGACCTCTTTGTGGCCTTCGTTGGAAACGGGATTTTTCATATAATGCTAGACAGAAGAATTCTCAGTAACTTCTTTTTGTGGTGTGTATTCAACTCACAGAGTTGAACCTTCCTTTAGACAGAGCAGATTTGAAACTCTCTTTTTGTGGAATTTGCAAGTGGAGATTTCAAGCGCTTTGAGGCCAACGGCAGAAAAGGAAATATCTTCGTAGAAAAAATAGATGGAATCATTCTCAGAAACTGCTTTGGGATGTGTGCATTGAACTCACAGTGTTTAACACTTCTTTTCATAGAGCACTTTGGAAACACTCAGTTTGTAATGTCTGCAGCTGGATATTTGGACCTCTTTGAGGCCTTCGTAGTAAACGGGATTTCTTCGTGTAATGATAGACAATAGAATTCTCAGTGAATTTTTTTCTGTGTGTGTGTATTCAACTCACAGGGTTGAACCTTCCTTTAGACAGTGCAGATTTGAAACACTTGTCTGTGGAATTTGCAAGGGGAGATTTCAAGCACTTTGAGGCCATTGGTGGAAAAGGAAATATCTTCGTATGAAAACTAGACAGAATCATTCTCAGGAACTACTTTGTGATATGTGCATTCAACTCCCAGAGTTTAACCTTTCTTTTCATAGATGAGTTTGGAAACAGTCAGTTTGTAAATTCTGCAACTGGATATTTGGACCTCTTTGAGGCTTTCGTTGGAAATGGGATTTCTTCACATAATGCTAGACAGAAGAATTCTCAGTAACTTCTTTTGGGATGTATGTATTCAAATCAGAGAGTTGAACCTTCCTTTAGACAGAGCGGATTGGAAACACTCTTTTTGTGGAATTTGCAAGTGGAAAATTCTAGCAGTATGAGGCCAATGGTACAAAAGGAAATATCTTCGTATAAAAACTAGACAGTATCATTCTCAGAAACTGCTTTGTGATGTGTGTATTAAACTCACAGTGTTGAACATTTCTTTGCATAGAGCAGTTTGGAAAGACTTAGTTTGTGCAGTGTGCAAGTGGATATTTGGAACTCTTTGAGGCCTTCGTTGGAAACGGGATTTCTTCTTATAATTCTTGACAAAAGAATTCTCAGTAGCTTCTTTGTGTGTGTGTATTCAACTCACAGAGTTGAACCTTCCTTTAGACAGAGCAGATTGGAAACACTCTTTTTGTGGAATTTGCAAGTGGAGAATTCTAGCGCTTTGACGCCAATGGTAGAAAGGAAATATCTTCGTATAAAAACTAGACAGTATCATTCTCAGAAGCTACTTTGTGATGTGTGCGTTCAACTCACAGAGTTTAACCTTTCTTTTCATAGAGCAGTTTGGAAACACTCTGTTTGTGAAGTCTGCAAGTGGATATTTAAACGTCTTTGAGGCCTTCGTTGGAAACGGGATTTTTTCATATAAACTAGGACAGAAGAATTCTCAGAAACGTCTTGATTGTTATGTGTGCATTCAACTCACAGAGTTGAACCTTACTTTGGAAAGAGCAGTTTTCTAACACTCTTTTTGTAAAAGTTCCAAGTGAATACTTTGAGTGCTTTGAACCCTACGGTTGACAACGAAATATCTTCATGTAAAAACTACAAAGAATCATTCGCAGAAACCACGTTGTGATCTCTGCATTCAACTCACAGAGTTCAACCTTTCTTCCTATAGAGCAGTTATGAAACAGTCTCTTTGTAGAATTTGCAAGGGTGTATTTAGAGGGCATTGAAGCCTACGGTAGAAAAGGAAATATCTTACCATAAAATCTAGTCAGAAGCATTCTCAGCAACTGAGTTGTGATGTTTGCATTCAACTCACAGAGTTCAACATTCCTTTTAATGGAGCGGTTTTGAAACACTCTTTTTGCAGAATCTGCAAGTGGATATTTGGACCTCTTTGAGGCCTTCGTTGGAAACGGGATTTCTTCATGTAATGTCAGACAGAAGAATTCTCAGTGAATTCTTTCTGTGTGTGTGTATTCAACTCACAGAGTTGAACGTTCCTTTAGACAGAGTAGATTGGAAACACTCTTTTTGTGGAATTTTCAGGTGGAGGTATCAAGCGCTTTGAGGCCAATGATAGAAAAGGAAATACCTTCGTATAATAATTAGACGGAATCATTCTCAGAAACTGCTTTGCAATGGGTGTGTTCAACTCACAGTGTTTAACCTTTCTTTTCATACAGTTGTTTCGAAACACTCTTTTTGCAGAATCTGCAAGTGGATATTTGGACCTGTTTGAAGTCTTCTTTGGAAATGGGATTTCTTCATATAATGCTAGACAGAAGACTTCTCAGTAACTGCTTTTTCTGGTGTGTATTCAACTCTCAGAGTTGAACTTTCCTTTAGAAACAGCAGATTTGAAACTCTCTTTTTGTGAAATTTGCAAGTGGAGATTTCAAAGCTTTGAGGCCAGTGGTAGAAAAGGAAATATCTTTGTATGCAAACTAGACAGAATCATTCTCAGAAACTACTTTGGTACGTGTGTGTTCAACTCACAGTGTTTAACCTTTCTTTTCATAGAGCAGTTTGGAAACACTCAGTTTGTAAAGTCAGCAACTGGATATGTGGATGTATTTGAGGCCTTCGTTGGAAACGGGATTTCTTCCTATAATGCGAGACAGAAGAATTCTCAGTAACTTCTTTGGGTTGTGGGTATTCAAGTCACAGAGTTGAAGCTTCCTTTAGGCGGAGCAGATTGGAAACACTTTTTGTGGAATTTTCAGGGGGAGACTTCAAGCGCTTTGAAGTGAATGGTAGGAAAGGAAATATCTTCGTATAAAAACTAGACGGAGTCATTCTCAGAAACTACTTTGTGATGTTTGCGTTCAACTCACAGAGTTTAACGTTTCTTTTCATAGAGCAGTTTGGAAACACTCTTTTTGCAGAATCTGCAAGTGGATATTTGGACCTCTTTGTGGCCTTCGTTGGAAACGGGATTTTTCATATAATGCTAGACAGAAGAATTCTCAGTAACTTCTTTTTGTGGTGTGTATTCAACTCACAGAGTTGAACCTTCCTTTAGACAGAGCAGATTTGAAACTCTCTTTTTGTGGAATTTGCAAGTGGAGATTTCAAGCGCTTTGAGGCCAACGGTAGAAAAGGAAATATCTTCGTAGAAAAAATAGACGGAATCATTCTCAGAAACTGCTTTGGGATGTGTGCATTGAACTCACAGTGTTTAACACTTCTTTTCATAGAGCACTTTGGAAACACTCAGTTTGTAATGTCTGCATCTGGTTATTTGGACCTCTTTGAGGCCTTCGTAGTAAACGGGATTTCTTCGTGTAATGATAGACAATAGAATTCTCAGTGAATTTTTTTCTGTGTGTGTGTATTCAACTCACAGGGTTGAACCATCCTTTAGACAGTGCAGATTTGAAACACTTGTCTGTGGAATTTGCAAGGGGAGATTTCAAGCACTTTGAGGCCATTGGTGGAAAAGGAAATATCTTCGTATGAAAACTAGACAGAATCATTCTCAGGAACTACTTTGTGATATGGGCATTCAACTCACAGAGTTTAACCTTTCTTTTCATAGATGAGTTTGGAAACAGTCAGTTTGTAAATTCTGCAACTGGATATTTGGACCTCTTTGAGGCTTTCGTTGGAAACGGGATTTCTTCACATAATGCTAGACAGAAGAATTCTCAGTAACTTCTTTTGGGATGTATGTATTCAAATCAGAGAGTTGAACCTTCCTTTAGACAGAGCGGATTGGAAACACTCTTTTTGTGGAATTTGCAAGTGGAAAATTCTAGCAGTTTGAGGCCAATGGTACAAAAGGAAATATCTTCGTATAAAAACTAGACAGTATCGTTCTCAGAAACTGCTTTGTGATGTGTGAATTAAACTCACAGAGTTGAACATTTCTTTGCATAGAGCAGTTTGGAAAGACTTAGTTTGTGCAGTGTGCAAGTGGATATTTGGAACTCTTTGAGGCCTTCGTTGGAAACGGGATTTCTTCTTATAATTCTTGACAAAAGAATTCTCAGTAGCTTCTTTGTGTGTGTGTATTCAACTCACAGAGTTGAACCTTCCTTTAGACAGAGCAGATTGGAAACACTCTTTTTGTGGAATTTGCAAGTGGAGAATTCTAGCGCTTTGACGCCAATGGTAGAAAGGAAATATCTTCGTATAAAAACTAGACAGTATCTTTCTCAGAAACAACTTTGTGATGTGTGCGTTCAACTCACAGAGTTTAACCTTTCTTTTCATAGAGCAGTTTGGAAACACTCTGTTTGTGAAGTCTGCAAGTGGATATTTAAACGTCTCTGAGGCCTTCGTTGGAAACGGGATTTTTTCATATAAACCAGGACA
This sequence comes from Homo sapiens, assembly GCF_000001405.40. Taxonomy (NCBI): domain Eukaryota; kingdom Metazoa; phylum Chordata; class Mammalia; order Primates; family Hominidae; genus Homo; species Homo sapiens. The sequence goes on from NC_000003.12 coordinate 93,099,252, forward strand.
GAAGAATTCTCAGAAACTTCTTGATTGTTATGTGTGCATTCAACTCACAGAGTTGAACCTTACTTTGGAAAGAGCAGTTTTCTAACACTCTTTTTGTAAAAGTTCCAAGTGAATACTTTGAGTGCTTTGAAGCCTACGGTTGACAACGAAATATCTTCATGTAAAAACTACAAAGAATCATTCGCAGAAACCACGTTGTGATCTCTGCATTCAACTCACATGAGTTCAACCTTTCTTCCTATAGAGCAGTTATGAAACAGTCTCTTTGTAGAATTTGCAAGGGTGTATTTAGAGGGCATTGAAGCCTACGGTAGAAAAGGAAATATCTTACCATAAAATCTAGTCAGAAGCATTCTCAGAAACTGAGTTGTGATGTTTGCATTCAACTCACAGAGTTCAACATTCCTTTTAATGGAGCGGTTTTGAAACACTCTTTTTGCAGAATCTGCAAGTGGATATTTGGACCTCTTTGAGGCCTTCGTTGGAAACGGGATTTCTTCATGTAATGCCAGACAGAAGAATTCTCAGTGAATTCTTTCTGTGTGTGTGTATTCAACTCACAGAGTTGAACGTTCCTTTAGACAGAGTAGATTGGAAACACTCTTTTTGTGGAATTTTCAGGTGGAGGTATCAAGCGCTTTGAGGCCAATGATAGAAAAGGAAATACCTTCGTATAATAATTAGACGGAATCATTCTCAGAAACTGCTTTGCAATGTGTGCGTTCAACTCACAGTGTTTAACCTTTCTTTTCATACAGTTGTTTCGAAACACTCTTTTTGCAGAATCTGCAAGTGGATATTTGGACCTCTTTGAAGTCTTCGTTGGAAATGGGATTTCTTCATATAATGCTAGACAGAAGACTTCTCAGTAACTGCTTTTTCTGGTGTGTATTCAACTCTCAGAGTTGAACTTTCCTTTAGAAACAGCAGAGTTGAAACTCTCTTTTTGTGGAATTTGCAAGTGGAGATTTCAAAGCTTTGAGGCCAATGGTAGAAAAGGAAATATCTTCGTATGCAAACTAGACAGAATCATTCTCAGAAACTACTTTGGTACGTGTGTGTTCAACTCACAGTGTTTAACCTTTCTTTTCATAGAGCAGTTTGGAAACACTCAGTTTGTAAAGTCAGCAACTGGATATTTGGATGTATTTGAGGCCTTCGTTGGAAACGGGATTTCTTCATATAGTGCTAGACAGAAGAATTCTCAGTAACTTCTTTGGGTTGTGGGTATTCAACTCACAGAGTTGAAGCTTCCTTTAGGCGGAGCAGATTGGAAACACTTTTTGTGGAATTTTCAGGGGGAGACTTCAAGCGCTTTGAAGTGAATGGTAGGAAAGGAAATATCTTCGTATAAAAACTAGACGGAGTCATTCTCAGAAACTACTTTGTGATGTTTGCGTTCAACTCACAGAGTTTAACGTTTCTTTTCATAGAGCAGTTTGGAAACACTCTTTTTGCAGAATCTGCAAGTGGATATTTGGACCTCTTTGTGGCCTTCGTTGGAAACGGGATTTTTCATATAATGCTAGACAGAAGAATTCTCAGTAACTTCTTTTTGTGGTGTGTATTCAACTCACAGAGTTGAACCTTCCTTTAGACAGAGCAGATTTGAACCTCTCTTTTTGTGGAATTTGCAAGTGGAGATTTCAAGCGCTTTGAGGCCAACGGCAGAAAAGGAAATATCTTCGTAGAAAAAATAGACGGAATCATTCTCAGAAACTGCTTTGGGATGTGTGCATTGAACTCACAGTGTTTAACACTTCTTTTCATAGAGCACTTTGGAAACACTCAGTTTGTAATGTCTGCAGCTGGATATTTGGACCTCTTTGAGGCCTTCGTAGTAAACGGGATTTCTTCGTGTAATGATAGACAATAGAATTCTCAGTGAATTTTTTTCTGTGTGTGTGTATTCAACTCACAGGGTTGAACCTTCCTTTAGACAGTGCAGATTTGAAACACTTGTCTGTGGAATTTGCAAGGGGAGATTTCAAGCACTTTGAGGCCATTGGTGGAAAAGCAAATAACTTCGTATAAAAACTAGACAGAATCATTCTCAGGAACTACTTTGTGATATGTGCATTCAACTCACAGAGTTTAACCTTTCTTTTCATAGATGAGTTTGGAAACAGTCAGTTTGTAAATTCTGCAACTGGATATTTGGACCTCTTTGAGGCTTTCGTTGGAAACGGGATTTCTTCACATAATGCTAGACAAGAATTCTCAGTAACTTCTTTTGGGATGTATGTATTCAAATCAGAGAGTTGAACCTTCCTTTAGACAGAGCGGATTGGAAACACTCTTTTTGTGGAATTTGCAAGTGGAAAATTCTAGCAGTATGAGGCCAATGGTACAAAAGGAAATATCTTCGTATAAAAACTAGACAGTATCATTCTCAGAAACTGCTTTGTGATGTGTGTATTAAACTCACAGAGTTGAACATTTCTTTGCATAGAGCAGTTTGGAAAGACTTAGTTTGTGCAGTGTGCAAGTGGATATTTGGAACTCTTTGAGGCCTTCGTTGGAAACGGGATTTCTTCTTATAATTCTTGACAAAAGAATTCTCAGTAGCTTCTTTGTGTGTGTGTATTCAACTCACAGAGTTGAACCTTCCTTTAGACAGAGCAGATTGGAAACACACTTTTTGTGGAATTTGCAAGTGGAGAATTCTAGCGCTTTGACGCCAATGGTAGAAAGGAAATATCTTCGTATAAAAACTAGACAGTATCATTCTCAGAAACTACTTTGTGATGTGTGCGTTCAACTCACAGAGTTTAACCTTTCTTTTCATAGAGCAGTTTGGAAACACTCTGTTTGTGAAGTCTGCATGTGGATATTTAAACGTCTTTGAGGCCTTCGTTGGAAACGGGATTTTTTCATATAAACCAGGACAGAAGAATTCTCAGAAACTTCTTGTTTGTTATGTGTGCATTCAACTCACAGAGTTGAACCTTACTTCGGAAAGAGCAGTTTTCTAACACTCTTTTTGTAAAAGTTCCAAGTGAATACTTTGAGTGCTTTGAAGCCTACGGTAGACAACGAAATAGCTTCATGTAAAAACTGCAAAGAATCATTCGCCGAAACCACGTTGTGATCTCTGCATTCAACTCACAGAGTTCAACCTTTCTTCCTATAGAGCAGTTATTAAACAGTCTCTTTGTAGAATTTGCAAGGGTGTATTTAGAGGGCATTGAGGCCTACGGTAGAAAAGGAAATATCTGACCATAAAATCTAGTCAGAAGCATTCTCAGAAACTGAGTTGTGATGTTTGCATTCAACTCACAGAGTTCAACATTCCTTTTCATAGAGCGGTTTTGAAACACTCTTTTTCCAGAATCTGCAAGTGGATATTTGGACCTCTTTGAGGCCTTCGTTGGAAACGGGATTTCTTCATGTAATCCCAGACAGAAGAACTCTCAGTGAATTCTTTCTGTGTGTGTGTACTCAACTCACAGAGTTGAACGTTCCCTTAGACAGAGTAGATTGGAAACACTCTTTTTGTGGAATGTTCACGTGGAGGTATCAAGCGCTTTGAGGCCAAGATAGAAAAGGAAATACCTTCGTATAATAATTAGATGGAATCATTCTCAGAAACTGCTTTGCAATGTGTGCCTTCAACTCACAGTGTTTAACCTTTCTTTTCATACAGTTGTTTCGAAACACCCTTTTTGCGGAATCTGGAAGTGGATATTTGGACCTCTTTGAAGTCTTCGTTGGAAATGGGATTTCTTCATATAATGCTAGACAGAAGACTTCTCAGTAACTGGTTTTTCTGGTGTGTATTCAACTCTCAGAGTTGAACTTTCCTTTAGAAACAGCAGATATGAAACTCTCTTTTTGTGGAATTTGCAAGTGGAGATTTCAAAGCATTGAGGCCAATGGTAGAAAAGGAAATATCTTCGTATGCCAACTAGACAGAATCATTCTCAGAAACTACTTTGGTACGTGTGTGTTCAACTCACAGTGTTTAACCTTTCCTTTCATAGAGCAGCTTGGAAACACTCAGTTTGTAAAGTCAGCCACTGGATATTTGGATGTATTTGAGGCCTTCGTTGGAAACGGGATTTCTTCATATAATGCTAGACAGAAGAATTCTCAGTAACTTCTTTGTGTTGTGGGTATTCAACTCACAGAGTTGAAGCTTCCTTTAGGCGGAGCAGATTGGAAACACTTTTTGTGGAATTTTCAGGGGGAGACTTCAAGCGCTTTGAGGCCAACGGTAGAAAAGGAAATATCTTCGTATAAAAACTAGACGGAGTCATTCTCAGAAACTACTTTGTGATGTTTGCGTTCAACTCACAGAGTTTAACGTTTCTTTTCATAGAGCAGTTTGGAGACACTCTTTTTGCAGAATCTGCAAGTGGATATTTGGACCTCTTTGTGGCCTTCGTTGGAAACGGGATTTTTCATATAATGCTAGACAGAAGAATTCTCAGTAACTTCTTTTTGTGGTGTGTATTCAACTCACAGAGTTGAACCTTCCTTTAGACAGAGCAGATTTGAAACTCTCTTTTCGTGGAATTTGCAAGTGGAGATTTCAAGCGCTTTGAGGCCAACGGTAGAAAAGGAAATATCTTCGTAGAAAAAATAGACGGAATCATTCTCAGAAACTGCTTTGGGATGTGTGCATTGAACTCACAGTGTTTAACACTTCTTTTCATAGAGCACTTTGGAAACACTCAGTTTGTAATGTCTGCAGCTGGATATTTGGACCTCTTTGAGGCCTTCGTGGTAAACGGGATTTCTTCGTGTAATGATAGACAATAGAATTCTCAGTGAATTTTTTTCTGTGTGTGTGTATTCAACTCACAGGGTTGAACCTTCCTTTAGACAGTGCAGATTTGAAACACTTGTCTGTGGAATTTGCAAGGGGAGATTTCAAGCACTTTGAGGCCATTGGTGGAAAAGGAAATATCTTCGTATGAAAACTAGACAGAATCATTCTCAGGAACTACTTTGTGATATGTGCATTCAACTCACAGAGTTCAACCTTTCTTTTCATAGATGAGTTTGGAAACAGTCAGTTTGTAAATTCTGCAACTGGATATTTGGACCTCTTTGAGGCTTTCGTTGGAAACGGGATTTCTTCACATAATGCTAGACAGAAGAATTCTCAGTAACTTCTTTTGGGATGTATGTATTCAAATCAGAGAGTTGAACCTTCCTTTAGACAGAGCAGATTGGAAACACTCTTTTTGTGGAATTTGCAAGTGGAAAATTCTAGCAGTATGAGGCCAATGGTACAAAAGGAAATATCTTCGTATAAAAACTAGACAGTATCATTCTCAGAAACTGCTTTGTGATGTGTGTATTAAACTCACAGAGTTGAACATTTCTTTGCATAGAGCAGTTTGGAAAGACTTAGTTTTTGCAGTGTGCAAGTGGATATTTGGAACTCTTTGAGGCCTTCGTTGGAAACGGGATTTCTTCTTATAATTTCTTGAAAAAAGAATTCTCAGTAGCTTCTTTGTGTGTGTGTATTCAACTCACAGAGTTGAACCTTCCTTTAGACAGAGCAGATTGGAAACACTCTTTTTGTGGAATTTGCAAGTGGAGAATTCTAGCGCTTTGACGCCAATGGTAGAAAGGAAATATCTTCGTATAAAAACTAGACAGTATCATTCTCAGAAGCTACTTTGTGATGTGTGCGTTCAACTCACAGAGTTTAACCTTTCTTTTCATAGAGCAGTTTGGAAACCCTCTGTTTGTGAAGTCTGCAAGTGGATATTTAAACGTCTTTGAGGCCTTCGTTGGAAACGGGATTTTTTCATATAAACCAGGACAGAAGAATTCTCAGAAACTTCTTGATTGTTATGTGTGCATTCAACTCACAGAGTTGAACCTTACTTTGGAAAGAGCAGTTTTCTAACACTCTTTTTGTAAAAGTTCCAAGTGAATACTTTGAGTGCTTTGAAGCCTACGGTTGACAACGAAATATCTTCATGTAAAAACTACAAAGAATCATTCGCAGAAACCACGTTGTGATCTCTGCATTCAACTCACAGAGTTGAACCTTTCTTCCTATAGAGCAGTTATGAAACAGTCTCTTTGTAGAATTCGCAAGGGTGTATTTAGAGGGCATTGAAGCCTACGGTAGAAAAGGAAATATCTTACCATAAAATCTAGTCAGAAGCATTCTCAGAAACTGAGTTGTGATGTTTGCATTCAACTCACAGAGTTCAACATTCCTTTTAATGGAGCGGTTTTGAAACACTCTTTTTGCAGAATCTGCAAGTGGATATTTGGACCTCTTTGAGGCCTTCGTTGGAAACGGGATTTCTTCATGTAATGCCAGACAGAAGAATTCTCAGTGAATTCTTTCTGTGTGTGTGTATTCAACTCACAGAGTTGAACGTTCCTTTAGACAGAGTAGATTGGAAACACTCTTTTTGTGGAATTTTCAGGTGGAGGTATCAAGCGCTTTGAGGCCCATGATAGAAAAGGAAATGCCTTCGTATAATAATTAGACGGAATCATTGTCAGAAAATGCTTTGCAATGGGTGCGTTCAACTCACAGTGTTTAACCTTTCTTTTCATACAGTTGTTTCGAAACACTCTTTTTGCAGAATCTGCAAGTGGATATTTGGACCTGTTTGAAGTCTTCTTTGGAAATGGGATTTCTTCATATAATGCTAGACAGAAGACTTCTCAGTAACTGCTTTTTCTGGTGTGTATTCAACTCTCAGAGTTGAACTTTCCTTTAGAAACAGCAGATTTGAAACTCTCTTTTTGTGGAATTTGCAAGTGGAGATTTCAAAGCTTTGAGGCCAGTGGTAGAAAAGGAAATATCTTTGTATGCAAACTAGACAGAATCATTCTCAGAAACTACTTTGGTACGTGTGTGTTCAACTCACAGTGTTTAACCTTTCTTTTCATAGAGCAGTTTGGAAACACTCAGTTTGTAAAGTCAGCAACTGGATATGTGGATGTATTTGAGGCCTTCGTTGGAAACGGGATTTCTTCATATAATGCGAGACAGAAGAATTCTCAGTAACTTCTTTGTGTTGTGGGTATTCAACTCACAGAGTTGAAGCTTCCTTTAGGCGGAGCAGATTGGAAACACTTTTTGTGGAATTTTCAGGGGGAGACTTCAAGCGCTTTGAGGCCAACGGTAGAAAAGGAAATATCTTCGTATAAAAACTAGACGGAGTCATTCTCAGAAACTACTTTGTGATGTTTGCGTTCAACTCACAGAGTTTAACGTTTCTTTTCATAGAGCAGTTTGGAAACACTCTTTTTGCAGAATCTGCAAGTGGATATTTGGACCTCTTTGTGGCCTTCGTTGGAAACGGGATTTTTCATATAATGCTAGACAGAAGAATTCTCAGTAACTTCTTTTTGTGGTGTGTATTCAACTCACAGAGTTGAACCTTCCTTTAGACAGAGCAGATTTGAAACTCTCTTTTTGTGGAATTTGCAAGTGGAGATTTCAAGCGCTTTGAGGCCAACGGCAGAAAAGGAAATATCTTCGTAGAAAAAATAGACGGAATCATTCTCAGAAACTGCTTTGGGATGTGTGCATTGAACTCACAGTGTTTAACACTTCTTTTCATAGAGCACTTTGGAAACACTCAGTTTATAATGTCTGCAGCTGGATATTTGGACCTCTTTGAGGCCTTCGTAGTAAACGGGATTTCTTCGTGTAATGATAGACAATAGAATTCTCAGTGAATTTTTTTCTGTGTGTGTGTATTCAACTCACAGGGTTGAACCATCCTTTAGACAGTGCAGATTTGAAACACTTGTCTGTGGAATTTGCAAGGGGAGATTTCAAGCACTTTGAGGCCATTGGTGGAAAAGGAAATATCTTCGTATGAAAACTAGACAGAATCATTCTCAGGAACTACTTTGTGATATGTGCATTCAACTCCCAGAGTTTAACCTTTCTTTTCATAGATGAGTTTGGAAACAGTCAGTTTGTAAATTCTGCAACTGGATATTTGGACCTCTTTGAGGCTTTCGTTGGAAACGGGATTTCTTCACATAATGCTAGACAGAAGAATTCTCAGTAACTTCTTTTGGGATGTATGTATTCAAATCAGAGAGTTGAACCTTCCTTTAGACAGAGCGGATTGGAAACCCTCTTTTTGTGGAATTTGCAAGTGGAAAATTCTAGCAGTATGAGGCCAATGGTACAAAAGGAAATATCTTCGTATAAAAACTAGACAGTATCATTCTCAGAAACTGCTTTGTGATGTGTGTATTAAACTCACAGAGTTGAACATTTCTTTGCATAGAGCAGTTTGGAAAGACTTAGTTTGTGCAGTGTGCAAGTGGATATTTGGAACTCTTTGAGGCCTTCGTTGGAAACGGGATTTCTTCTTATAATTTCTTGACAAAAGAATTCTCAGTAGCTTCTTTGTGTGTGTGTATTCAACTCACAGAGTTGAACCTTCCTTTAGACAGAGCAGATTGGAAACACTCTTTTTGTGGAATTTGCAAGTGGAGAATTCTAGCGCTTTGACGCCAATGGTAGAAAGGAAATATCTTCGTATAAAAACTAGACAGTATCATTCTCAGAAACTACTTTGTGATGTGTGCGTTCAACTCACAGAGTTTAACCTTTCTTTTCATAGAGCAGTTTGGAAACACTCTGTTTGTGAAGTCTGCAAGTGGATATTTAAACGTCTTTGAGGCCTTCGTTGGAAACGGGATGTTTTCATATAAACCAGGACAGAAGAATTCTCAGAAACTTCTTGATTGTTATGTGTGCATTCAACTCACAGAGTTGAACCTTACTTTGGAAAGAGCAGTTTTCTAACACTCTTTTTGTAAAAGTTCCAAGTGAATACTTTGAGTGCTTTGAAGCCTACGGTTGACAACGAAATATCTTCATGTAAAAACTACAAAGAATCATTCGCAGAAACCACGTTGTGATCTCTGCATTCAACTCACAGAGTTGAACCTTTCTTCCTATAGAGCAGTTATGAAACAGTCTCTTTGTAGAATTTGCAAGGGTGTATTTAGAGGGCATTGAAGCCTACGGTAGAAAAGGAAATATCTTACCATAAAATCTAGTCAGAAGCATTCTCAGCAACTGAGTTGTGATGTTTGCATTCAACTCACAGAGTTCAACATTCCTTTTCATGGAGCGGTTTTGAAACACTCTTTTTGCAGAATCTGCAAGTGGATATTTGGACCTCTTTGAGGCCTTCGTTGGAAACGGGATTTCTTCATGTAATGCCAGACAGAAGAATTCTCAGTGAATTCTTTCTGTGTGTGTGTATTCAACTCACAGAGTTGAACGTTCCTTTAGACAGAGTAGATTGGAAACACTCTTTTTGTGGAATTTTCAGGTGGAGGTATCAAGCGCTTTGAGGCCAATGATAGAAAAGGAAATACCTTCGTATAATAATTAGACGGAATCATTCTCAGAAACTGCTTTGCAATGTGTGCGTTCAACTCACAGTGTTTAACCTTTCTTTTCATACAGTTGTTTCGAAACACTCTTTTTGCAGAATCTGCAAGTGGATATTTGGACCTCCTTTGAAGTCTTCGTTGGAAATGGGATTTCTTCATATAATGCTAGACAGAAGACTTCTCAGTAACTGCTTTTTCTGGTGTGTATTCAACTCTCAGAGTTGAACTTTCCTTTAGAAACAGCAGATTTGAAACTCTCTTTTTGTGGAATTTGCAAGTGGAGATTTCAGAGCTTTGAGGCCAATGGTAGAAAAGGAAACATCTTCGTATGCAAACTAGACAGAATCATTCTCAGAAACTACTTTGGTACGTGTGTGTTCAACTCACAGTGTTTAACCTTTCTTTTCATAGAGCAGTTTGGAAACACTCAGTTTGTAAAGTCAGCAACTGGATATTTGGATGTATTTGAGGCCTTCGTTGGAAACGGGATTTCTTCATATAATGCTAGACAGAAGAATTCTCAGTAACTTCTTTGGGTTGTGGGTATTCAAGTCACAGAGTTGAAGCTTCCTTTAGGCGGAGCAGATTGGAAACACTTTTTGTGGAATTTTCAGGGGGAGACTTCAAGCGCTTTGAAGTGAATGGTAGGAAAGGAAATATCTTCGTATAAAAACTAGACGGAGTCATTCTCAGAAACTACTTTGTGATGTTTGCGTTCAACTCACAGAGTTTAACGTTTCTTTTCATAGAGCAGTTTGGAAACACTCTTTTTGCAGAATCTGCAAGTGGATATTTGGACCTCTTTGTGGCCTTCGTTGGAAACGGGATTTTTCATATAATGCTAGATAGAAGAATTCTCAGTAACTTCTTTTTGTGGTGTGTATTCAACTCACAGAGTTGAACCTTCCTTTAGACAGAGCAGATTTGAAACTCTCTTTTTGTGGAATTTGCAAGTGGAGATTTCAAGCGCTTTGAGGCCAACGGTAGAAAAGTAAATATCTTCGTAGAAAAAATAGACGGAATCATTCTCAGAAACTGCTTTGGGATGTGTGCATTGAACTCACAGTGTTTAACACTTCTTTTCATAGAGCACTTTGGAAACACTCAGTTTGTAATGTCTGCAGCTGGATATTTGGACCTCTTTGAGGCCTTCGTAGTAAACGGGATTTCTTCGTGTAATGATAGACAATAGAATTCTCAGTGAATTTTTTTCTGTGTGTGTGTATTCAACTCACAGGGTTGAACCTTCCTTTAGACAGTGCAGATTTGAGACACTTGTCTGTGGAATTTGCAAGGGGAGATTTCAAGCACTTTGAGGCCATTGGTGGAAAAGGAAATATCTGCGTATAAAAACTAGACAGAATCATTCTCAGGAACTACTTTGTGATATGTGCATTCAACTCACAGAGTTTAACCTTTCTTTTCATAGATGAGTTTGGAAACAGTCAGTTTGTAAATGCTGCAACTGGATATTTGGGCCTCTTTGAGGCTTTCGTTGGAAACGGGATTTCTTCACATAATGCTAGACAGAAGAATTCTCAGTAACTTCTTTTGGGATGTATGTATTCAAATCAGAGAGTTGAACCTTCCTTTAGACAGAGCGGATTGGAAACACTCTTTTTGTGGAATTTGCAAGTGGAAAATTCTAGCAGTATGAGGCCAATGGTACAAAAGGAAATATCTTCGTATAAAAACTAGACAGTATCATTCTCAGAAACTGCTTTGTGATGTGTGTATTAAACTCACAGAGTTGAACATTTCTTTGCATAGAGCAGTTTGGAAAGACTTAGTTTGTGCAGTGTGCAAGTGGATATTTGGAACTCTTTGAGGCCTTCGTTGGAAACGGGATTTCTTCTTATAATTCTTGACAAAAGAATTCTCAGTAGCTTCTTTGTGTGTGTGTATTCAACTCACAGAGTTGAACCTTCCTTTAGACAGAGCAGATTGGAAACACTCTTTTTGTGGAATTTGCAAGTGGAGAATTCTAGCGCTTTGACGCCAATGGTAGAAAGGAAATATCTTCGTATGCAAACTAGACAGTATCATTCTCAGAAGCTACTTTGTGATGTGTGCGTTCAACTCACAGAGTTTAACCTTTCTTTTCATAGAGCAGTTTGGAAACCCTCTGTTTGTGAAGTCTGCAAGTGGATATTTAAACGTCTTTGAGGCCTTCGTTGGAAACGGGATTTTTTCATATAAACCAGGACAGAAGAATTCTCAGAAACTTCTTGATTGTTATGTGTGCATTCAACTCACAGAGTTGAACCTTACTTTGGAAATAGCAGTTTTCTAACACTCTTTTTGTAAAAGTTCCAAGTGAATACTTTGAGTGCTTTGAAGCCTACGGTTGACAACGAAATATCTTCATGTAAAAACTACAAAGAATCATTCGCAGAAACCACGTTGTGATCTCTGCATTCAACTCACAGAGTTGAACCTTTCTTCCTATAGAGCAGTTATGAAACAGTCTCTTTGTAGAATTTGCAAGGGTGTATTTAGAGGGCATTGAAGCCTACGGTAGAAAAGGAAATATCTTACCATAAAATCTAGTCAGAAGCATTCTCAGCAACTGAGTTGTGATGTTTCCATTCAACTCACAGAGTTCAACATTCCTTTTAATGGAGCGGTTTTGAAACACTCTTTTTGCAGAATCTGCAAGTGGATATTTGGACCTCTTTGAGGCCTTCGTTGGAAACGGGATTTCTTCATGTAATGCCAGACAGAAGAATTCTCAGTGAATTCTTTCTGTGTGTGTGTATTCAACTCACAGAGTTGAACGTTCCTTTAGACAGAGTAGATTGGAAACACTCTTTTTGTGGAATTTTCAGGTGGAGGTATCAAGCGCTTTGAGGCCAATGATAGAAAAGGAAATACCTTCGTATAATAATTAGACGGAATCATTCTCAGAAACTGCTTTGCAATGTGTGCGTTCAACTCACAGTGTTTAACCTTTCTTTTCATACAGTTGTTTCGAAACACTCTTTTTGCAGAATCTGCAAGTGGATATTTGGACCTCTTTGAAGTCTTCGTTGGAAATGGGATTTCTTCATATAATGCTAGACAGAAGACTTCTCAGTAACTGCTTTTTCTGGTGTGTATTCAACTCTCAGAGTTGAACTTTCCTTTAGAAACAGCAGATTTGAAACTCTCTTTTTGTGGAATTTGCAAGTGGAGATTTCAGAGCTTTGAGGCCAATGGTAGAAAAGGAAATATCTTCGTATGCAAACTAGACAGAATCATTCTCAGAAACTACTTTGGTACGTGTGTGTTCAACTCACAGTGTTTAACCTTTCTTTTCATAGAGCAGTTTGGAAACACTCAGTTTGTAAAGTCAGCAACTGGATATTTGGATGTATTTGAGGCCTTCGTTGGAAACGGGATTTCTTCATATAATGCTAGACAGAAGAATTTTCAGTAACTTCTTTGGGTTGTGGGTATTCAACTCACAGAGTTGAAGCTTCCTTTAGGCGGAGCAGATTGGAAACACTTTTTGTGGAATTTTCAGGGGGAGACTTCAAGCGCTTTGAAGTGAATGGTAGGAAAGGAAATATCTTCGTATAAAAACTAGACGGAGTCATTCTCAGAAACTACTTTGTGATGTTTGCGTTCAACTCACAGAGTTTAACGTTTCTTTTCATAGAGCAGTTTGGAAACACTCTTTTTGCAGAATCTGCAAGTGGATATTTGGACCTCTTTGTGGCCTTCGTTGGAAACGGGATTTTTCATATAATGCTAGACAGAAGAATTCTCAGTAACTTCTTTTTGTGGTGTGTATTCAACTCACAGAGTTGAACCTTCCTTTAGACAGAGCAGATTTGAAACTCTCTTTTTGTGGAATTTGCAAGTGGAGATTTCAAGCGCTTTGAGGCCAACGGTAGAAAAGGAAATATCTTCGTAGAAAAAATAGACGGAATCATTCTCAGAAACTGCTTTGGGATGTGTGCATTGAACTCACAGTGTTTAACACTTCTTTTCATAGAGCACTTTGGAAACACTCAGTTTGTAATGTCTGCAGCTGGATATTTGGACCTCTTTGAGGCCTTCGTAGTAAACGGGATTTCTTCGTGTAATGATAGACAATAGAATTCTCAGTGAATTTTTTTCTGTGTGTGTGTATTCAACTCACAGGGTTGAACCTTCCTTTAGACAGTGCAGATTTGAGACACTTGTCTGTGGAATTTGCAAGGGGAGATTTCAAGCACTTTGAGGCCATTGGTGGAAAAGGAAATATCTTCGTATAAAAACTAGACAGAATCATTCTCAGGAACTACTTTGTGATATGTGCATTCAACTCACAGAGTTTAACCTTTCTTTTCATAGATGAGTTTGGAAACAGTCAGTTTGTAAATGCTGCAACTGGATATTTGGGCCTCTTTGAGGCTTTCGTTAGAAACGGGATTTCTTCACATAATGCTAGACAGAAGAATTCTCAGTAACTTCTTTTGGGATGTATGTATTCAAATCAGAGAGTTGAACCTTCCTTTAGACAGAGCGGATTGGAAACACTCTTTTTGTGGAATTTGCAAGTGGAAAATTCTAGCAGTATGAGGCCAATGGTACAAAAGGAAATATCTTCGTATAAAAACTAGACAGTATCATTCTCAGAAACTGCTTTGTGATGTGTGTATTAAACTCACAGAGTTTAACCTTTCTTTTCATAGAGCAGTTTGGAAACCCTCTTTTTGTGAAGTCTGCAAGTGGATATTTAAACGTCTTTGAGGCCTTCGTTGGAAACGGGATTTTTTCATATAAACCAGGACAGAAGAATTCTCAGAAACTTCTTGATTGTTATGTGTGCATTCAACTCACAGAGTTGAACCTTACTTTGGAAAGAGCAGTTTTCTAACACTCTTTTTGTAAAAGTTCCAAGTGAATACTTTGAGTGCTTTGAAGCCTACGGTTGACAACGAAATATCTTCATGTAAAAACTACAAAGAATCATTCGCAGAAACCACGTTGTGATCTCTGCATTCAACTCACAGAGTTCAACCTTTATTCCTATAGAGCAATTATTAAACAGTCTCTTTGTAGAATTTGCAAGGGTGTATTTAGAGGGCATTGAGGCCTACGGTAGAAAAGGAAATATCTGACCATAAAATCTAGTCAGAAGCATTCTCAGAAACTGAGTTGTGATGTTTGCATTCAACTCACAGAGTTCAACATTCCTTTTAATAGAGCGGTTTTGAAACACTCTTTTTGCAGAATCTGCAAGTGGATATTTGGACCTCTTTGAGGCCTTCGTTGGAAACGGGATTTCTTCATGTAATGCCAGACAGAAGAATTCTCAGTGAATTCTTTCTGTGTGTGTGTATTCAACTCACAGAGTTGAACGTTCCTTTAGACAGAGTAGATTGGAAACACTCTTTTTGTGGAATTTTCAGGTGGAGGTATCAAGCGCTTTGAGGCCCATGATAGAAAAGGAAATACCTTCGTATAATAATTAGACGGAATCATTCTCAGAAAATGCTTTGCAATGGGTGCGTTCAACTCACAGTGTTTAACCTTTCTTTTCATACAGTTGTTTCGAAACACTCTTTTTGCAGAATCTGCAAGTGGATATTTGGACCTGTTTGAAGTCTTCTTTGGAAATGGGATTTCTTCATATAATGCTAGACAGAAGACTTCTCAGTAACTGCTTTTTCTGGTGTGTATTCAACTCTCAGAGTTGAACTTTCCTTTAGGAACAGCAGATTTGAAACTCTCTTTTTGTGGAATTTGCAAGTGGAGATTTCAAAGCTTTGAGGCCAGTGGTAGAAAAGGAAATATCTTTGTATGCAAACTAGACAGAATCATTCTCAGAAACTACTTTGGTACGTGTGTGTTCAACTCACAGTGTTCAACCTTTCCTTTCATAGAGCAATTTGGAAACACTCAGTTTGTAAAGTCAGCAACTGGATATCTGGATGTATTTGAGGCCTTCGTTGGAAACGGGATTTCTTCATATAATGCTAGACAGAAGAATTCTCAGTAACTTCTTTGGGTTGTGGGTATTCAAGTCACAGAGTTGAAGCTTCCTTTAGGCGGAGCAGATTGGAAACACTTTTTGTGGAATTTTCAGGGGGAGACTTCAAGCGCTTTGAAGTGAATGGTAGGAAAGGAAATATCTTCGTATAAAAACTAGACGGAGTCATTCTCAGAAACTACTTTGTGATGTTTGCGTTCAACTCACAGAGTTTAACGTTTCTTTTCATAGAGCAGTTTGGAAACACTCTTTTTGCAGAATCTGCAAGTGGATATTTGGACCTCTTTGTGGCCTTCGTTGGAAACGGGATTTTTCATATAATGCTAGACAGAAGAATTCTCAGTAACTTCTTTTTGTGGTGTGTATTCAACTCACAGAGTTGAACCTTCCTTTAGACAGAGCAGATTTGAAACTCTCTTTTTGTGGAATTTGCAAGTGGAGATTTCAAGCGCTTTGAGGCCAACGGCAGAAAAGGAAATATCTTCGTAGAAAAAATAGACGGAATCATTCTCAGAAACTGCTTTGGGATGTGTGCATTGAACTCACAGTGTTTAACACTTCTTTTCATAGAGCACTTTGGAAACACTCAGTTTGTAATGTCTGCAGCTGGATATTTGGACCTCTTTGAGGCCTTCGTAGTAAACGGGATTTCTTCGTGTAATGATAGACAATAGAATTCTGAGTGAATTTTTTTCTGTGTGTGTGTATTCAACTCACAGGGTTGAACCTTCCTTTAGACAGTGCAGATTTGAAACACTTGTCTGTGGAATTTGCAAGGGGAGATTTCACGCACTTTGAGGCCATTGGTGGAAAAGGAAATATCTTCGTATAAAAACTAGACAGAATCATTCTCAGGAACTACTTTGTGATATGTGCATTCAACTCACAGAGTTTAACCTTTCTTTTCATAGATGAGTTTGGAAACAGTCAGTTTGTAAATTCTGCAACTGGATATTTGGACCTCTGTGAGGCTTTCGTTGGAAACGGGATTTCTTCACATAATGCTAGACAGAAGAATTCTCAGTAACTTCTTTTGGGATGTATGTATTCAAATCAGAGAGTTGAACCTTCCTTTAGACAGAGCGGATTGGAAACACTCTTTTTGTGGAATTTGCAAGTGGAAAATTCTAGCAGTATGAGGCCAATGGTACAAAAGGAAATATCTTCGTATAAAAACTAGACAGTATCATTCTCAGAAACTGCTTTGTGATGTGTGTATTAAACTCACAGATTTGAACATTTCTTTGCATAGAGCAGTATGGAAAGACTTAGTTTGTGCAGTGTGCAAGTGGATATTTGGAACTCTTTGAGGCCTTGGTTGGAAACGGGATTTCTTCTTATAATTCTTGACAAAAGAATTCTCAGTAGCTTCTTTGTGTGTGTGTATTCAACTCACAGAGTTGAACCTTCCTCTAGACAGAGCAGATTGGAAACACTCTTTTTGTGGAATTTGCAAGTGGAGAATTCTAGCGCTTTGACGCCAATGGTAGAAAGGAAATATCTTCGTATAAAAACTAGACAGTATCATTCTCAGAAACTACTTTGTGATGTGTGCGTTCAACTCACAGAGTTTAACCTTTCTTTTCATAGAGCAGTTTGGAAACACTCTGTGAAGTCTACAAGTGGATATTTAAACGTCTTTGAGGCCTTCGTTGGAAACGGGATTTTTTCATATAAACCAGGACAGAAGAATTCTCAGAAACTTCTTGATTGTTATGTGTGCATTCAACTCACAGAGTTGAACCTTACTTTGGAAAGAGCAGTTTTCTAACACTCTTTTTGTAAAAGTTCCAAGTGAATACTTTGAGTGCTTTGAAGCCTACGGTTGACAACGAAATATCTTCATGTAAAAACTACAAAGAATCATTCGCAGAAACCACGTTGTGATCTCTGCATTCAACTCACAGTGTTGAACCTTTCTTCCTATAGAGCAGTTATGAAACAGTCTCTTTGTAGAATTTGCAAGGGTGTATTTAGAGGGCATTGAAGCCTACAGTAGAAAAGGAAATATCTTACCATAAAATCTAGTCAGAAGCATTCTCAGCAACTGAGTTGTGATGTTTGCATTCAACTCACAGAGTTCAACATTCCTTTTCATGGAGCGGTTTTGAAACACTCTTTTTGCAGAATCTGCAAGTGGATATTTGGACCTCTTTGAGGCCTTCGTTGGAAACGGGATTTCTTCATGTAATGCCAGACAGAAGAATTCTCAGTGAATTCTTTCTGTGTGTGTGTATTCAACTCACAGAGTTGAACGTTCCTTTAGACAGAGTAGATTGGAAACACTCTTTTTGTGGAATTTTCAGGTGGAGGTATCAAGCGCTTTGAGGCCAATGATAGAAAAGGAAATACCTTCGTATAATAATTAGACGGAATCATTCTCAGAAACTGCTTTGCAATGTGTGCGTTGAACTCACAGAGTTTAACTTTCTTTTCATACAGTTGTTTCGAAACACTCTTTTTGCAGAATCTTCAAGTGGATATTTTTTTGGACTTCTTTGAAGTCTTCGTTGGAAAAAGGATTTCTTCATATAATGCTGGACAGAAGAATTCTCAGTAACTTCTTTTTGTGGTGTGTATTCAACTCACAGAGTTGAACCTTCCTTTAGACAGAGCAGATTTGAAACTCTCTTTTTGTGGAATTTGCAAGTGGAGATTTCAAGCGCTTTGAGGCCAACGGCAGAAAAGGAAATATCTTCGTAGAAAAAATAGACGGAATCATTCTCAGAAACTGCTTTGGGATGTGTGCATTGAACTCACAGTGTTTAACACTTCTTTTCATAGAGCACTTTGGAAACACTCAGTTTGTAATGTCTGCAGCTGGATATTTGGACCTCTTTGAGGCCTTCGTAGTAAACGGGATTTCTTCCTGTAATGATAGACAATAGAATTCTCAGTGAATTTTTTTCAGTGTGTGTGTATTCAACTCACAGGGTTGAACCTTCCTTTAGACAGTGCAGATTTGAAACACTTGTCTGTGGAATTTGCAAGGGGAGATTTCAAGCACTTTGAGGCCATTGGTGGAAAAGGAAATATCTTCGTATAAAAACTAGACAGAATCATTCTCAGGAACTACTTTGTGATATGTGCATTCAACTCACAGAGTTTAACCTTTCTTTTCATAGATGAGTTTGGAAACAGTCAGTTTGTAAATTCTGCAACTGGATATTTGGACCTCTTTGAGGCTTTCGTTGGAAACGGGATTTCTTCACATAATGCTAGACAGAAGAATTCTCAGTAACTTCTTTTGGGATGTATGTATTCAAATCAGAGAGTTGAACCTTCCTTTAGACAGAGCGGATTGGAAACACTCTTTTTGTGGAATTTGCAAGTGGAAAATTCTAGCAGTATGAGGCCAATGGTACAAAAGGAAATATCTTCGTATAAAAACTAGACAGTATCATTCTCAGAAACTGCTTCGTGATGTGTGTATTAAACTCACAGAGTTGAACATTTCTTTGCATAGAGCAGTTTGGAAAGACTTAGTTTGTGCAGTGTGCAAGTGGATATTTGGAACTCTTTGAGGCCTTCGTTGGAAACGGGATTTCTTCTTATAATTCTTGACAAAAGAATTCTCAGTAGCTTCTTTGTGTGTGTGTATTCAACTCACAGAGTTGAACCTTCCTTTAGACAGAGCAGATTGGAAACACTCTTTTTGTGGAATTTGCAAGTGGAGAATTCTAGCGCTTTGACGCCAATGGTAGAAAGGAAATATCTTCGTATAAAAACTAGACAGTATCATTCTCACAAACTACTTTGTGATGTGTGCGTTCAACTCACAGAGTTTAACCTTTCTTTTCATAGAGCAGTTTGGAAACACTCTGTTTGTGAAGTCTGCAAGTGGATATTTAAACGTCTTTGAGGCCTTCGTTGGAAACGGGATTTGTTCATATAAACCAGGACAGAAGAATTCTCAGAAACTTCTTGATTGTTATGTGTGCATTCAACTCACAGAGTTGAACCTTACTTTGGAAAGAGCAGTTTTCTAACACTCTTTTTGTAAAAGTTCCAAGTGAATACTTTGAGTGCTTTGAAGCCTACGGTTGACAACGAAATATCTTCATGTAAAAACTACAAAGAATCATTCGCAGAAACCACGTTGTGATCTCTGCATTCAACTCACAGAGTTGAACCTTTCTTCCTATAGAGCAGTTATGAAACAGTCTCTTTGTAGAATTTGCAAGGGTGTATTTACAGGGCATTGAAGCCTACGGTAGAAAAGGAAATATCTTACCATAAAATCTAGTCAGAAGCATTCTCAGCAACTGAGTTGTGATATTTGCATTCAACTCACAGAGTTCAACATTCCTTTTAATGGAGCGGTTTTGAAACACTCTTTTTGCAGAATCTGCAAGTGGATATTTGGACCTATTTGAGGCCTTTGTTGGAAAGGGGATTTCTTCATGTAATGCCAGACAGAAGAATTCTCAGTGAATTCTTTCTGTGTGTGTGTATTCAACTCACAGAGTTGAACGTTCCTTTAGACAGAGTAGATTGGAAACACTCTTTTTGTGGAATTTTCAGGTGGAGGTATCAAGCGCTTTGAGGCCAATGATAGAAAAGGAAATACCTTCGTATAATAATTAGACGGAATCATTCTCAGAAACTGCTTTGCAATGTGTGCGTTCAACTCACAGTGTTTAACCTTTCTTTTCATACAGTTGTTTCGAAACACTCTTTTTGCAGAATCTGCAAGTGGATATTTGGACCTCTTTGAAGTCTTCGTTGGAAATGGGATTTCTTCATATAATGCTAGACAGAAGACTTCTCAGTAACTGCTTTTTCTGGTGTGTATTCAACTCTCAGAGTTGAACTTTCCTTTAGAAACAGCAGATTTGAAACTCTCTTTTTGTGGAATTTGCAAGTGGAGATTTCAGAGCTTTGAGGCCAATGGTAGAAAAGGAAATATCTTCGTATGCAAACTAGACAGAATCATTCTCAGAAACTACTTTGGTACGTGTGTGTTCAACTCACAGTGTGTAACCTTTCTTTTCATAGAGCAGTTTGGAAACACTCAGTTTGTAAAGTCAGCAACTGGATATTTGGATGTATTTGAGGCCTTCGTTGGAAACGGGATTTCTTCATATAATGCTAGACAGAAGAATTCTCAGTAACTTCTTTGGGTTGTGGGTATTCAAGTCACAGAGTTGAAGCTTCCTTTAGGCGGAGCAGATTGGAAACACTTTTTGTGGAATTTTCAGGGGGAGACTTCAAGCGCTTTGAAGTGAATGGTAGGAAAGGAAATATCTTCGTATAAAAACTAGACGGAGTCATTCTCAGAAACTACTTTGTGATGTTTGCGTTCAACTCACAGAGTTTAACGTTTCTTTTCATAGAGCAGTTTGGAAACACTCTTTTTGCAGAATCTGCAAGTGGATATTTGGACCTCTTTGTGGCCTTCGTTGGAAACGGGATTTTTCATATAATGCTAGACAGAAGAATTCTCAGTAACTTCTTTTTGTGGTGTGTATTCAACTCACAGAGTTGAACCTTCCTTTAGACAGAGCAGATTTGAAACTCTCTTTTTGTGGAATTTGCAAGTGGAGATTTCAAGCGCTTTGAGGCCAACGGCAGAAAAGGAAATATCTTCGTAGAAAAAATAGACGGAATCATTCTCAGAAACTGCTTTGGGATGTGTGCATTGAACTCACAGTGTTTAACACTTCTTTTCATAGAGCACTTTGGAAACACTCAGTTTGAAATGTCTGCAGCTGGATATTTGGACCTCTTTGAGGCCTTCGTAGTAAACGGGATTTCTTCGTGTAATGATAGACAATAGAATTCTCAGTGAATTTTTTTCTGTGTGTGTGTATTCAACTCACAGGGTTGAACCTTCCTTTAGACAGTGCAGATTTGAAACACTTGTCTGTGGAATTTGCAAGGGGAGATTTCAAGCACTTTGAGGCCATTGGTGGAAAAGGAAATATCTTCGTATGAAAACTAGAGAGAATCATTCTCAGGAACTACTTTGTGATATGTGCATTCAACTCCCAGAGTTTAACCTTTCTTTTCATAGATGAGTTTGGAAACAGTCAGTTTGTAAATTCTGCAACTGGATATTTGGACCTCTTTGAGGCTTTCGTTGGAAACGGGATTTCTTCACATAATGCTAGACAAAAGAATTCTCAGTAACTTCTTTTGGGATGTATGTATTCAAATCAGAGAGTTGAACCTTCCTTTAGACAGAGCGGATTGGAAACACTCTTTTTGTGGAATTTGCAAGTGGAAAATTCTAGCAGTATGAGGCCAATGGTACAAAAGGAAATATCTTCGTATAAAAACTAGACAGTATCATTCTCAGAAACTGCTTTGTGATGTGTGTATTAAACTCACAGAGTTGAACATTTCTTTGCATAGAGCAGTATGGAAAGACGTAGTTTGTGCAGTGTGCAAGTGGATATTTGGAACTCTTTGAGGCCTTGGTTGGAAACGGGATTTCTTCTTATAATTCTTGACAAAAGAATTCTCAGTAGCTTCTTTGTGTGTGTGTATTCAACTCACAGAGTTGAACCTTCCTTTAGACAGAGCAGATTGGAAACACTCTTTTTGTGGAATTTGCAAGTGGAGAATTCTAGCGCTTTGACGCCAATGGTAGAAAGGAAATATCTTCGTATAAAAACTAGACAGTATCATTCTCAGAAGCTACTTTGTGATGTGTGCGTTCAACTCACAGAGTTTAACCTTTCTTTTCATAGAGCAGTTTGGAAACCCTCTGTTTGTGAAGTCTGCAAGTGGATATTTAAACGTCTTTGAGGCCTTCGTTGGAAACGGGATTTTTTCATATAAACCAGGACAGAAGAATTCTCAGAAACTTCTTGATTGTTATGTGTGCATTCAACTCACAGAGTTGAACCTTACTTTGGAAAGAGCAGTTTTCTAACACTCTTTTTGTAAAAGTTCCAAGTGAATACTTTGAGTGCTTTGAAGCCTACGGTTGACAACGAAATATCTTCATGTAAAAACTACAAAGAATCATTCGCAGAAACCACGTTGTGATCTCTGCATTCAACTCACAGTGTTGAACCTTTCTTCCTATAGAGCAGTTATGAAACAGTCTCTTTGTAGAATTTGCAAGGGTGTATTTAGAGGGCATTGAAGCCTACGGTAGAAAAGGAAATATCTTACCATAAAATCTAGTCAGAAGCATTCTCAGAAACTGAGTTGTGATGTTTCCATTCAACTCACAGAGTTCAACATTCCTTTTAATGGAGCGGTTTTGAAACACTCTTTTTGCAGAATCTGCAAGTGGATATTTGGACCTCTTTGAGGCCTTCGTTGGAAACGGGATTTCTTCATGTAATGCCAGACAGAAGAATTCTCAGTGAATTCTTTCTGTGTGTGTGTATTCAACTCACAGAGTTGAACGTTCCTTTAGACAGAGTAGATTGGAAACACTCTTTTTGTGGAATTTTCAGGTGGAGGTATCAAGCGCTTTGAGGCCAATGATAGAAAAGGAAATACCTTCGTATAATAATTAGACGGAATCATTCTCAGAAACCGCTTTGCAATGTGTGCGTTCAACTCACAGTGTTTAACCTTTCTTTTCATACAGTTGTTTCGAAACACTCTTTTTGCAGAATCTGCAAGTGGATATTTGGACCTCTTTGAAGTCTTCGTTGGAAATGGGATTTCTTCATATAATGCTAGACAGAAGACTTCTCAGTAACTGCTTTTTCTGGTGTGTATTCAACTCTCAGAGTTGAACTTTCCTTTAGAAACAGCAGATTTGAAACTCTCTTTTTGTGGAATTTGCAAGTGGAGATTTCAGAGCTTTGAGGCCAATGGTAGAAAAGGAAATATCTTCGTATGCAAACTAGACAGAATCATTCTCAGAAACTACTTTGGTACGTGTGTGTTCAACTCACAGTGTTTAACCTTTCTTTTCATAGAGCAGTTTGGAAACACTCAGTTTGTAAAGTCAGCAACTGGATATTTGGATGTATTTGAGGCCTTCGTTGGAAACGGGATTTCTTCATATAATGCTAGACAGAAGAATTCTCAGTAACTTCTTTGGGTTGTGGGTATTCAACTCACAGAGTTGAAGCTTCCTTTAGGCGGAGCAGATTGGAAACACTTTTTGTGGAATTTTCAGGGGGAGACTTCAAGCGCTTTGAAGTGAATGGTAGGAAAGGAAATATCTTCGTATAAAAACTAGACGGAGTCATTCTCAGAAACTACTTTGTGATGTTTGCGGTTCAACTCACAGAGTTTAACGTTTCTTTTCATAGAGCAGTTTGGAAACACTCTTTTTGCAGAATCTGCAAGTGGATATTTGGACCTCTTTGTGGCCTTCGTTGGAAACGGGATTTTTCATATAATGCTAGACAGAAAAATTCTCAGTAACTTCTTTTTGTGGTGTGTATTCAACTCACAGAGTTGAACCTTCCTTTAGACAGAGCAGATTTGAAACTCTCTTTTCGTGGAATTTGCAAGTGGGGATTTCAAGCGCTTTGAGGCCAACGGTAGAAAAGGAAATATCTTCTTAGAAAAAATAGACGGAATGATTCTCAGAAACTGCTTTGGGATGTGTGCATTGAACTCACAGTGTTTAACACTTCTTTTCATAGAGCACTTTGGAAACACTCAGTTTGTAATGTCTGCAGCTAGATATTTGGACCTCTTTGAGGCCTTCGTAGTAAACGGGATTTCTTCGTGTAATGATAGACAATAGAATTCTCAGTGAATTTTTTTCTGTGTGTGTGTATTCAACTCACAGGGTTGAACCTTCCTTCAGACAGTGCAGATTTGAAACACTTTTCTGTGGAATTTGCAAGGGGAGATTTCAAGCACTTTGAGGCCATTGGTGGAAAAGGAAATATCTTCGTATAAAAACTAGACAGAATCATTCTCAGGAACTACTTTGTGATACGTGCATTCAACTCACAGGGTTTAACCTTTCTTTTCATAGATGAGTTTGGAAACAGTCAGTTTGTAAATTCTGCAACTGGATATTAGGACCTCTTTGAGGCGTTCGTTGGAAACGGGATTTCTTCACATAATGCTAGACAGAAGAATTCGCAGTAACTTCTTTTGGGATGTATGTATTCAACTCGGAGAGTTGAACCTTCCTTTAGACAGAGCGCATTGGAAACACGCTTTTTGCGGAATTTTCAGGTGGAGATTCCAAGAGCCTTGAGACCAATGGTAGAAAAGGATATCTTCATATAAAAACTAGAGGGAATCATTCTCAGAAACTGCTTTGTGATGTGTGCATTAAACTCACAGTAGTTGAACATTTCTTTGCATAGAGCAGTTTGGAAAGACTTAGTTTGTACAGTGTGCAAGTGGATATTTGGAACTCTTTGAGGCCTTCGTTGGAAACGGGATTTCTTCTTATAATTCTTGACAAAAGAATTCTCAGTAGCTTCTTTGTGTGTGTGTATTCAACTCACAGAGTTGAACCTTCCTTTAGTCAGAGCAGATTGGAAACACTCTTTTTGTGGAATTTGCAAGTGGAGAATTCTAGCGCTTTGACGCCAATGGAAGGAAAGGAAATATCTCCGTATAAAAACTAGACAGTATCATTCTCAGAAACAACTTTGTGATGTGTGCGTTCAACTCACAGAGTTTAACCTTTCTTTTCATAGAGCAGTTTGGAAACACTCTGTTTGTGAAGTCTGCAAGTGGATATTTAAACGTCTCTGAGGCCTTCGTTGGAATCGGGATTTTTTCATATAAACCAGGACAGAAGAATTCTCAGAAACTTCTTCATTCTTATGTGTGCATTCAACTCACAGAGTTGAACCTTACTTTGGAAAGAGCAGTTTTCTAACACTCTTTTTGTAAAAGTTCCAAGTGAATACTTTGAGTGCTTTGAAGCCTACGGTTGACAATGAAATATCTTCCTGTAAAAACTACAAAGAATCATTCGCAGAAACCACGTTGTGATCTCTGCATTCAACTCACAGAGTTGAACCTTTCTTCCTATAGAGCAGTTATGAAACAGTCTCTTTGTAGAATTTGCAAGGGTGTATTTAGAGGGCATTGAAGCCTACGGTAGAAAAGGAAATATCTTACCATAAAATCTAGTCAGAAGCATTCTCAGCAACTGAGTTGTGATGTTTCCATTCAACTCACAGAGTTCAACATTCCTTTTAATGGAGCGGTTTTGAAACACTCTTTTTGCAGAATCTGCAAGTGGATATTTGGACCTCTTTGAGGCCTTCGTTGGAAACGGGATTTCTTCATGTAATGCCAGACAGAAGAATTCTCAGTGAATTCTTTCTGTGTGTGTGTATTCAACTCACAGAGTTGAACGTTCCTTTAGACAGAGTAGATTGGAAACACTCTTTTTGTGGAATTTTCAGGTGGAGGTATCAAGCGCTTTGAGGCCAATGATAGAAAAGGAAATACCTTCGTATAATAATTAGACGGAATCATTCTCAGAAACTGCTTTGCAATGTGTGCGTTCAACTCACAGTGTTTAACCTTTCTTTTCATACAGTTGTTTCGAAACACTCTTTTTGCAGAATCTGCAAGTGGATATTTGGACCTCTTTGAAGTACTTCGTTGGAAATGGGATTTCTTCATATAATGCTAGACAGAAGAATTCTCAGTAACTGCTTTCTCTGGTGTGTATTCAACTCTCAGAGTTGAACTTTCCTTTAGAAACAGCAGATTTGAAACTCTCTTTTTGTGGAATTTGCAAGTGGAGATTTCAAAGCTTTGAGGCCAATGGTAGAAAAAGAAATATGTTCGTATGCAAACTAGACAGAATCATTCTCAGAAACTACTTTGGTACGTGTGTGTTCAACTCACAGTGTTTAACCTTTCTTTTCATAGAGCAGTTTGGAAACACTCAGTTTGTAAAGTCAGCAACTGGATATTTGGATGTATTTGAGGCCTTCGTTGGAAACGGGATTTCTTCATATAATGCTAGACAGAAGAATTTTCAGTAACTTCTTTGGGTTGTGGGTATTCAACTCACAGAGTTGAAGCTTCCTTTAGGCGGAGCAGATTGGAAACACTTTTTGTGGAATTTTCAGGGGGAGACTTCAAGCGCTTTGAAGTGAATGGTAGGAAAGGAAATATCTTCATATAAAAACTAGACGGAGTCATTCTCAGAAACTACTTTGTGATGTTTGCGTTCAACTCACAGAGTTTAACGTTTCTTTTCATAGAGCAGTTTGGAAACACTCTTTTTGCAGAATCTGCAAGTGGATATTTGGACCTCTTTGTGGCCTTCGTTGGAAACGGGATTTTTCATATAATGCTAGACAGAAGAATTCTCAGTAACTTCTTTTTGTGGTGTGTATTCAACTCACAGAGTTGAACCTTCCTTTAGACAGAGCAGATTTGAACCTCTCTTTTTGTGGAATTTGCAAGTGGAGATTTCAAGCGCTTTGAGGCCAACGGCAGAAAAGGAAATATACTTCGTAGAAAAAATAGACGGAATCATTCTCAGAAACTGCTTTGGGATGTGTGCATTGAACTCACAGTGTTTAACACTTCTTTTCATAGAGCACTTTGGAAACACTCAGTTTGTAATGTCTGCAGCTGGATATTTGGACCTCTTTGAGGCCTTCGTAGTAAACGGGATTTCTTCGTGTAATGATAGACAATAGAATTCTCAGTGAATTTTTTTCTGTGTGTGTGTATTCAACTCACAGGGTTGAACCTTCCTTTAGACAGTGCAGATTTGAAACACTTGTCTGTGGAATTTGCAAGGGGAGATTTCAAGCACTTTGAGGCCATTGGTGGAAAAGGAAATATCTTCGTATGAAAACTAGACAGAATCATTCTCAGGAACTACTTTGTGATATGTGCATTCAACTCACAGAGTTTAACCTTTCTTTTCATAGATGAGTTTGGAAACAGTCAGTTTGTAAATTCTGCAACTGGATATTTGGACCTCTTTGAGGCTTTCGTTGGAAACGGGATTTCTTCACATAATGCTAGACAGAAGAATTCTCAGTAACTTCTTTTGGGATGTATGTATTCAAAT
Source organism: Homo sapiens (assembly GCF_000001405.40). NCBI lineage: Eukaryota > Metazoa > Chordata > Mammalia > Primates > Hominidae > Homo > Homo sapiens. The sequence continues at coordinate 93,126,515 of NC_000003.12, forward strand.
CAGAGAGTTGAACCTTCCTTTAGACAGAGCGGATTGGAAACACTCTTTTTGTGGAATTTGCAAGTGGAAAATTCTAGCAGTATGAGGCCAATGGTACAAAAGGAAATATCTTCGTATAAAAACTAGACAGTATCATTCTCAGAAACTGCTTTGTGATGTGTGTATTAAACTCACAGAGTTTAACCTTTCTTTTCATAGAGCAGTTTGGAAACCCTCTGTTTGTGAAGTCTGCAAGTGGATATTTAAACGTCTTTGAGGCCTTCGTTGGAAACGGGATTTTTTCATATAAACCAGGACAGAAGAATTCTCAGAAACTTCTTGATTGTTATGTGTGCATTCAACTCACAGAGTTGAACCTTACTTTGGAAAGAGCAGTTTTCTAACACTCTTTTTGTAAAAGTTCCAAGTGAATACTTTGAGTGCTTTGAAGCCTACGGTTGACAACGAAATATCTTCATGTAAAAACTACAAAGAATCATTCGCAGAAACCACGTTGTGATCTCTGCATTCAACTCACAGAGTTGAACCTTTCTTCCTATAGAGCAGTTATGAAACAGTCTCTTTGTAGAATTTGCAAGGGTGTATTTAGAGGGCATTGAAGCCTACGGTAGAAAAGGAAATATCTTACCATAAAATCTAGTCAGAAGCATTCTCAGCAACTGAGTTGTGATGTTTGCATTCAACTCACAGAGTTCAACATTCCTTTTCATGGAGCGGTTTTGAAACACTCTTTTTGCAGAATCTGCAAGTGGATATTTGGACCTCTTTGAGGCCTTCGTTGGAAACGGGATTTCTTCATGTAATGCCAGACAGAAGAATTCTCAGTGAATTCTTTCTGTGTGTGTGTATTCAACTCACAGAGTTGAACGTTCCTTTAGACAGAGTAGATTGGAAACACTCTTTTTGTGGAATTTTCAGGTGGAGGTATCAAGCGCTTTGAGGCCAATGATAGAAAAGGAAATACCTTCGTATAATAATTAGACGGAATCATTCTCAGAAACTGCTTTGCAATGTGTGCGTTCAACTCACAGTGTTTAACCTTTCTTTTCATACAGTTGTTTCGAAACACTCTTTTTGCAGAATCTGCAAGTGGATATTTGGACCTCTTTGAAGTCTTCGTTGGAAATAGGATTTCTTCATATAATGCTAGACAGAAGACTTCTCAGTAACTGCTTTTTCTGGTGTGTATTCAACTCTCAGAGTTGAACTTTCCTTTAGAAACAGCAGAGTTGAAACTCTCTTTTTGTGGAATTTGCAAGTGGAGATTTCAAAGCTTTGAGGCCAATGGTAGAAAAGGAAATATCTTCGTATGCAAACTAGACAGAATCATTCTCAGAAACTACTTTGGTACGTGTGTGTTCAACTCACAGTGTTTAACCTTTCTTTTCATAGAGCAGTTTGGAAACACTCAGTTTGTAAAGTCAGCAACTGGATATTTGGATGTATTTGAGGCCTTCGTTGGAAACGGGATTTCTTCATATAGTGCTAGACAGAAGAATTCTCAGTAACTTCTTTGGGTTGTGGGTATTCAACTCACAGAGTTGAAGCTTCCTTTAGGCGGAGCAGATTGGAAACACTTTTTGTGGAATTTTCAGGGGGAGACTTCAAGCGCTTTGAAGTGAATGGTAGAAAAGGAAATATCTTCGTATAAAAACTAGACGGAGTCATTCTCAGAAACTACTTTGTGATGTTTGCGGTTCAACTCACAGAGTTTAACGTTTCTTTTCATAGAGCAGTTTGGAAACACTCTTTTTGCAGAATCTGCAAGTGGATATTTGGACCTCTTTGTGGCCTTCGTTGGAAACGGGATTTTTCATATAATGCTAGACAGAAGAATTCTCAGTAACTTCTTTTTGTGGTGTGTATTCAACTCACAGAGTTGAACCTTCCTTTAGACAGAGCAGATTTGAAACTCTCTTTTTGTGGAATTTGCAAGTGGAGATTTCAAGCGCTTTGAGGCCAACGGTAGAAAAGGAAATATCTTCGTAGAAAAAATAGACGGAATCATTCTCAGAAACTGCTTTGGGATGTGTGCATTGAACTCACAGTGTTTAACACTTCTTTTCATAGAGCACTTTGGAAACACTCAGTTTGTAATGTCTGCAGCTGGATATTTGGACCTCTTTGAGGCCTTCGTAGTAAACGGGATTTCTTCGTGTAATGATAGACAATAGAATTCTCAGTGAATTTTTTTCTGTGTGTGTGTATTCAACTCACAGGGTTGAACCTTCCTTTAGACAGTGCAGATTTGAAACACTTGTCTGTGGAATTTGCAAGGGGAGATTTCAAGCACTTTGAGGCCATTGGTGGAAAAGGAAATATCTTCGTATGAAAACTAGACAGAATCATTCTCAGGAACTACTTTGTGATATGTGCATTCAACTCACAGAGTTTAACCTTTCTTTTCATAGATGAGTTTGGAAACAGTCAGTTTGTAAATTCTGCAACTGGATATTTGGACCTCTTTGAGGCTTTCGTTGGAAACGGGATTTCTTCACATAATGCTAGACAGAAGAATTCTCAGTAACTTCTTTTGGGATGTATGTATTCAAATCAGAGAGTTGAACCTTCCTTTAGACAGAGCGGATTGGAAACACTCTTTTTGTGGAATTTGCAAGTGGAAAATTCTAGCAGTATGAGGCCAATGGTACAAAAGGAAATATCTTCGTATAAAAACTAGACAGTATCATTCTCAGAAACTGCTTTGTGATGTGTGTATTAAACTCACAGAGTTTAACCTTTCTTTTCATAGAGCAGTTTGGAAACCCTCTGTTTGTGAAGTCTGCAAGTGGATATTTAAACGTCTTTGAGGCCTTCGTTGGAAACGGGATTTTTTCATATAAACCAGGACAGAAGAATTCTCAGAAACTTCTTGATTGTTATGTGTGCATTCAACTCACAGAGTTGAACCTTACTTTGGAAAGAGCAGTTTTCTAACACTCTTTTTGTAAAAGTTCCAAGTGAATACTTTGAGTGCTTTGAAGCCTACGGTTGACAACGAAATATCTTCATGTAAAAACTACAAAGAATCATTCGCAGAAACCACGTTGTGATCCCTGCATTCAACTCACAGAGTTCAACCTTTCTTCCTATAGAGCAGTTATGAAACAGTCTCTTTGTAGAATTTGCAAGGGTGTATTTAGAGGGCATTGAAGCCTACGGTAGAAAAGGAAATATCTTACCATAAAATCTAGTCAGAAGCATTCTCAGAAACTGAGTTGTGATGTTTGCATTCAACTCACAGAGTTCAACATTCCTTTTAATGGAGCGGTTTTGAAACACTCTTTTTGCAGAATCTGCAAGTGGATATTTGGACCTCTTTGAGGCCTTCGTTGGAAACGGGATTTCTTCATGTAATGCCAGACAGAAGAATTCTCAGTGAATTCTTTCTGTGTGTGTGTATTCAACTCACAGAGTTGAACGTTCCTTTAGACAGAGTAGATTGGAAACACTCTTTTTGTGGAATTTTCAGGTGGAGGTATCAAGCGCTTTGAGGCCAATGATAGAAAAGGAAATACCTTCGTATAATAATTAGACGGAATCATTCTCAGAAACTGCTTTGCAATGTGTGCGTTCAACTCACAGTGTTTAACCTTTCTTTTCATACAGTTGTTTCGAAACACTCTTTTTGCAGAATCTGCAAGTGGATATTTGGACCTCTTTGAAGTCTTCGTTGGAAATGGGATTTCTTCATATAATGCTAGACAGAAGACTTCTCAGTAACTGCTTTTTCTGGTGTGTATTCAACTCTCAGAGTTGAACTTTCCTTTAGAAACAGCAGATTTGAAACTCTCTTTTTGTGGAATTTGCAAGTGGAGATTTCAGAGCTTTGAGGCCAATGGTAGAAAAGGAAATATCTTCGTATGCAAACTAGACAGAATCATTCTCAGAAACTACTTTGGTACGTGTGTGTTCAACTCACAGTGTTTAACCTTTCTTTTCATAGAGCAGTTTGGAAACACTCAGTTTGTAAAGTCAGCAACTGGATATTTGGATGTATTTGAGGCCTTCGTTGGAAACGGGATTTCTTCATATAATGCTAGACAGAAGAATTCTCAGTAACTTCTTTGGGTTGTGGGTATTCAACTCACAGAGTTGAAGCTTCCTTTAGGCGGAGCAGATTGGAAACACTTTTTGTGGAATTTTCAGGGGGAGACTTCAAGCGCTTTGAAGTGAATGGTAGAAAAGGAAATATCTTCGTATAAAAACTAGACGCAGTCATTCTCAGAAACTACTTTGCGATGTTTGCGTTCAACTCACAGAGTTTAACGTTTCTTTTCATAGAGCAGTTTGGAAACACTCTTTTTGCAGAATCTGCAAGTGGATATTTGGACCTCTTTGTGGCCTTCGTTGGAAACGGGATTTTTCATATAATGCTAGACAGAAGAATTCTCAGTAACTTCTTTTTGTGGTGTGTATTCAACTCACAGAGTTGAACCTTCCTTTAGACAGAGCAGATTTGAAACTCTCTTTTTGTGGAATTTGCAAGTGGAGATTTCAAGCGCTTTTAGGCCAACGGTAGAAAAGGAAATATCTTCGTAGAAAAAATAGACGGAATCATTCTCAGAAACTGCTTTGGGATGTGTGCATTGAACTCACAGTGTTTAACACTTCTTTTCATAGAGCACTTTGGAAACACTCAGTTTGTAATGTCTGCAGCTGGATATTTGGACCTCTTTGAGGCCTTCGTAGTAAACGGGATTTCTTCGTGTAATGATAGACAATAGAATTCTCAGTGAATTTTTTTCTGTGTGTGTGTATTCAACTCACAGGGTTGAACCTTCCTTTAGACAGTGCAGATTTGAAACACTTGTCTGTGGAATTTGCAAGGGGAGATTTCAAGCACTTTGAGGCCATTGGTGGAAAAAGAAATATCTTCGTATAAAAACTAGACAGAATCATTCTCAGGAACTACTTTGTGATATGTGCATTCAACTCACAGAGTTTAACCTTTCTTTTCATAGATGAGTTTGGAAACAGTCAGTTTGTAAATTCTGCAACTGTATATTTGGACCTCTTTGAGGCTTTCGTTGGAAACGGGATTTCTTCACATAATGCTAGACAGAAGAATTCTCAGTAACTTCTTTTGGGATGTATATATTCAACTCAGAGAGTTGAACCTTCCTTTAGACAGAGCAGATTGAAAACACGCTTTTTGCGGAATTTTCAGGTGGAGATTTCAAGAGCCTTGTGGCCAATGGTAGAAAAGGCTATCTTCGTATAAAAACTAGACGGAATCATTCTCAGAAACTGCTTTGTGATGTGTGCATTAAACTCACAGAGTTGAACATTTCTTTGCATAGAGCAGTTTGGAAAGACTTAGTTTGTACAGTGTGCAAGTGGATATTTGGAACTCTTTGAGGCCTTCGTTGGAAACGGGATTTCTTCTTATAATTCTTGACAAAAGAATTCTCAGTAGCTTCTTTGTGTGTGTGTATTCAACTCACAGAGTTGAACCTGCCTTTAGGCAGAGCAGATTGGAAACCCACTTTTTGTGGAATTTGCAAGTGGAGAATTCTAGCGCTTTGACGCCAATGGTAGGAAAGGAAATATCTCCGTATAAAAACTAGACAGTATCTTTCTCAGAAACAACTTTGTGATGTGTGCGTTCAACTCACAGAGTTTAACCTTTCTTTTCATAGAGCAGTTTGGAAACACTCTGTTTGTGAAGTCTGCAAGTGGATATTTAAACGTCTCTGAGGCCTTCGTTGGAAACGGGATTTTTTCATATAAACCAGGACAGAAGAATTCTCAGAAACTTCTTGATTGTTATGTGTGCATTCAACTCACAGAGTTGAACCTTACTTTGGAAAGAGCAGTTTTCTAATACTCTTTTTGTAAAAGTTCCAAGTGAATACTTTGAGTGCTTTGAAGCCTACGGTTGACAACGAAATATCTTCATGTAAAAACTACAAAGAATCATTCGCAGAAACCACGTTGTGATCTCTGCATTCAACTCACAGAGTTGAACCTTTCTTCCTATAGAGCAGTTATGAAACAGTCTCTTTGTAGAATTTGCAAGGGTGTATTTAGAGGGCATTGAAGCCTACGGTAGAAAAGGAAATATCTTACCATAAAATCTAGTCAGAAGCATTCTCAGCAACTGAGTTGTGATGTTTCCATTCAACTCACAGAGTTCAACATTCCTTTTAATGGAGCGGTTTTGAAACACTCTTTTTGCAGAATCTGCAAGTGGATATTTGGACCTCTTTGAGGCCTTCGTTGGAAACGGGATTTCTTCATGTAATGCCAGACAGAAGAATTCTCAGTGAATTCTTTCTGTGTGTGTGTATTCAACTCACAGAGTTGAACGTTCCTTTAGACAGAGTAGATTGGAAACACTCTTTTTGTGGAATTTTCAGGTGGAGGTATCAAGCGCTTTGAGGCCAATGATAGAAAAGGAAATACCTTCGTATAATAATTAGACGGAATCATTCTCAGAAACTGCTTTGCAATGTGTGCGTTCAACTCACAGTGTTTAACCTTTCTTTTCATACAGTTGTTTAGAAACACTCTTTTTGCAGAATCTGCAAGTGGATATTTGGACTTCTTTGAAGTCTTCGTTGGAAATGGGATTTCTTCATATAATGCTAGACAGAAGACTTCTCAGTAACTGCTTTTTCTGGTGTGTATTCAACTCTCAGAGTTGAACTTTCCTTTAGAAACAGCAGATTTGAAACTCTCTTTTTGTGGAATTTGCAAGTGGAGATTTCAGAGCTTTGAGGCCAATGGTAGAAAAGGAAATATCTTCGTATGCAAACTAGACAGAATCATTCTCAGAAACTACTTTGGTACGTGTGTGTTCAACTCACAGTGTTTAACCTTTCTTTTCATAGAGCAGTTTGGAAACACTCAGTTTGTAAAGTCAGCAACTGGATATTTGGATGCATTTGAGGCCTTCGTTGGAAACGGGATTTCTTCATATAATGCTAGACAGAAGAATTCTCAGTAACTTCTTTGGGTTGTGGGTATTCAAGTCACAGAGTTGAAGCTTCCTTTAGGCGGAGCAGATTGGAAACACTTTTTGTGGAATTTTCAGGGGGAGACTTCAAGCGCTTTGAAGTGAATGGTAGGAAAGGAAATATCTTCGTATAAAAACTAGACGGAGTCATTCTCAGAAACTACTTTGTGATGTTTGTGTTCAACTCACAGAGTTTAACGTTTCTTTTCATAGAGCAGTTTGGAAACACTCTTTTTGCAGAATCTGCAAGTGGATATTTGGACCTCTTTGTGGCCTTCGTTGGAAACGGGATTTTTCATATAATGCTAGACAGAAGAATTCTCAGTAACTTCTTTTTGTGGTGTGTATTCAACTCACAGAGTTGAACCTTCCTTTAGACAGAGCAGATTTGAAACTCTCTTTTTGTGGAATTTGCAAGTGGAGATTTCAAGCGCTTTGAGGCCAACGGCAGAAAAGGAAATATCTTCGTAGAAAAAATAGACGGAATCATTCTCAGAAACTGCTTTGGGATGTGTGCATTGAACTCACAGTGTTTAACACTTCTTTTCATAGAGCACTTTGGAAACACTCAGTTTGTAATGTCTGCAGCTGGATATTTGGACCTCTTTGAGGCCTTCGTAGTAAACGGGATTTCTTCGTGTAATGATAGACAACAGAATTCTCAGTGAATTTTTCTCTGTGTGTGTGTATTCAACTCACAGGGTTGAACCTTCCTTTAGACAGTGCAGATTTGAAACACTTGTCTGTGGAATTTGCAAGGGGAGATTTCAAGCACTTTGAGGCCATTGGTGGAAAAGGAAATATCTTCGTATAAAAACTAGACAGAATCATTCTCAGGAACTACTTTGTGATATGTGCATTCAACTCACAGAGTTTAACCTTTCTTTTCATAGATGAGTTTGGAAACAGTCAGTTTGTAAATTCTGCAACTGGATATTTGGACCTCTTTGAGGCTTTCGTTGGAAACGGGATTTCTTCACATAATGCTAGACAGAAGAATTCTCAGTAACTTCTTTTGGGATGTATGTATTCAAATCAGAGAGTTGAACCTTCCTTTAGACAGAGCGGATTGGAAACACTCTTTTTGTGGAATTTGCAAGTGGAAAATTCTAGCAGTATGAGGCCAATGGTACAAAAGGAAATATCTTCGTATAAAAACTAGACAGTATCATTCTCAGAAACTGCTTTGTGATGTGTGTATTAAACTCACAGAGTTGAACATTTCTTTGCATAGAGCAGTTTGGAAAGACTTAGTTTGTGCAGTGTGCAAGTGGATATTTGGAACTCTTTGAGGCCTTCGTTGGAAACGGGATTTCTTCTTATAATTCTTGACAAAAGAATTCTCAGTAGCTTCTTTGTGTGTGTGTATTCAACTCACAGAGTTGAACCTTCCTTTAGACAGAGCAGATTGGAAACACTCTTTTTGTGGCATTTGCAAGTGGAGAATTCTAGCGCTTTGACGCCAACGGTAGGAAAGGAAATATCTCCGTATAAAAACTAGACAGTATCATTCTCAGAAACTACTTTGTGATGTGTGCGTTCAACTCACAGAGTTTAACCTTTCTTTTCATAGAGCAGTTTGGAAACACTCTGTTTGTGAAGTCTGCAAGTGGATATTTAAACGTCTTTGAGGCCTTCGTTGGAAACGGGATTTTTTCATATAAACCAGGACAGAAGAAATCTCAGAAACTTCTTGTTTGTTATGTGTGCATTCAACTCACAGAGTTGAACCTTACTTTGGAAAGAGCAGTTTTCTAACACTCTTTTTGTGAAAGTTCCAAGTGAATACTTTGAGTGCTTTGAAGCCTATGGTAGACAACGAAATATCTTCATGTAAAAACTGCAAAGAATCATTCGCAGAAACCACGTTGTGATCTCTGCATTCAACTCACAGAGTTGAACCTTTCTCCCTATAGAGCAGTTATGAAACAGTCTCTTTGTAGAATTTGCAAGGGTGTATTTAGAGGGCATTGAAGCCTACGGTAGAAAAGGAAATATCTTACCATAAAATCTAGTCAGAAGCATTCTCAGCAACTGAGTTGTGATGTTTGCATTCAACTCACAGAGTTCAACATTCCTTTTAATGGAGCGGTTTTGAAACACTCTTTTTGCAGAATCTGCAAGTGGATATTTGGACCTCTTTGAGGCCTTCGTTGGAAACGGGATTTCTTCATGTAATGCCAGACAGAAGAATTCTCAGTGAATTCTTTCTGTGTGTGTGTATTCAACTCACAGAGTTGAACGTTCCTTTAGACAGAGTAGATTGGAAACACTCTTTTTGTGGAATTTTCAGGTGGAGGTATCAAGCGCTTTGAGGCCAATGATAGAAAAGGAAATACCTTCGTATAATAATTAGACGGAATCATTCTCAGAAACTGCTTTGCAATGTGTGCGTTCAACTCACAGTGTTTAACCTTTCTTTTCATACAGTTGTTTCGAAACACTCTTTTTGCAGAATCTGCAAGTGGATATTTGGACCTCTTTGAAGTCTTCGTTGGAAATGGGATTTCTTCATATAATGCTAGACAGAAGACTTCTCAGTAACTGCTTTTTCTGGTGTGTATTCAACTCTCAGAGTTGAACTTTCCTTTAGAAACAGCAGAGTTGAAACTCTCTTTTTGTGGAATTTGCAAGTGGAGATTTCAGAGCTTTGAGGCCAATGGTAGAAAAGGAAATATCTTCGTATGCAAACTAGACAGAATCATTCTCAGAAACTACTTTGGTACGTGTGTGTTCAACTCACAGTGTTTAACCTTTCTTTTCATAGAGCAGTTTGGAAACACTCAGTTTGTAAAGTCAGCAACTGGATATTTGGATGTATTTGAGGCCTTCGTTGGAAACGGGATTTCTTCATATAATGCTAGACAGAAGAATTCTCAGTAACTTCTTTGGGTTGTGGGTATTCAAGTCACAGAGTTGAAGCTTCCTTTAGGCGGAGCAGATTGGAAACACTTTTTGTGGAATTTTCAGGGGGAGACTTCAAGCGCTTTGAAGTGAATGGTAGGAAAGGAAATATCTTCGTATAAAAACTAGACGGAGTCATTCTCAGAAACTACTTTGTGATGTTTGCGTTCAACTCACAGAGTTTAACGTTTCTTTTCATAGAGCAGTTTGGAAACACTCTTTTTGCAGAATCTGCAAGTGGATATTTGGACCTCTTTGTGGCCTTCGTTGGAAACGGGATTTTTCATATAATGCTAGACAGAAGAATTCTCAGTAACTTCTTTTTGTGGTGTGTATTCAACTCACAGAGTTGAACCTTCCTTTAGACAGAGCAGATTTGAAAATCTCTTTTTGTGGAATTTGCAAGTGGAGATTTCAAGCGCTTTGAGGCCAACGGCAGAAAAGGAAATATCTTCGTAGAAAAAATAGACAGAATCATTCTCAGAAACTGCTTTGGGATGTGTGCATTGAACTCACAGTGTTTAACACTTCTTTTCATAGAGCACTTTGGAAACACTCAGTTTGTAATGTCTGCAGCTGGATATTTGGACCTCTTTGAGGCCTTCGTAGTAAACGGGATTTCTTCGTGTAATGATAGACAATAGAATTCTCAGTGAATTTGTTTCTGTGTGTGTGTATTCAACTCACAGGGTTGAACCTTCCTTTAGACAGTGCAGATTTGAAACACTTGTCTGTGGAATTTGCAAGGGGAGATTTCAAGCACTTTGAGGCCATTGGTGGAAAAGGAAATATCTTCGTATAAAAACTAGACAGAATCATTCTCAGGAACTACTTTGTGATATGTGCATTCAACTCCCAGAGTTTAACCTTTCTTTTCATAGATGAGTTTGGAAACAGTCAGTTTGTAAATTCTGCAACTGGATATTTGGACCTCTTTGAGGCTTTCGTTGGAAACGGGATTTCTTCACATAATGCTAGACAGAAGAATTCTCAGTAACTTCTTTTGGGATGTATGTATTCAAATCAGAGAGTTGAACCTTCCTTTAGACAGAGCGGATTGGAAACACTCTTTTTGTGGAATTTGCAAGTGGAAAATTCTAGCAGTATGAGGCCAATGGTACAAAAGGAAATATCTTCGTATAAAAACTAGACAGTATCATTCTCAGAAACTGCTTTGTGATGTGTGTATTAAACTCACAGAGTTGAACATTTCTTTGCATAGAGCAGTTTGGAAAGACTTAGTTTGTGCAGTGTGCAAGTGGATATTTGGAACTCTTTGAGGCCTTCGTTGGAAACGGGATTTCTTCTTATAATTCTTGACAAATGAATTCTCAGTAGCTTCTTTGTGTGTGTGTATTCAACTCACAGAGTTGAACCTTCCTTTAGACAGAGCAGATTGGAAACACTCTTTTTGTGGAATTTGCAAGTGGAGAATTCTAGCGCTTTGACGCCAATGGTAGAAAGGAAATATCTTCGTATAAAAACTAGACAGTATCATTCTCAGAAGCTACTTTGTGATGTGTGCGTTCAACTCACAGAGTTTAACCTTTCTTTTCATAGAGCAGTTTGGAAACCCTCTGTTTGTGAAGTCTGCAAGTGGATATTTAAACGTCTTTGAGGCCTTCGTTGGAAACGGGATTTTTTCATATAAACCAGGACAGAAGAATTCTCAGAAACTTCTTGATTGTTATGTGTGCATTCAACTCACAGAGTTGAACCTTACTTTGGAAAGAGCAGTTTTCTAACACTCTTTTTGTAAAAGTTCCAAGTGAATACTTTGAGTGCTTTGAAGCCTACGGTTGACAACGAAATATCTTCATGTAAAAACTACAAAGAATCATTCGCAGAAACCACGTTGTGATCTCTGCATTCAACTCACAGAGTTCAACCTTTCTTCCTATAGAGCAGTTATGAAACAGTCTCTTTGTAGAATTTGCAAGGGTGTATTTAGAGGGCATTGAAGCCTACGGTAGAAAAGGAAATATCTTACCATAAAATCTAGTCAGAAGCATTCTCAGCAACTGAGTTGTGATGTTTGCATTCAACTCACAGAGTTCAACATTCCTTTTCATGGAGCGGTTTTGAAACACTCTTTTTGCAGAATCTGCAAGTGGATATTTGGACCTCTTTGAGGCCTTCGTTGGAAACGGGATTTCTTCATGTAATGCCAGACAGAAGAATTCTCAGTGAATTCTTTCTGTGTGTGTGTATTCAACTCACAGAGTTGAACGTTCCTTTAGACAGAGTAGATTGGAAACACTCTTTTTGTGGAATTTTCAGGTGGAGGTATCAAGCGCTTTGAGGCCAATGATAGAAAAGGAAATACCTTCGTATAATAATTAGACGGAATCATTCTCAGAAACCGCTTTGCAATGTGTGCGTTCAACTCACAGTGTTTAACCTTTCTTTTCATACAGTTGTTTCGAAACACTCTTTTTGCAGAATCTGCAAGTGGATATTTGGACCTCTTTGAAGTCTTCGTTGGAAATGGGATTTCTTCATATAATGCTAGACAGAAGACTTCTCAGTAACTGCTTTTTCTGGTGTGTATTCAACTCTCAGAGTTGAACTTTCCTTTAGGAACAGCAGATTTGAAACTCTCTTTTTGTGGAATTTGCAAGTGGAGATTTCAAAGCTTTGAGGCCAGTGGTAGAAAAGGAAATATCTTTGTATGCAAACTAGACAGAATCATTCTCAGAAACTACTTTGGTACGTGTGTGTTCAACTCACAGTGTTTAACCTTTCCTTTCATAGAGCAGTTTGGAAACACTCAGTTTGTAAAGTCAGCCACTGGATATTTGGATGTATTTGAGGCCTTCGTTGGAAACGGGATTTCTTCATATAATGCTAGACAGAAGAATTCTCAGTAACTTCTTTGTGTTGTGGGTATTCAACTCACAGAGTTGAAGCTTCCTTTAGGCGGAGCAGATTGGAAACACTTTTTGTGGAATTTTCAGGGGGAGACTTCAAGCGCTTTGAGGCCAACGGTAGAAAAGGAAATATCTTCGTATAAAAACTAGACGGAGTCATTCTCAGAAACTACTTTGTGATGTTTGCGTTCAACTCACAGAGTTTAACGTTTCTTTTCATAGAGCAGTTTGGAAACACTCTTTTTGCAGAATCTGCAAGTGGATATTTGGACCTCTTTGTGGCCTTCGTTGGAAACGGGATTTTTCATATAATGCTAGACAGAAGAATTCTCAGTAACTTCTTTTTGTGGTGTGTATTCAACTCACAGAGTTGAACCTTCCTTTAGACAGAGCAGATTTGAAACTCTCTTTTTGTGGAATTTGCAAGTGGAGATTTCAAGCGCTTTGAGGCCAACGGCAGAAAAGGAAATATCTTCGTAGAAAAAATAGACGGAATCATTCTCAGAAACTGCTTTGGGATGTGTGCATTGAACTCACAGTGTTTAACACTTCTTTTCATAGAGCACTTTGGAAACACTCAGTTTGTAATGTCTGCAGCTGGATATTTGGACCTCTTTGAGGCCTTCGTAGTAAACGGGATTTCTTCGTGTAATGATAGACAATAGAATTCTCAGTGAATTTTTTTCTGTGTGTGTGTATTCAACTCACAGGGTTGAACCATCCTTTAGACAGTGCAGATTTGAAACACTTGTCTGTGGAATTTGCAAGGGGAGATTTCAAGCACTTTGAGGCCATTGGTGGAAAAGGAAATATACTTCGTATGAAAACTAGACAGAATCATTCTCAGGAACTACTTTGTGATATGTGCATTCAACTCCCAGAGTTTAACCTTTCTTTTCATAGATGAGTTTGGAAACAGTCAGTTTGTAAATTCTGCAACTGGATATTTGGACCTCTTTGAGGCTTTCGTTGGAAACGGGATTTCTTCACATAATGCTAGACAGAAGATTTCTCAGTAACTTCTTTTGGGATGTATGTATTCAAATCAGAGAGTTGAACCTTCCTTTAGACAGAGCGGATTGGAAACACTCTTTTTGTGGAATTTGCAAGTGGAAAATTCTAGCAGTATGAGGCCAATGGTACAAAAGGAAATATCTTCGTATAGAAACTAGACAGTATCATTCTCAGAAACTGCTTTGTGATGTGTGTATTAAACTCACAGAGTTGAACATTTCTTTGCATAGAGCAGTTTGGAAAGACTTAGTTTGTGCAGTGTGCAAGTGGATATTTGGAACTCTTTGAGGCCTTCGTTGGAAACGGGATTTCTTCTTATAATTCTTGACAAAAGAATTCTCAGTAGCTTCTTTGTGTGTGTGTACTCAACTCACAGAGTTGAACCTTCCTTTAGACAGAGCAGATTGGAAACACTCTTTTTGTGGAATTTGCAAGTGGAAAATTCTAGCAGTATGAGGCCAATGGTACAAAAGGAAATATCTTCGTATAAAAACTAGACAGTATCATTCTCAGAAACTACTTTGTGAGGTGTGCGTTCAACTCACAGTGTTTACCCTTTCTTTTCATAGAGCAGTTTGGAAACACTCTGTTTGTGAAGTCTGCAAGTGGATATTTAAACGTCTTTGAGGCCTTCGTTGGAAACGGGATTTCTTCATATAAACCAGGACAGAAGAATTCTCAGAAACTTCTTGTTTGTTATGTGTGCATTCAACTCACAGAGTTGAACCTTACTTTGGAAAGAGCAGTTTTCTAACACTCTTTTTGTGAAAGTTCCAAGTGAATACTTTGAGTGCTTTGAAGCCTACGGTAGACAACGAAATATCTTCATGTAAAAACTACAAAGAATCATTCGCAGAAACCACGTTGTGATCTCTGCATTCAACTCACAGAGTTGAACCTTTCCTCCTATAGAGCAGTTATGAAGCAGTCTCTTTGTAGAATTTGCAAGGGTGTATTTAGAGGGCATTGAAGCCTACGGTAGAAAAGGAAATATCTTACCATAAAATCTAGTCAGAAGCATTCTCAGAAACTGAGTTGTGATGTTTGCATTCAACTCACAGAGTTCAACATTCCTTTTAATGGAGCGGTTTTGAAACACTCTTTTTGCAGAATCTGCAAGTGGATATTTGGACCTCTTTGAGGCCTTCGTTGGAAACGGGATTTCTTCATGTAATGCCAGACAGAAGAATTCTCAGTGAATTCTTTCTGTGTGTGTGTATTCAACTCACAGAGTTGAACGTTCCTTTAGACAGAGTAGATTGGAAACACTCTTTTTGTGGAATTTTCAGGTGGAGGTATCAAGCGCTTTGAGACCAATGATAGAAAAGGAAATACCTTCGTATAATAATTAGACGGAATCATTCTCAGAAACTGCTTTGCAATGTGTGCGTTCAACTCACAGTGTTTAACCTTTCTTTTCATACAGTTGTTTCGAAACACTCTTTTTGCAGAATCTGCAAGTGGATATTTGGACCTCTTTGAAGTCTTCGTTGGAAATGGGATTTCTTCATATAATGCTAGACAGAAGACTTCTCAGTAACTGCTTTTTCTGGTGTGTATTCAACTCTCAGAGTTGAACTTTCCTTTAGAAACAGCAGATTTGAAACTCTCTTTTTGTGGAATTTGCAAGTGGAGATTTCAGAGCTTTGAGGCCAATGGTAGAAAAGGAAATATCTTCGTATGCAAACTAGACAGAATCATTCTCAGAAACTACTTTGGTA
Organism: Homo sapiens; assembly: GCF_000001405.40. Classification (NCBI taxonomy): domain Eukaryota; kingdom Metazoa; phylum Chordata; class Mammalia; order Primates; family Hominidae; genus Homo; species Homo sapiens. Next base: position 93,141,985 of record NC_000003.12, read on the forward strand.
CGTGTGTGTTCAACTCACAGTGTTTAACCTTTCTTTTCATAGAGCAGTTTGGAAACACTGTTTGTAAAGTCAGCAACTGGATATTTGGATGTATTTGAGGCCTTCGTTGGAAACGGGATTTCTTCATATAATGCTAGACAGAAGAATTCTCAGTAACTTCTTTGGGTTGTGGGTATTCAACTCACAGAGTTGAAGCTTCCTTTAGGCGGAGCAGATTGGAAACACTTTTTGTGGAATTTTCAGGGGGAGACTTCAAGCGCTTTGAAGTGAATGGTAGGAAAGGAAATATCTTCGTATAAAAACTAGACGGAGTCATTCTCAGAAACTACTTTGTGATGTTTGCGTTCAACTCACAGAGTTTAACGTTTCTTTTCATAGAGCAGTTTGGAAACACTCTTTTTGCAGAATCTGCAAGTGGATATTTGGACCTCTTTGTGGCCTTCGTTGGAAACGGGATTTTTCATATAATGCTAGACAGAAGAATTCTCAGTAACTTCCTTTTGTGGTGTGTATTCAACTCACAGAGTTGAACCTTCCTTTAGACAGAGCAGATTTGAAACTCTCTTTTCGTGGAATTTGCAAGTGGAGATTTCAAACGCTTTGAGGCCAACGGTAGAAAAGGAAATATCTTCGTAGAAAAAATAGACGGAATCATTCTGAGAAACTGCTTTGGGATGTGTGCATTGAACTCACAGTGTTTAACACTTCTTTTCATAGAGCACTTTGGAAACACTCAGTTTGTAATGTCTGCAGCTGGATATTTGGACCTCTTTGAGGCCTTCGTAGTAAACGGGATTTCTTCGTGTAATGATAGACAATAGAATTCTCAGTGAATTTTTTCTGTGTGTGTGTATTCAACTCACAGGGTTGAACCTTCCTTTAGACAGTGCAGATTTGAAACACTTGTCTGTGGAATTTGCAAGGGGAGATTTCAAGCACTTTGAGGCCATTGGTGGAAAAGGAAATATCTTCGTATGAAAACTAGACAGAATCATTCTCAGGAACTACTTTGTGATATGTGCATTCAACTCACAGAGTTTAACCTTTCTTTTCATAGATGAGTTTGGAAACAGTCAGTTTGTAAATTCTGCAACTGGATATTTGGACCTCTTTGAGGCTTTCGTTGGAAACGGGATTTCTTCACATAATGCTAGACAGAAGAATTCTCAGTAACTTCTTTTGGGATGTATGTATTCAAATCAGAGAGTTGAACCTTCCTTTAGACAGAGCGGATTGGAAACACTCTTTTTGTGGAATTTGCAAGTGGAAAATTCTAGCAGTATGAGGCCAATGGTACAAAAGGAAATATCTTCGTATAAAAACTAGACAGTATCATTCTCAGAAACTGCTTTGTGATGTGTGTATTAAACTCACAGAGTTGAACATTTCTTTGCATAGAGCAGTTTGGAAAGACTTAGTTTGTGCAGTGTGCAAGTGGATATTTGGAACTCTTTGAGGCCTTCGTTGGAAACGGGATTTCTTCTTATAATTCTTGACAAAAGAATTCTCAGTAGCTTCTTTGTGTGTGTGTATTCAACTCACAGAGTTGAACCTTCCTTTAGACAGAGCAGATTGGAAACACTCTTTTTGTGGAATTTGCAAGTGGAGAATTCTAGCGCTTTGACGCCAATGGTAGAAAGGAAATATCTTCGTATAAAAACTAGACAGTATCATTCTCAGAAGCTACTTTGTGATGTGTGCGTTCAACTCACAGAGTTTAACCTTTCTTTTCATAGAGCAGTTTGGAAACACTCTGTTTGTGAAGTCTGCAAGTGGATATTTAAACGTCTTTGAGGCCTTTGTTGGAAACGGGATTTTTTCATATAAACCAGGACAGAAGAATTCTCAGAAACTTCTTGATTGTTATGTGTGCATTCAACTCACAGAGTTGAACCTTACTTTGGAAAGAGCAGTTTTCTAACACTCTTTTTGTAAAAGTTCCAAGTGAATACATTGAGTGCTTTGAAGCCTACGGTTGACAACGAAATATCTTCATGTAAAAACTACAAAGAATCATTCGCAGAAACCACGTTGTGATCTCTGCATTCAACTCACAGAGTTGAACCTTTCTTCCTATAGAGCAGTTATGAAACAGTCTCTTTGTAGAATTTGCAAGGGTGTATTTAGAGGGCATTGAAGCCTACGGTAGAAAAGGAAATATCTTACCATAAAATCTAGTCAGAAGCATTCTCAGCAACTGAGTTGTGATGTTTGCATTCAACTCACAGAGTTCAACATTCCTTTTAATGGAGCGGTTTTGAAACACTCTTTTTGCAGAATCTGCAAGTGGATATTTGGACCTCTTTGAGGCCTTCGTTGGAAACGGGATTTCTTCATGTAATGCCAGACAGAAGAACTCTCAGTGAATTCTTTCTGTGTGTGTGTATTCAACTCACAGAGTTGAACGTTCCTTTAGATAGAGTAGATTGGAAACACTCTTTTTGTGGAATTTTCAGGTGGAGGTATCAAGCGCTTTGCGGCCCATGATAGAAAAGGAAATACCTTCGTATAATAATTAGACGGAATCATTCTCAGAAACTGCTTTGCAATGTGTGCGTTCAACTCACAGCGTTTAACCTTTCTTTTCATACAGTTGTTTCGAAACACTCTTTTTGCAGAATCTGCAAGTGGATATTTGGACCTCTTTGAAGTCTTCGTTGGAAATGGGATTTCTTCATATAATGCTAGACAGAAGACTTCTCAGTAACTGCTTTTTCTGGTGTGTATTCAACTCTCAGAGTTGAACTTTCCTTTAGAAACAGCAGATTTGAAACTCTCTTTTTGTGGAATTTGCAAGTGGAGATTTCAAAGCTTTGAGGCCAATGGTAGAAAAGGAAATATCTTCGTATGCAAACTAGACAGAATCATTCTCAGAAACTACTTTGGTACGTGTGTGTTCAACTCACAGTGTTTAACCTTTCTTTTCATAGAGCAGTTTGGAAACACTCAGTTTGTAAAGTCAGCAACTGGATATCTGGATGTATTTGAGGCCTTCGTTGGAAACGGGATTTCTTCATATAATGCTAGACAGAAGAATTCTCAGTAACTTCTTTGGGTTGTGGGTATTCAACTCACAGAGTTGAAGCTTCCTTTAGGCGGAGCAGATTGGAAACACTTTTTGTGGAATTTTCAGGGGGAGACTTCAAGCGCTTTGAAGTGAATGGTAGGAAAGGAAATATCTTCGTATAAAAACTAGACGGAGTCATTCTCAGAAACTACTTTGTGATGTTTGCGTTCAACTCACAGAGTTTAACGTTTCTTTTCATAGAGCAGTTTGGAAACACTCTTTTTGCAGAATCTGCAAGTGGATATTTGGACCTCTTTGTGGCCTTCGTTGGAAACGGGATTTTTCATATAATGCTAGACAGAAGAATTCTCAGTAACTTCTTTTTGTGATGTGTATTCAACTCACAGAGTTGAACCTTCCTTTAGACAGAGCAGATTTGAAACTCTCTTTTTGTGGAATTTGCAAGTGGAGATTTCAAGCGCTTTGAGGCCAACGGCAGAAAAGGAAATATCTTCGTAGAAAAAATAGACGGAATCATTCTCAGAAACTGCTTTGGGATGTGTGCATTGAACTCACAGTGTTTAACACTTCTTTTCATAGAGCACTTTGGAAACACTCAGTTTGTAATGTCTGCAGCTGGATATTTGGACCTCTTTGAGGCCTTCGTAGTAAACGGGATTTCTTCGTGTAATGATAGACAATAGAATTCTCAGTGAATTTTTTTCTGTGTGTGTGTATTCAACTCACAGGGTTGAACCTTCCTTTAGACAGTGCAGATTTGAAACACTTGTCTGTGGAATTTGCAAGGGGAGATTTCAAGCACTTTGAGGCCATTGGTGGAAAAGGAAATATCTTCGTATGAAAACTAGACAGAATCATTCTCAGGAACTACTTTGTGATACGTGCATTCAACTCACAGTTTAACCTTTCTTTTCATAGATGAGTTTAGAAACAGTCAGATTGTAAATTCTGCAACTGGATATTTGGACCTCTTTGAGGCTTTCGTTGGAAACGGGATTTCTTCACATAATGCTAGACAGAAGAATTCTCAGTAACTTCTTATGGGTTGTGTGTATTTAACTCAGAGAGTTGAACCTTCCTTTAGACAGAGCAGATTGGAAACACGCTTTTTGCAGAATTTTCAGGTGGAGATTTCAAGAGCTTTGAGGCCAATGGTAGAAAAGGCTATGTTCGTATAAAAACTAGACGGAATCATTCTCAGAAACTGCTTTGTGATGTGTGCATTAAACTCACAGAGCTGAACATTTCTTTTCATAGAGCAGTTTGGAAAGACTTAGTTTGTACAGTCTGCAAGTGGATATTTGGAACTTTTTGAGACCTTCGTTGGAAATGGGATTTCTTCTTATAATTCTTGACAAAAGAATTCTCAGTAGCTTCTTTGTGTGTGTGTGTATTCAACTCACAGAGTTGAACCTTCCTTTAGACAGAGCAGATTGGAAACACTCTTTTTGTGGAATTTGCAAGTGGAGAATTCTAGCGATTTGAGGCCAATGGTACAAAAGGAAATATCTTCTTATAAAAACTAGACAGTATCATTCTCAGAAACTACTTTGTGATGTGTGCGTTCAACTCACAGTGTTTACCCTTTCTTTTCATAGAGCAGTTTGGAAACACTCTGTTTGTGAAGTCTGCAAGTGGATATTTAAACGTCTTTGAGGCCTTCGTTGGAAACGGGATTTCTTTATATAAACCAGGACAGAAGAATTCTCAGAAACTTCTTGATTGTTATGTGTGCATTCAACTCACAGAGTTGAACCTTACTTTGGAAAGAGCAGTTTTCTAACACTCTTTTTGTAAAAGTTCCAAGTGAATACTTTGAGTGCTTTGAAGCCTACGGTTGACAACGAAATATCTTCATGTAAAAACTACAAAGAATCAATCGCAGAAACCACGTTGTGATCTCTGCATTCAACTCACAGAGTTGAACCTTTCTTCCTATAGAGCAGTTATGAAACAGTCTCTTTGTAGAATTTGCAAGGGTGTATTTAGAGGGCATTGAAGCCTACGGTAGAAAAGGAAATATCTTACCATAAAATCTAGTCAGAAGCATTCTCAGAAACTGAGTTGTGATGTTTGCATTCAACTCACAGAGTTCAACATTCCTTTTCATGGAGCGGTTTTGAAACACTCTTTTTGCAGAATCTGCAAGTGGATATTTGGACCTCTTTGAGGCCTTCGTTGAAAACGGGATTTCTTCATGTAATGCCAGACAGAAGAATTCTCAGTGAATTCTTTCTGTGTGTGTGTATTCAACTCACAGAGTTGAACGTTCCTTTAGACAGAGTAGATTGGAAACACTCTTTTTGTGGAATTTTCAGGTGGAGGTATCAAGCGCTTTGAGGCCCATGATAGAAAAGGAAATACCTTCGTATAATAATTAGACGGAATCATTCTCAGAAAATGCTTTGCAATGGGTGCGTTCAACTCACAGTGTTTAACCTTTCTTTTCATACAGTTGTTTCGAAACACTCTTTTTGCGGAATCTGCAAGTGGATATTTGGACCTGTTTGAAGTCTTCTTTGGAAATGGGATTTCTTCATATAATGCTAGACAGAAGACTTCTCAGTAACTGCTTTTTCTGGTGTGTATTCAACTCTCAGAGTTGAACTTTCCTTTAGAAACAGCAGATTTGAAACTCTCTTTTTGTGGAATTTGCAAGTGGAGATTTCAGAGCTTTGAGGCCAATGGTAGAAAAGGAAATATCTTCGTATGCAAACTAGACAGAATCATTCTCAGAAACTACTTTGGTACGTGTGTGTTCAACTCAGAGTGTTTAACCTTTCTTTTCATAGAGCAGTTTGGAAACACTCAGTTTGTAAAGTCAGCAACTGGATATTTGGATGTATTTGAGGCCTTCGTTGGAAACCGGGATTTCTTCATATAATGCTAGACAGAAGAATTCTCAGTAACTTCTTTGGGTTGTGGGTATTCAAGTCACAGAGTTGAAGCTTCCTTTAGGCGGAGCAGATTGGAAACACTTTTTGTGGAATTTTCAGGGGGAGACTTCAAGCGCTTTGAAGTGAATGGTAGGAAAGGAAATATCTTCGTATAAAAACTAGACGGAGTCATTCTCAGAAACTACTTTGTGATGTTTGCATTCAACTCACAGAGTTTAACGTTTCTTTTCATAGAGCAGTTTGGAAACACTCTTTTTGCAGAATCTGCAAGTGGATATTTGGACCTCTTTGTGGCCTTCGTTGGAAACGGGATTTTTCATATAATGCTAGACAGAAGAATTCTCAGTAACTTCTTTTTGTGGTGTGTATTCAACTCACAGAGTTGAACCTTCCTTTAGACAGAGCAGATTTGAAACTCTCTTTTTGTGGAATTTGCAAGTGGAGATTTCAAGCGCTTTGAGGCCAACGGCAGAAAAGGAAATATCTTCGTAGAAAAAATAGACGGAATCATTCTCAGAAACTGCTTTGGGATGTGTGCATTGAACTCACAGTGTTTAACACTTCTTTTCATAGAGCACTTTGGAAACACTCAGTTTGTAATGTCTGCAGCTGGATATTTGGACCTCTTTGAGGCCTTCGTAGTAAACGGGATTTACTTCGTGTAATGATAGACAATAGAATTCTCAGTGAATTTTTTTCTGTGTGTGTGTATTCAACTCACAGGGTTGAACCTTCCTTTAGACAGTGCAGATTTGAAACACTTGTCTGTGGAATTTGCAAGGGGAGATTTCAAGCACTTTGAGGCCATTGGTGGAAAAGGAAATATCTTCGTATAAAAACTAGACAGAATCATTCTCAGGAACTACTTTGTGATATGTGCATTCAACTCACAGAGTTTAACCTTTCTTTTCATAGATGAGTTTGGAAACAGTCAGTTTGTAAATTCTGCAACTGGGATATTTGGACCTCTTTGAGGCTTTCGTTGGAAACGGGATTTCTTCACATAATGCTAGACAGAAGAATTCTCAGTAACTTCTTTTGGGATGTATGTATTCAAATCAGAGAGTTGAACCTTCCTTTAGACAGAGCGGATTGGAAACACTCTTTTTGTGGAATTTGCAAGTGGAAAATTCTAGCAGTATGAGGCCAATGGTACAAAAGGAAATATCTTCGTATAAAAACTAGACAGTATCATTCTCAGAAACTGCTTTGTGATGTGTGTATTAAACTCACAGAGTTGAACATTTCTTTGCATAGAGCAGTTTGGAAAGACTTAGTTTGTGCAGTGTGCAAGTGGATATTTGGAACTCTTTGAGGCCTTCGTTGGAAACGGGATTTCTTCTTATAATTCTTGACAAAAGAATTCTCAGTAGCTTCTTTGTGTGTGTGTATTCAACTCACAGAGTTGAACCTTCCTTTAGACAGAGCAGATTGGAAACACTCTTTTTGTGGAATTTGCAAGTGGAGAATTCTAGCGCTTTGACGCCAATGGTAGAAAGGAAATATCTTCGTATAAAAACTAGACAGTATCATTCTCAGAAGCTACTTTGTGATGTGTGCGTTCAACTCACAGAGTTTAACCTTTCTTTTCATAGAGCAGTTTGGAAACCCTCTGTTTGTGAAGTCTGCAAGTGGATATTTAAACGTCTTTGAGGCCTTCGTTGGAAACGGGATTTTTTCATATAAACCAGGACAGAAGAATTCTCAGAAACTTCTTGATTGTTATGTGTGCATTCAACTCACAGAGTTGAACCTTACTTTGGAAAGAGCAGTTTTCTAACACTCTTTTTGTAAAAGTTCCAAGTGAATACTTTGAGTGCTTTGAAGCCTACGGTTGACAACGAAATATCTTCATGTAAAAACTACAAAGAATCATTCGCAGAAACCACGTTGTGATCTCTGCATTCAACTCACAGAGTTCAACCTTTCTTCCTATAGAGCAGTTATGAAACAGTCTCTTTGTAGAATTTGCAAGGGTGTATTTAGAGGGCATTGAAGCCTACGGTAGAAAAGGAAATATCTTACCATAAAATCTAGTCAGAAGCATTCTCAGCAACTGAGTTGTGATGTTTGCATTCAACTCACAGAGTTCAACATTCCTTTTAATGGAGCGGTTTTGAAACACTCTTTTTGCAGAATCTGCAAGTGGATATTTGGACCTCTTTGAGGCCTTCGTTGGAAACGGGATTTCTTCATGTAATGCCAGACAGAAGAATTCTCAGTGAATTCTTTCTGTGTGTGTGTATTCAACTCACAGAGTTGAACGTTCCTTTAGACAGAGTAGATTGGAAACACTGTTTTTGTGGAATTTTCAGGTGGAGGTATCAAGCGCTTTGAGGCCAATGATAGAAAAGGAAATACCTTCGTATAATAATTAGACGGAATCATTCTCAGAAACTGCTTTGCAATGTGTGCGTTCAACTCACAGTGTTTAACCTTTCTTTTCATACAGTTGTTTCGAAACACTCTTTTTGCAGAATCTGCAAGTGGATATTTGGACCTCTTTGAAGTCTTCATTGGAAATGGGATTTCTTCATATAATGCTAGACAGAAGACTTCTCAGTAACTGCATTTTCTGGTGTGTATTCAACTCTCAGAGTTGAACTTTCCTTTAGAAACAGCAGATTTGAAACTCTCTTTTTGTGGAATTTGCAAGTGGAGATTTCAAAGCTTTGAGGCCAATGGTAGAAAAGGAAATATCTTCGTATGCAAACGAGACAGAATCATTCTCAGAAACTACTTTGGTACGTGTGTGTTCAACTCACAGTGTTTAACCTTTCCTTTCATAGAGCAGTTTGGAAACACTCAGTTTGTAAAGTCAGCAACTGGATATCTGGATGTATTTGAGGCCTTCGTTGGAAACGGGATTTCTTCATGTAATGCTAGACAGAAGAATTCTCAGTAACTTCTTTGGGTTGTGGGTATTCAACTCACAGAGTTGAAGCTTCCTTTAGGCGGAGCAGATTGGAAACACTTTTTGTGGAATTTTCAGGGGGAGACTTCAAGCGCTCTGAAGCCAACGGTAGAAAAGGAAATATCTTCGTATAAAAACTAGACGGAGTCATTCTCAGAAACTACTTTGTGATGTTTGCGTTCAACTCACAGAGTTTAACGTTTCTTTTCATAGAGCAGTTTGGAAACACTCTTTTTGCAGAATCTGCAAGTGGATATTTGGACCTCTTTGTGGCCTTCGTTGGAAACGGGATTTTTCATATAATGCTAGACAGAAGAATTCTCAGTAACTTCTTTTTGTGGTGTGTATTCAACTCACAGAGTTGAACCTTCCTTTAGACAGAGCAGATTTGAAACTCTCTTTTTGTGGAATTTGCAAGTGGAGATTTCAAGCGCTTTGAGGCCAACGGCAGAAAAGGAAACTATCTTCGTAGAAAAAATAGACGGAATCATTCTCAGAAACTGCTTTGGGATGTGTGCATTGAACTCACAGTGTTTAACACTTCTTTTCATAGAGCACTTTGGAAACACTCAGTTTGAAATGTCTGCAGCTGGATATTTGGACCTCTTTGAGGCCTTCGTAGTAAACGGGATTTCTTCGTGTAATGATAGACAATAGAATTCTCAGTGAATTTTTTTCTGTGTGTGTGTATTCAACTCACAGGGTTGAACCTTCCTTCAGACAGTGCAGATTTGAAACACTTTTCTGTGGAATTTGCAAGGGGAGATTTCAAGCACTTTGAGGCCATTGGTGGAAAAGGAAATATCTTAGTATAAAAACTAGACAGAATCATTCTCAGGAACTACTTTGTGATATGTGCATTCAACTCACAGGGTTTAACCTTTCTTTTCATAGATGAGTTTGGAAACAGTCAGTTTGTAAATTCTGCAACTGGATATTTGGACCTCTTTGAGGCTTTCGTTGGAAACGGGATTTCTTCACATAATGCTAGACAGAAGAATTCTCAGTAACTTCTTTTGGGATGTATGTATTCAAATCAGAGAGTTGAACCTTCCTTTAGACAGAGCGGATTGGAAACACTCTTTTTGTGGAATTTGCAAGTGGAAAATTCTAGCAGTATGAGGCCAATGGTACAAAAGGAAATATCTTCGTATAAAAACTAGACAGTATCATTCTCAGAAACTGCTTTGTGATGTGTGTATTAAACTCACAGAGTTGAACATTTCTTTGCATAGAGCAGTTTGGAAAGACTTAGTTTGTGCAGTGTGCAAGTGGATATTTGGAACTCTTTGAGGCCTTCGTTGGAAACGGGATTTCTTCTTATAATTCTTGACAAAAGAATTCTCAGTAGCTTCTTTGTGTGTGTGTATTCAACTCACAGAGTTGAACCTTCCTTTAGACAGAGCAGATTGGAAACACTCTTTTTGTGGAATTTGCAAGTGGAGAATTCTAGCGCTTTGACGCCAATGGTAGAAAGGAAATATGCTTCGTATAAAAACTAGACAGTAATCATTCTCAGAAGCTACTTTGTGATGTGTGCAGTTCAACTCACAGAGTTTAACCTTTCTTTTCATAGAGCAGTTTGGAAACCCTCTGTTTGTGAAGTCTGCAAGTGGATATTTAAACGTCTTTGAGGCCTTCGTTGGAAACGGGATTTGTTCATATAAACCAGGACAGAAGAATTCTCAGAAACTTCTTGATTGTTATGTGTGCATTCAACTCACAGAGTTGAACCTTACTTTGGAAAGAGCAGTTTTCTAACACTCTTTTTGTAAAAGTTCCAAGTGAATACTTTGAGTGCTTTGAAGCCTACGGTTGACAACGAAATATCTTCATGTAAAAACTACAAAGAATCATTCGCAGAAACCACGTTGTGATCTCTGCATTCAACTCACAGAGTTGAACCTTTCTTCCTGTAGAGCAGTTATGAAACAGTCTCTTTGTAGAATTTGCAAGGGTGTATTTAGAGGGCATTGAAGCCTACGGTAGAAAAGGAAATATCTTACCATAAAATCTAGTCAGAAGCATTCTCAGCAACTGAGTTGTGATGTTTGCATTCAACTCACAGAGTTCAACATTCCTTTTAATGGAGCGGTTTTGAAACACTCTTTTTGCAGAATCTGCAAGTGGATATTTGGACCTCTTTGAGGCCTTCGTTGGAAACGGGATTTCTTCATGTAATGCCAGACAGAAGAATTCTCAGTGAATTCTTTCTGTGTGTGTGTATTCAACTCACAGAGTTGAACGTTCCTTTAGACAGAGTAGATTGGAAACACTCTTTTTGTGGAATTTTCACGTGGAGGTATCAAGCGCTTTGAGGCCAATGATAGAAAAGGAAATACCTTCGTATAATAATTAGACGGAATCATTCTCAGAAACTGCTTTGCAATGTGTGCGTTCAACTCACAGTGTTTAACCTTTCTTTTCATACAGTTGTTTCGAAACACTCTTTTTGCAGAATCTGCAAGTGGATATTTGGACCTCTTTGAAGTCTTCGTTGGAAATGGGATTTCTTCATATAATGCTAGACAGAAGACTTCTCAGTAACTGCTTTTTCTGGTGTGTATTCAACTCTCAGAGTTGAACTTTCCTTTAGAAACAGCAGATTTGAAACTCTCTTTTTGTGGAATTTGCAAGTGGAGATTTCAGAGCTTTGAGGCCACTGGTAGAAAAGGAAATATCTTCGTATGCAAACTAGACAGAATCATTCTCAGAAACTACTTTGGTACGTGTGTGTTCAACTCACAGTGTTTAACCTTTCTTTTCATAGAGCAGTTTGGAAACACTCAGTTTGCAAAGTCAGCAACTGGATATTTGGATGTATTTGAGGCCTTCGTTGGAAACGGGATTTCTTCATATAATGCTAGACAGAAGAATTCTCAGTAACTTCTTTGGGTTGTGGGTATTCAAGTCACAGAGTTGAAGCTTCCTTTAGGCGGAGCAGATTGGAAACACTTTTTGTGGAATTTTCAGGGGGAGACTTCAAGCGCTTTGAAGTGAATGGTAGGAAAGGAAATATCTTCGTATAAAAACTAGACGGAGTCATTCTCAGAAACTACTTTGTGATGTTTGCGTTCAACTCACAGAGTTTAACGTTTCTTTTCATAGAGCAGTTTGGAAACACTCTTTTTGCAGAATCTGCAAATGGATATTTGGACCTCTTTGTGGCCTTCGTTGGAAACGGGATTTTTCATATAATGCTAGACAGAAGAATTCTCAGTAACTTCTTTTTGTGGTGTGTATTCAACTCACAGAGTTGAACCTTCCTTTAGACAGAGCAGATTTGAAACTCTCTTTTTGTGGAATTTGCAAGTGGAGATTTCAAGCGCTTTGAGGCCAACGACAGAAAAGGAATTATCTTCGTAGAAAAAATAGACGGAATCATTCTCAGAAACTGCTTTGGGATGTGTGCATTGAACTCACAGTGTTTAACACTTCTTTTCATAGAGCACTTTGGAAACACTCAGTTTGTAATGTCTGCAGCTGGATATTTGGACCTCTTTGAGGCCTTCGTAGTAAACGGGATTTCTTCGTGTAATGATAGACAATAGAATTCTCAGTGAATTTTTTTCTGTGTGTGTGTATTCAACTCACAGGGTTGAACCTTCCTTTAGACAGTGCAGATTTGAAACACTTGTCTGTGGAATTTGCAAGGGGAGATTTCAAGCACTTTGAGGCCATTGGTGGAAAAGGAAATATCTTCGTATAAAAACTAGACAG